>NC_000002.12:6070606-6373636 GCF_000001405.40 Homo sapiens
TCCCAGGATGGCAAGAAGAAAAAAAAAAAAGGCTATAGGGTTTATGGTTCAAGCAGGCAAAATATTAAAAATGTTCTTTTTTTTTCTCATAGGATACCACTCCATGAATTATCTTAGGGACCTTCCTTGGGTAACAAAAATCTACAAGATACAGAACACTAACATTTACAAAATTAGAAAATTATCCTAATTAAGCGTGGTAAGTAAGGGATGCTTCTTGGATTGCTGGAGATAAATTTAAGGGTAGTCAGAAGTAAAACCAAATAAATACTACTTTTTCTGCTTTTTAAGATTGACAATTCTATCAAATACCATTAGGAAATAATTTTTAATATCTTGCAAGATTGAGATAAAAATATGGAAATAGTGATAATATTTGATTAATAGTTTAGAGTTTATAACCCCTTTCAAATGCTTTATTTCACTTGAGTCTCCATGAAGAAACTGAGGTCCAATGAAGCTGTGACTTACTCGAGGTCAATTAGTAAACATGAAGCTGGAAAAGAATTTTGGGTCTTCCCACTCTTGGATCAATGCCGTATGGGGCCATCACCTTTCCTCACCAACTACCCTTGAACACATATTTATTGGAGAACTATAGATGGAACACGTAAAGAAATACTGTTTTAGGACAAGGATACATACAAATCCAAGGCAGTATGAATAGTTAGAAAGCAATACGTAGCTTTTCAAAGTGACATTTTTAAAATAACAATATACTGAAAAAAAAAATTAAACCCTGCATTTCTTGAACCCAGTTCTGGAAGTATAGTCAGTGACCATATATATCTTGGAAGCCTGGAGACTTCCATTTCTCCACTGAAACTGGGTGGGAAAGGAGAGAGCAGTCCTATGCTGGCCACCGTGAGATGCATTGTTGTATATGCAAAATCAAACCATAAGAGCCTAGTATGACAAGGTACCCAGAAAGCATTAGGAGGACTCGAATTTGCATCAAGATACAGTCCGAGCTTTGACCCTTCTTACCAACCAAAAGCCCTTTGAAACAGAGGCTCTTGGCCACAGGTTAATGAGATGTAGGCAGACCTGTCGACTTTAAGATGATGCTGGGAGAATCCATTCAATTCCTACAGCAGTGAAAAGGTTAACTTCAGTCATCTCCTAGGGAACACCAGTGACAGTTCCCATAAGCATCCTGGGGACATTACCAAGCTGCCGCTTGCTAAAGTAAATTGTGATGGCTGCTTATAGTTCTTTTTTTTTTTTCTTTTAAGGTAATTTTTTGTTACTTTATTCAAACTTCATGCCAACTAGCATGTTACAAATGCAGGAATATTCTCCATACTAGAGAGAATTTGCAATTTTTAAGAAAGTATTTGTAACAATGCTCTAACAGTGTGTATATTTACAATGGGTAGATTTCAATATTTTAATGTGAAAATAACCACAAGGAAAACAACCTAAGGTGTGCCTGCCTTGAGAAAACAATTTATAAATCTGTTCCCGCTTCCTTCTTTCACTAATGAGAAAAGGTTAATTTTTGCAAATTACTCATAACTTGATTTTAAGGTATTGGATATTTTGTGATATATTTGCCAGTTTTTTTTTTTCTTAAGCTGAAATCTTGATTTTTAAAATAAACCAAAGCAGAATTGTAAATACATCCCATTCACAGGCACACACAAAAAAATATTCATTCAAAGTTCCTCCGGCTTTCTCTGTCTCTTTCAAAAATCCTTTCCTGTGTGTTGTGGTGTTGACAAGTGGTAATAAGAAAACAAGTACATCTGAGCTTAATGAGCAATTCATCTGCACGCAGAGATTTAGGGAGGGTACAAATAAATCCACCGCAAAGCTGTTCAGGTTGGAGGGGGAGAAATCTTATTTATCACTCTGCATAAAAAAGACCCAATCTCCTTGTCCATAAACTCACAGCAACTGGCATGACAGCTGTTTTGGATTCTTGTGCTCTGAGACCGACTTATTCCAGAATGCAGTTCTGTTCTGTGACCCACGACTTACCAGTCAACTAGCCTGATACAGAATTTGTTGGTTTCTTGACAATATGATTATTGTTTCCAATATACCTGAAAATGACTTAAATACAAAAACAAACAAACAAGATAATTACTTCACTGATAAAGTGCAGGCTAGTGTAGGTGTGGATATAAAATTCAGTGAATATGGCATCATAGATGATACCCCAATTTCATAACCATGGAAGCAATGCTGTTCCGTGGAAGTGACAGAGGTGAGTCCTTCGAGAGGCTTTCTGGAAAAATGGCCAGTGCTCAGGGTTTGCACCAGGAAGCCCAGGAGGCTGTTATCCTACAAAAGAGCTTTGTTAAGCCAAACCTTTAATTCCAAGAGCAGGGCCTGATTTACACCCCGCAGCAGGCTGGATGCTTTGCATCTGCTATTTTTACACCATTTCTGAGGTATCCTTTTGTTACTGCAGATACCAGTGGAAAATCAAAGGCTTGCTTTTTCTCCACCCCCTAGTAACCTCCTGGTATTTTGTCATCTTCACTCTTGCTTGAGATTAGAAAAATCAACAATGTGATTCCCAAATCTAATGAATAGACAATTCCAAGGAAAATACGTATTATTTTTTGCACCAAGTATATATTCTAGTAGTAAATTCTGTGATGGACCCTACCTCAATGGTGCATAACCCTGTGCTTTTCTTAATAGGATTTATGCTTGTCGGCTTTCTATATGCCCTGCCATGGGAGATAAAGCGGGAGGCTGAGTTCCCGTGGTAACCAGAGCCACTCCACTCCCAACTGTTGGCAAATTTCTCGTAAGCATAAAATAGGCAATGTGAAGGGAGAATATGTCAGCTTATACATAAACATGACAGACTCATATCTGGAAGAAAAAGGTATTCAGCATCAGATTGAATTCAGATTTTCTGATTGTTTCACCAGATACTTCTGTTAAATCCTCCAAGTGAAACATCTGCAACTGGAAAACAAGAGAATCTTAATTCTTTCCAGATTTAAACCCATTTCCAGGCAAATGTCACCCAGACTCCATCAAGGACTCAGGAAGCAGAGTTCTTTAGGCATCTGTTCAAACTGAAAAGGTTATTTCACTGTCTCCACGATGACTCTTGAGCTGCAGGCAGAGCTAGGGGCTGTGCCCTGAATGAAGGGAGTTGCTAGGAGATAAGTCCACCATTTCAGACAGCATTGGTTGGAGTTATCTCTAATTGACAGCTCCTTACCCTAAGGGTCTAATTCTAACCTTGAGACCAAGACTATAATGAGAGGGCAGCTTTCTGTCACCCCTGTTTCTGGCTAAGGCAAGGAGATTACTGGCGGCCTGTTTTTCTGGGGTTTTGTTATGCTTCTTTAGGAGGGAGGCGCTGCCAGAGACACAGCGGCCGCTGTCTGCGGCTCCAGTTTGCGTCACTGAGCCCTTGTCTGATTCATGCCACCTGAATAAACTTTCTCTTTCAGTTAAGATGGTCTCACTTTGAAATCATAAGGGTATGCAAGGAGGAGAAGCCTCCACTGAACTTTGCAATGATTTGGAATTTGAGCAAGGAAGGTGGATTTCTTAAAAAAAAAAAAAAAAAGGGGGGTGTGGGGGAGGGAGTCAGAGGTAGGGGAGGAGAGAAAGGGAAGAAAGAAAGGGAACACTATAGCTCCATGTTCAAATGCCAACTCCTTCCCCCCACAGTCATTAAGAGCTTTCACTAAGGTCTGTGCTGCTTATAAGATATTATTTAGGACTTGAAGTCGACAATAAAGCAACAAGCGACAGAAAGAAGAGATTAGCAGGCCTGGACAAGGAGGTATTTTCATGTGACTGATCCTGCAAGTGTGTTGACTTATTTTTCTGCACAAGGCAACATAGATCAGGGCAATTTATACAAAGGCTGAAGCTAACACCTCGAATGGGCTGATGGTTCCTTTGCATTTTGTGAGGCATCTGCGGAGGACACAGGCGAGAGGAAAGCAGCTTCATGTGTGTAGGCTGATGGGGCCCACGAGGGCTGGGAAATCGCATTCCAGTTTGAGGGTTTAGCTGTGTCTCTCGCTGGACCTCGCTCACACCCTAAACATCAGTGGCCAATTAAAAAAATAATACCAAATTTGCATTTTGAATCTGGATGCTGTAAGTTCAGTGATAGCAAATCGTGACCCAGTCATTTCCTCCAACAGGAAAATTGTTATTTTAGAATGTTTTTCTGCTTCACAAACATATTTTAAATAAAGCATATACAATTTTATAAGAAATTGTAATGATTGAAATAATTGTCATAATTTCCACAAGAGAAGGATTGCTGAGGGTTCATTTTAGTCTTGAGTGGGGTCTAGAATACTTTAAATAGGCAACCACCTGCAAAGCCAAAATGCAAGGGACCAGAGATTCTATTTGTCCTCTGTGAATATGAACAGAGGAGACACCAAAATCATGTATCTTCAACTCAAAAGAGGGAGAGGGGGTGGATGCACAAGACCAAAACTAAAACATATTCTTAGGCAAAATATTATGCTATTCCAAATGTTTTTATTACAATTTCTACAAAACAGGGCTCTTTCTAAAGGGAGATATTATTTTTAAATGCAATATTTGAGGGAGTAAAACACACGCACATCTCTACACAGTTTTAATTACATTTTTAGCCAACTTATAAATGTGCTTCTAAAAGAAAAGAGGGCATAGCCAAGAAAATAAATTTAAAACGTTTAAGTATTACTTGTTGATTAAATGGTAAGACTGTCTCCTTGACTATCTTCTTTTTAAAAAAAAAATTGGTCTTTATCTGGATATGATTTTAATTTACAAAAGAGTTACAAAAAAAGTACAAAAATCTCATACTGCTTACTCAGATTTGCCAATTATTTACATTTTGACCATCTGATTTCTCAACTTTTTTCTGCGTGTGTATAATGATAGTTTTTCTTTTTTCTTTGAACCATTTGTCATGAGTTGAAAACAAAATGTCTCTTTACCACTAAATACTTCACTGTGTTTTTCCTAAGAATGAGAATGTTCTCTTACATAATCCCTGGACAATTATTCAAATCAGCAAATTTAACATTAATGCAAAACTACTATCTAATTTACAATCTATAATCAAATTTTGTCAATTGTCCCAATAAAGTCCTGTATTGTAATGTTTTCACAGTCCTAGATAAATTCCAGGATCACATATTGCATTTAGTTATTTAGAGGAAATTTATAATGACTTCAATAAGAAAGATTTTTAAAGTTTATGCTTCAGTGCTGCAAGACAGTATCAGTATTTGATTATTTTTAATACTAAAAGTCTGGAGAAAGGAGCACCTCCTGAAGAGTCAAGACACTGGTTCTGTGATGTTCTGGTGTGCATGAGATAAATCTTGTCCTCCTCTAAAGAAAACTGGGATCCTTATTTTCTCATATCACCTAAAGCAAAAACCGATCATGGCAATTTTAAATAAATCTTTTGTAAAAAAAAATCTTGATCTTTTAAAAAATAAGAAATATCACTCATTATAAAACATCTGTAGAAGTCACTGTGTATATCTCTGAAAAGATTCTTACAGGTGGGTTTCTTGCAGTGTTAGGAATTCTTCCAACACTGGTAAAAGAGGGGGAAATGAGACAGAAAGAAAGATGATGAGTTAGAGAGAGAGCAAAGACACTGTAAGGGGATTCAACAATCAACTCAGGGCACAAGGAAATAAAACTATGTAAAGAACAATGAGGAAAAATTAATTTTAAAAGTCTGTGGTATCATCTTTATTATGACTATCACTTGTTTTTAAAGACTCCTCTTGCAATTATAAATACTTTCTTGTTCCTCCAGTCATATGGGCTTGTTTGGGGCTGCCACAGTCAGGACGGGGAGAGCCAGCCACCCTCTTCCACGTGGTCCTGGCTCTGTGTACACACGGGTCCATATGATGCCTAAGCTTTGAGAGTGTACACTCTTCCCATAGAGCTGTACAAAAAAAGCTCAACTTATTGTTGAAATTTCTCACCTTCTTCTAATTCCACATGAATAAATCCAGTCTAAAAGGTCATCATAAATGGATATAAAATCTCTAAAATTACTCGCCCTGTTTCTCACGGGCATATGATGGGACATTCTGCGTTTCTTGCGTTGTGAAGCTGGACATGTCTGCACACACCCAGCTTCAGTCTCATAACTGCAGAGTGAGCATTCCCCTCTGTGCTGGTCACAGCAGCCAATTGATAGCACCTTTCGCTCTGAGCATGTGTTTGCCAGCTCACAGAATTTTCTATGCAATTAAAAACAACAACCATTCTTTTCTCATGGACAATCATTTATTTACAAGCCAGTGAAGTTCATTTTTCATTTAAATAAAAGTGAAATTTTCCTTCACTTTAAGGTTTGTTTTTGTTTTTTAATTTACTTTGTGTTCCTGTTTCAAAGTAAACAACTGACTCTTGTTCAGCCTCTCACGTGAAGTAGGTTATATGTGTGCGGGTTTCTACTCAGAAGTCAGCCTCTTGTAGAAAAGAAGTCCCTTAGGATCTCAGGAGGCCAGGTCTGAAATTGTCTGTGAGCAGCTGCTGAGTAGATGAGGGCGTGTGTGGAGTCACTGGAACAGTAGTTTGTTTGTTTGTCTGTTTGTTTGTTTGTTTGTTTTTGTGATGGAGTCTCCCTCTGTTGCCCAGGCTGGAGTGCAGTGGCAGGACCTCAGCTCACTGCAACCTCCACCTCCAGGGTTCAAGCGATTCTTCTGCCTCAGCCTCCCGAGTAGCAGGGATCACAGGCATGCACCACCACACCCAGCTAGTTTTTGTATTTTTAGTAGAGACGGGGTTTTACTATGTTGGCCAGGCTGGTCTCGAACTCCTGACCTCAGGTGATCTGCCCACCTCGGCCTCCCAAAGTGCTGAGATTACAGGCATGAGCCACCTCGCCCTGCCAGAACACTGCTTTAGAAGTAGTTCCTGACCCCTCAAGCTTCCTGCAGACAGGGTTGATGGGATTAGGAGTACTGGTGTTCAGTTTACTTCAGCTATAATAAACTGGCAACAGATAACATACTTTTTAATTATCAAGAGATGTTTGGAGGCTGGACTGAGTCCCCACATGGGAGAGAGAGCTCTTGGAAATCACATTCTGAAACATTCTAACAGATAATTGTTACACACTAATCTCATTTTCTTAAGAAGGTAAACAGATATATGGAAATGCATGCCCTTCACATTCACCTTAGTTATCTGGAACTTGGCTCTAGTCCCTGTTTCTACACCCAGGCATAACAGGCAGTTATATTCTAACATTCTAACAGAGATTAAGCAGTCCCTAGTAAGAGCAGTTCCTTTCTCCCCGTCTTATAGAAGAAGAGAAAGGGTCCTCAGCTTGTAAGAAGAGACAACCGAAATTAGACTCCAGTGATACAGGCATGAGCAGGAAAAACAACTCAAGTATGCACCTAAATGGGAGGAGCTCCTAAACAAAGAACTGTTATATGAAAAAGACCTGCAGAGCACGTGTGTAATCTCTAGTAGGCTAGTTGCTTTGGTTAATAGCAAACCTGGCACACACTAGGGTCAACTGTATCTTACCTTCTAAATGTATTTATTTATCACCCAAGACATTCTCTTAATTATCCTTTGGACCTCCATCATGTTTCATGTAGCAAAGTATGTACAGCAACATACATGAACACCCATGCACAAGCCCTTCCCTCCCTTAGGTAACAGGGAGGATGGGTTTCAGCATAGTTACCTCTCAAACACTGGCAAAGAGGGTATGGGAACTCGGGATACCATAAGGTGCTAAGGAATGCAAACACTCCATGAATATCCATCGTTATTTGTCATCTATGCTGGGATTCTTTTTTACTTTTTATTGTGTGTGGTATTTTTTTTTAATCATTGATATAGCCAGGCTGATCTACTGTGGGGAAATGTATATTCCTGAGTTTAATCAGAGGCTGACTTCAGAGTATTCCTAGAGTATTTATTTTCTTTCTTTTAAAATATGTTTTTCCTCATTTTCAAAGGCACCTCATCTCACCTCCAAAGCTTCCCCATTAGTTTCGTTTTGAGGTAAAGGCGTGCTGTCCCCTGCTGAAAGGCAAACATGTTACTCAATCCATTAGCACCTTAGCTCAAAATAAATAGTGCTAAAAATGAGTGTTGCTCAGAGGCCGTTTTTGAAATATTGAGCCAAAAAGTGACTAATTTGGAATTTTCTCTTCAGTACCAGAATAGTGGAGCAGATATCATGAAGGTAGGGCTGGGTGGGGGAATGCCAGCTCACATCCCATCAGAAACCTGAGAGAGATGGTTGGCCTGACTATCCCGGAGAAAACACATAGACACTGGAGGAGACCCACGCTGATTTTCTGGGTGGAAGCTTTTATTAGCAAAAAGAAGAAAAAAAGCTTATTTTCTGTTGCTGGAGTTGGAGATGTACAATAATCCTGACCTTAAGGAACTCAGAAGAAACCTAGCGATTAAACAGTATGTTATGGGCGACATGCTACACTCTAATTATGTATAAACTGTTATGGGATTGCAGATGAGAGAAATTAATTCTCCCTTGCGGAGTTAGGGCTCACTTCACAGAAGAATTGACATTTGCACTAGAACTTGAAAAGTGAGTGGGACTTTGCCAAGCAGTTAAATGGGAAATATCACTCCAGGCAGCCAGAATAACTTAAGGCTCAGGGGTGGTGTGAAATTTTATGCCATGTTCCTAGAATGATAGTAAACCTGTGTTGAGAGAGCACTGACTGCAGGGAAGAAGAACCAAAGCGGACCTGAAAGCAGGAGGAAGAGCTGGTGGGTTCAGTTGCATCTGGGCTGAGGTAGTCAAGGTGCTCTCACTCCAAGATGACGTATTGAGCACCTGCTATGAATGATTCCTTGTCTGGGCACTCAGGATACAGAGTGAGCAGACGTCATGTTCTCCGACACAGAATAAATAAATGGAGAATTTCAGATAGAGATGAGTACTATCAAAAGATGAAATCTGTTACCATCATAGTGATTCTCTGTGCAATGGGAATCGGAGGCTCCTTTCCATTGGGTTGTCAAGTAATGCCACTCTGAGGATATGGGGTTTGAGTGACAGCTTTTCACTTGTCACCTGGGCCTGTGGGTCTGGTGCGCTCAGTCAAAGGAAGTTAAGACTGAAGTTATAATTGCCAGTGAGGAGACTAATTGACAGCATGTGGCTTCTGATAGCGTGCACCAGGAAAAACTCAGCATCACCTCTGTTGTATTCCTGCCAAAAAATAAGTATTCTGAGCAATCATAAGGAAACATTAGACTAATGCAAACTGAGAGAGATTCTAAAAAATAAATGGCCTATACTCTTCAGTGGGTGAAATCCGAATAAGTTCTGTTGATTATGTAATGCAATAGTATCACTACTTTTTGAATTTTGATAATTGTACATTGCATATAAAAATAATGTCTATATTTGAAAATGTACACTGAATTATTAGAAGTAAATGAACTGTCTGCAACTGTAATATATATAGTTCAGAAAAAATTATGTAAGCAGATGTGCATATGTATATGAGAGAGAAAAATAAAGTAGGAGACAGAGAGGCTAGAGTGACAGGGCAATTGCTGTAACGTGCTAACGTTTGAGTAACCTGGGTAAAGAGTATCCAAGAATTCTGTAGCATTCTTGCCAGTTTTTGAAGAGTCTGAAATATGTCAAAAATACAAAAGAAAAACAGAAGATTGAAATTACAGTTGTGGGACATACTGATAGGAGCTGAAGAATGGGAGTTGAACAGAAAATTAGGGAAAACATGAGTGGGGAAAGAAGAAAGATAAGGACACATTCAGAGAGGGAGGGAGTTGGACAGAGGAGGAAAAGAGAGACCTAAAGAGAGAATGGAAGAGAATGTGACCTGGGTGCACAAGAGCTTCTCTAGAGCTCGGCCTTCATCATCCTAAGACTAATTTTTAATTTGTACAAGGGAATCTAAAAGACCTCTCCGTCAGGCCGGGCGCGGTGGCTCAGGCCTGTAATCCCAGCACTTTGGGAGGCCGAGGCAGGCGGATCACGAGGTCAGGAGATCGAGACCATCCTGGCTAACACGGTGAAACTCCGTCTCTACTAAAAATACAAAAAAATTAGCTGGGCGTGGTGGCTGGCCCCTGTCGTCCCAGCTACCTGGGAGGCTGAGGCAGGAGAATGGCGTGAACCCGGGAGGCTGAGTTTGCAGTGAGCCGAGATCATGCCATTTCTTCCTGGGTCCTCCTGGAGAGAGTGAGGTTGCTCATGCAGCACCAGCTGGATCCAAGCTCCCTGAGCTCCAGGAAGGTGGAATGAACAGCCACTCAACGAGCCACCCTGCCTTGGAGAGGCCCCACTAGGCCAGGGCTTGCTGTCCTGGTGTTTCCCAGAAGCCAGAAGCCCCTTCCCGCTCTCCACATCACGGGTCCCGGTGCCTTCTCTCCCACTCTTGCCCGCAGAGGTGCCTGGTTCCGTATTCCACACAGAAGCTGCTCCTGCCTCCTACTGTTGTCAATGTGTGAAGAATGCCAGATGCGGGGTGTGCAGTTTCAATGGCCCTGGCTGCAATCCAGGGTCTCAGAGCTGGGAATGTGTCTTGCCAACCCACTCAGAAATTGTTCGGATGAAATCAAGGGAGGCCAGAATGTGATAACCATGGCCAGCGGTGGCCTCACAGACCATTGGGTAAAAGTTTATCGTGTCTTGGAGGAGGGAGTCACATCAATATCGAGTTGGTCGGCTCGACTCTCGAGGGCCGTGCGGATGCTCCACACTCCTTTGTCTCTCAGTGCATCATTTCACAGTGTAAGTTGAAGACAGCAAGTTCTGGCAACAGCTTGAAGTTCCATCTGGCTAATGGAGAACTCGCTCTCCTGGTGCATATTGGTACCTAACCCCGGTCTTCTTTAGGATGACAGCTGGGGCATGATGCTGTGCTCAGCCTGCTGAGCAGTGTGCAATCTGATTCATCCTCTCCCGACCTGAGAAAGCTGAATTCCCTATTGAGAGCGACTGTGAAATGCCCCATTGTGAAGGCAGCTACATCCACCAACAATGAATGGCCGCCAATTTGGGGCTATTTAAATTAGGAGTCAAAGGTCTTCTGGATCTTTCCCATCAAAGATTAAATCCCTCGTTCCAGGAAAAGAGAAAGTGAAACTCCTATTATCAGGAAGCTATAGGAGGAACCATAAACCAGTGACACCGATGATCTTTTCCAATTAGGCTTATGTAACTTATAGTGGAAAACACTTAGCTGATGGCTTAAATAGTTTTGTTTTCCCTCGATTATATGCAGAATCAATCCATTGGTGCTGATTCAACTAATTCTGATTGCTTTGGCTGGGTCAGTTTATTATTCCTCTGGATTAGGAACTTCCAGTTTCCTAATGCTTATAAAATCCAATCTAATTTTTTTCAGTCTGGAGTCCTAGGCCACCTCTCGACAGATGCCTTCCCTTCTTATGGAATCTCATTTTAACACTGCTCAAACCCAGCCACTACTATAATTTATCTTCCTGCTAATTTTGATTTATTTATTTATTTTGTGTTTTCCAAGCCTCCCCAGATATGTGGTCCTGTTTTTCATTCTAATGGCTGTTTAGTCAGCAAATTGAAAATTGTCACCCAGTTGAAAATAGACAGATCCACATTCAAATGCTGCTACTGCTTCCTGCTAGCTAAATAATGATAGAAAATTTATTTAAACCTGTCTGACCCCCAGTTTTATTTCCTCTAAAAATGGGATATTCATCTCACAAGATATACTGCATTGTTATATAAAATACTCAATTAACTCACAGATGCAAATTGTCTAGCATGAGACAAGGCATGTAGGGAGAGCACAAGAAAGTTTGCTCAGTCTCTCCCCTCCGCACAAATCCCTCTGCTTCCCCTGCCTGTACAGTAGAGGCCTTTTCCCCTCTCTACATATAAAATGCATTTATCCGTGTCAAACAATCCAGCCACTCAACTCTGTCTTGTGTTTTATTTTCTCCAGTCGCTTCATGGAAATTCACTTTACAGGCCATTTGGGCAGAACAATCACTTGTTCTTTCGTATTCTGTTCCAATACAGAATATTTATCTAATAAATACAAACCAGCTTCCCATATTCAGGGTCTGAAGTAGTGTCTCTATGAGGCTGTGAAGTAAATGATTTATTTGTCTTACAAATAGAAAAGGGCATGATACTCTCAATTTCTGATAAATATGTAAATGAGCCAATTGACAGTAGCTAATCAAGTGTTCCCCACACAGCAGGCCTCCAGGAAATGCTCCTGACTGACTGACAGGCAGAGATCACACAATTCCTGGATCTCAACCCCAGTGACAAAGAGAAATAATTCCCAAGTTGCAATAGTCTCCCATGTCTTGATTTTAATTTTTTAATTATCCACCATCAGCAGTGCACAGGCTCTCAATGGGAAGCCATGCCACTGTTTCTACTCCCTGTGCCAACCAGCAACACCTGATGGCACTGGGCACAGATTTTTGTTCTGAAAATGTGGATTCAGAGCACTAATCATTAATTTAGCCTTTTAAATTTCTTTGTATTTGTCCCTGTATTCTTGTATATATTTAAGGTATACAACATGATGTTTCAATTACAAATACATAAAAAGTGATTTCTACAATTAAGTAAATTAACATATCTGTCACCTCATGAAGACACTGTGTGTGCGTGTGAGTGTGTGTGTGTGCATGCACACAGTGAAAACACCCAACATCTACTCCCTTGGCAAATTTTCAGTATCCAATAGAGTATTATGACCCATAGACCCCATGCTGTGTGTAGATCTCCAGGCTTATTCATCCTGCACAGCTGCAAGTTTGTCCTCTCTGATCTCCATATCCCCATTTCCTCCCCTCCTCACCCTGGTAACCACTGCTCTACTCTCTGTTCCTATTTATTCCATTTTTTTTTTTTTGGATTGCACACAAAAGTAACATCATTCAGTGTTTTTCTTTCCGTGTCTGGCTTATTTTGCTTACCATAATGTCTGCCAGGTTTATCTATGTTGTCTCAACTGGTACAGCCTCCATCTTTGTAAGGCTGAATAGTATTTCGCTGTACATATATACTGCCATCTCTTTATCCACTAACCTATTGATGAACACTCAGGTTGTTCCCATGATTATTATCGATAATGCTGCAATAGTTATCTATATTAATTGAAGCTCATAGTTTTATCTTTCCTTCTTTGACATTTTTTCATAAAGGACATCCTCTTAGAACTATATTCTTTCATCCAATTGAGTCAGCATAGATATTAGATATGCACCTGCATCTCGACAATTCTATCCAATTATGCAATTCTATTATGTGAATACTTATTCATGAGATTTCAGTCATTCAGCATTTACTAAGCACTTGGTGTGTACAGGAATCATACTAAATGCACAGGATACAGGTTACTTTAATATAAATTTATTAGATATTTCCCAATGTAGCTATTAGGAAAGACAGATATGAAAAGCAATAATGCAACAGCAGGTGATGCTGGAGAGATGGACAGGACCCAGTGAGGACTGGTCCTTTTAGTAGTATCATTTTAGTTTCTTTTTAAGAGATTTCAAAGAACTATGAATCATTCTCAATTATATTCATAGATGTGAAAATATTTTGTGAACTAAGTAACAGTAAGTGTACTTTTATCCAAAACATTTATTGAGTATAATTTATCTACAATGAAATTTACAATTTTTTATTTGCACTGTTTGATGAGTTTTGACAAAGGTAAACACCTTTTCTTTGTTATCATTCAGTTCTTACCTATGAAATCTTTGCCTACCCTATAAGGATTTTCTTTTATGTTTTTTTTCTGGAAACTTCATCATTGAAGTTGTCATATTTATATTCATGAGCTATTTGGAATTGAGGTAAGGGTAGATAGTATTTTTTCCACCTGTTCCAGGAACATGTGTTGACAAAATTATCTTTTCCCTCATTAAATCACTTTGGCAGTTCCTCAGAAACTCTAATTTTAATATGAAATACAAAAATACAGACTTTTAAAATGTTTCCACTTAAACATAATAAATTCAGTAATGTTTTGAGTCACTTTTAATTTTATTATTCACAATTACATTTGTTGGAAATGTAGTTTACAAGTGTGAGACATTAATCACTCTTCAGCCTTTGATATATTTTTATTCAGTTATTCTTTGCCATAATTTACAGGTTGGGAGCTAATAGAATAGGACACTCTTTTCTTAGCTTGCTCAACAGGTTCACAAGTTTCTCAGTTGGATCCCCCCAGAGAAACGCCTGATGAAAGGACTTGGAGGCAGGTAGCGGTTTCCAAGTGATCTCAGGAAGCACAGGTAAAAGACAGAGCCAACTGTGTGCCTTGGGAAAAAGAGAGAGAGCCAATTGCATGCCTCAGTGGGTGGCCGTGGGGCTCGATCCCTCAGAGAAGCTCGGTGGAACACATCCTGAATTGTCTTACTGAGCCCCAGTGTCCACACTCCTAGCTGCTGGTGCATGAGAGTGCTCGTGCGTTCTGCTGCCCAGGTAGCTGCAACGGTGCCCAAGAAAGCCTCAGGCAGAGGAGCTGAGCTCATGGGTATCTGAGGTAGGAAGTGTCCACGTGCTAGAATTGCGATGATGCTGAAGTGGCCCAGGACCCATAGAGGATGCCACAGCAGCGTGTACACCGTATGCCTCAGGGCAGGATGTGAGAGCTGTGTCATCCAAGCACAGTTGATGTGTGTGTTGGGGGAATGGGGTCTGGTAGCATGGGGCGGGAGACAGAGAAGGGTCCTACATCCAATTTGGGCCAGGTCCTGTCTGTTCCCCTTGTCCTCAGTGATTGGCCCAGCTGGAAGGAATGGACTCATCCCCTCCTTCTATCCCCAGCAGGCCAGCGTAGGCAGCAGAGAAGTTTCTCCTATCTCCCAGGGAATGAGCCTGTGAGAAAAACACCAGAATCTTGTCTAGGAGTGAACACTGGGCCTGGCATCACAAACGCATGAGAATACTGGTAAATACAGAAAATGTACATAAAATAAGCAGGGTTAGAAACCTGCAAAGATGAGAGCAAGAAGTAGGAATGGGTGAAAACAACTCACGTGCGTTTTATGAGATAGCTTCCCCACTGAGCTCCTCAAGTCTCTGCAAATCTATCATTAGAGTTTTATTTTTTATTTATTTATTATTTTATTTATTTATTTTGAGATGGAGCCTCGCTCTGCTGCCCAGGCTGGAGTGCAGTGGTGCGATCTCAGCTCACAGCAAGCTCTGCCTCCCGGGTTCACACCATTCTCCTGCCTCAGCCTCCCAGGTAGCTGGGACTACAGGCGCCCACCACCACGCCCAGCTATTTTTTTGTGTTTTGGTAGAGACGGGGTTTCACCGTGTTAGCCAGGATGGTCTCAATCTCCTGACTTCGTGATCCACCTGCCTTGGCCTCCCAAAGTGCTGGTATTACAGGCGTGAGCCACCATGCCCAGCCATTAGAGTTTTATTAATGTGACTAATACACTGTTGTCTTAGGAGGGGCACCAAACCTACGATACCAGGCACAGTTATTTTAATATAAATGTATTTATCTACTCTCTGGCAGCAGTTCCAATCTGAGCAACCCTGAATAAACACAGAATACTATGATTCTGAATGATGAGAGTTTCAGGGGAAAAAATCTCCCATTGGCTGTATGGAAAGGGGAGGAACCAAGGTGGAGGGAGGGAAGAGCTACACAACCAGTCTCCAACTCGCAACTGGGTTTCACTCATCCTCAATGGCCCCATTATAAGTTCCACAGCTACCATCAGGGATGACCCATCAGCATTGTCCGTGTCCAGCCTCTGAGCCTGACCCTGCTGGACTCCTCAATATTTGGGGGTTCTTGTTCAAGTAGTGCCATTGAGGAAATGCATGCAATAGGCCAAGAAGCCACCTGTTGAGTTCACAAGTCAACAGAAGCACTGGCCCAGGAGCCAGGCAGAGGCAGCTTCAGGAGGCGACCAAACTCATGAATTTGGTAGCTGAGTTACTTTAACTGATGAGATAAGGATGAAGACATAGAGCTCAAGAAAGTTAAGTGCAGAGTGTTTCGTGTGCACCACTCCATGCAAAACCCTTATGTCGTGTCTGACACAAAGTGGGTGCACGTCAGCATTTCCTTCATAAGCAGTGAGTTGCAGATGGCATTAAGAAATTCAAGGCTGAGTTTCTGTTGGAGAGTGTGTGGCAGGGCACTTGGTAAACATGGTGGTATTGGGTGATGCTGCGAGTTCTTCACAGGAGCACCAGGATGAGCTCGTGGGTAGAAAATACAATTACTTTCCTTGGTTATCTTAAACGCAGTTGATTTCCAGAAGAATACGTAGGAAGAGATAAGAGAAAGCAATCCTGGTCGCCAAAGTGGAAGCCTGGGCATCCTCACAGTGCTTCCCTGTCCCTCACTCAGCCCTGTGTCTTTTGTCTGATGGAACAAGAGCATCACCATCTTGGACAAGTATGCCATTTTAAGTTTCCTTGATCAAAACCAACCTGAATCCAAAAGGGCATCATCCTTATGGCTAAGGACAGCATGACCATAAACCGCAAATAATATCTCCAACCAGAAACATTCCAAACCCCTCCCTGACCAGAAACATGCCAGCTCCGAGACAACCTCCCCTCCAGCTGGAAAGATGTCAGGTACAGGATAACCTCCCCTCCTCCCAGAAACATTCCAACTCTGCCATAAACTTCTCCCCCACACAGAAACATTCCAAGCTTGTGATAAGCCCCTTCACCCTAAAACCAATCTATGTTCTTAGTCTGAAAGAGAGAGCACTCCTAACTGAAATCAACCAGAAGCCCCTCTCAGGTTTACTTCTCTAAAATAAATCTATCTTTGACTGTTGAGCCACATTTCATGTTTCTTTCTTCTTTCTTTAGCTCTTACACTGCCTCCTCAATGTATCTCCCAATGCTTGCTGCTCTCTTTTCAATGTCATGTGTCCCCCAGTCCTTTCTCCTGTGGCTAGCAGAATCCTCAGTCTTACATTTGATTATGATATTCTGCTTTGACCTCCCAAAAGTTGAGTAAGGAAACTGCTAGTCATTTCCCAATATCTGTTGGTAACTTTTTTTCTCATACTGGAAGAAAGGCACAAAGACAATGAGAAGAAAACATGTCCCAGGAGTCCTCACAGCTGTGGGTGGCAGTCAAGTTTATGCTGATAATTGAGATAAAGGAGGAAAGTTGATGGCAGCTGCTGAACCCTCCCTAATCAGAGAGTTGCGTGCACCTTGGGCTTTTTCTTCTTTATACCTCCTCTTTCCTTGTGGACTGGCTAAATAATTCCAGGAATTGGAACCACAGGTTTAAACATCCTGACATATGCCAGCTTCAGCTCCCCCTAGTTCAGGCTTTCTTCATAATGAGGCTCAGAGACTTAAAAGGCCTAATGCTCAGTGCTACAAGAGGTTTAATGTGTCCACAGTGTGGCTTGTGTGTTTTGGAGAGTTAGGACTGGGGGATCAAGGGTTAAAAACGATGACTGGACAAGGGTCAGCCAATCCAAGGAAAATTGGAGGCAGTTACTACAGAGATTGTGAGAAGTTTGGATTTTTAATATGTTGGTACTGGAGAACAATAAAATGTCTTGAAATTTAGGTAATACTAGCAGATTTATAATAACACACTATAGACAGACTATGTTTAAAGAAGACAAAGGCCACTCCTGCATAATTGACAATTCATAAACAAAAGTTTACTTTTTTTTGCTGTTACCTGTTGGATCAAATTCTTAGAGAGAGACCTGGAACAATGGGGTATAAATCAGTCTATATTTTTTTCTGATTCTTAATGTGGCTGCTTTTAGACTGGGTGGCACAAAGAAAGAACCATAGATTAAGATTCATAAAATCAGGGTCTACTTGTAGCGCATTCATAAGTCACTAGAATTTGGAAAAAGTCACCTAACATTCCTGAACCTTTGTAAATCTTGGAAAATAACACAGCAGAGACCCTCCTTCCAGAGGCTGTCATGGGAACCCAATGCATTCACATACATGAGTGAAATCTGTGTGTACTCATGCACTCTTAATATGTGTTATTATTTTACAGATAAAAATAAGTGGCTAAAATATTCTAAGGTTTTCTATTTGAATAAGAAACGTGTCAGCTGATGCAGTGGCTAACGCCTGTAATCCCAAAACCCTGGGAAGCCAAGGAGGGTAGATCACAAGGTCAGGAGGTTGAGAACATCTTGGCCAACATGGTGAAACATCATCTCTACTAAAAATACAAAAATAAGCCAGTCGTGGTGGCCCACACCTGTAGTCTCAGCTACTCTGGAGGCTGAGGCAGGATAATCACTGGAACCCGGAAGGTGGAGGTTGCAGTGAGCCCAGATCACACCACTGCACTCCAGACTGGGTGACAAGAGCAAAACTCCATCTCAAAAGAAAAGAAAAGAAAAATGTGTTATTTCAGATATCAGTTAAAAACACAGAATATATCTGTTGGCCTCAGGAAAGATAGTAAATGGGTCCTCTGAGCGCATGCATCATCTGAAAGCGTTGTGACCGCTCTCTGTCTGATCATGACTTAGAGATGTAATTCAGCAAATCTTTTCTGCTTTCTTCCAAGAAATCTAATAAAACCATTTCTAGGAAAAGACTATATGGTTGAGGTCTACTAGAGAAGAATATATATTCAGAATTTTGCCTCCAGGTCCAAATAAATAGATTTCCTTATTATTGCTACAATCTGATCTCCAATGTATAAAATGTGGATAAAATAATAAAAGTAAATGACATAAAGTAGAAAACAGCAGAGCTAAAATACAAAAATTTTCAAAGAAATAATCTGGATGATCTGAAATAGCTTGGTGAAATTTCTTCAAATAATAATAATAATAATAAATGAGGGGTGGGATGTTTACATAGTTCAGCGTCCTGCTCTGCTTCCCTGGGGGGATGAAATCTCATTCTCCCCTGGGTTGTACTAACCCTACTGCATATGTATTGACACGAAATTGCCTGCAGAGGAATCACAGCTTGGGGGAAAGCTCTGTGGAGGACTAAGGTGAATAAGAATTTCTCTGTGCTGAACTGTGTTTCCTTACAGGTGAAGTTCACATTTAAAATGTCTTCTAACCAGCTGGGCAAGTAAAATTAAACTGAAACCAAAAGAAAGCAAAACCCTTGGCTTCCATTTCTATCTCTCATTTCTCATTCAGCAACATTCACTGTGTGTCTACTGCATACAAGGTCTGATGTAGAAATGAACGAGAGTGAAATCTATATTCCCCACTTCTTAATATCTGAGAGACAAGATGTGTTCTTTAATTAATATAAAATACAGAACATTGAGGTTCGTTAAGTGCATTGCTCCATTCAGAAGAGAAATTACAGTCAAACAATGTAAAGGGCATTAGGGGATCTGCAAAAGCAGAATAGAAAGGTAGCTATTAAGTTGTGCTACGAAGAAAGCTCAGGGTTAAAGTTTGAAGATTTGTGAATGAGTAAATAATATAGTCTCAGTACAGGCAGCAAAGCTAGGCTGGGGAGGTTGTGTGTTGGGATATTAGTAAGGTGGGTTTATATAGAGAGGGTTGGAGAGGGAAGGGACATCTTGGAAACAATTGGGAAGCTCAGCTGGGCTGACAACTGCATGCATATCACTGCATTAGTTCATTTTCACACTGCTATAAAGAACTACCTGAGACTGGGTAATTTCTGAAGAAAAAAGGTTAATTGACTTACTGTTCCCCATGGCTAGGAAGGCCTCAGGAAACTTATGATCATAGTGGAAGATGAAGGGGAAACAAGGACCTCCTTCACATGGTGGCAGGAGAGAGACAGAGAGAGGGGGAAAGTGGCAAACACTTTTAAACCATTAGCACTTGTGAGAACCCCCTCACTCTCATGAGAACTACATGGGAGACACCACCCTTATGATCCAATCACCCCCACCAGCTCCCTCCCTCAAAATGTGAGGATTATAATTTGAGATGAGATTTGGGTGCAGACACAGAGCCAAACCATATCAAAGACTCTGCGGGGGACACAAAACCAAGAAAGTTTATAAACAGAAGAGTGCCAGTAACAGTGGTGTCTTTATAAAAAGAAGGAGAGAGAGAGGAGCCAGGACATGCATACGGAGGACATTCCTGCCCTTTCCAGCACTGGCACAGGCATTCAGTCTTACGAAGAGAATTCTGCTGCAAAGACCCAGCCTTGGACATGAGAAATTACATTTTCAAAGTCATGTAAATGATCACTGGGAAGTTTGGCATTGGGATTTAGCTCTTTCTTTAATCAATGCTTTTTTTCTGACACTATGCCATGAATTGTATAGAGTTATCTCACACTATTTAAAATGTTAACAGTAAATATGACTCTAATATGCATCCAAGAGAACCATAACACAGAGGTAGAAGGTATGGCTGTAAGATATTTCATAAATATTACTTATACAAAATAATGGCAATCACAATAATTGTTATGTGCAGCAGGTCCTCACACAGAGTCATTTTGTTCAGCATCATTTTGTTATAACATTGATAGAAAAAATTCGATTCTTTTGGGGGGCATTTTTCTGTGTGGAGTAGGCACATTCTCTCCATGTCTGCATGGGTTCTTTCAATGTCCTTTGGTTTCCCCCCTCATCTCAAAGATGTGTACCTTTGGTTAACTGGTGTGTCTCAATGGTCCCAGTGTGAGTGAGTGTGGTTGGATGTGATTGTCCCTGCAATGGAGCTATGACCTGTCCAGAGCTGATTCTTGCCCTTTGCTCTGAGCCAATGGGACAGGCTCCAGCCACCTATGACCTTGAACGAGAATAAGCAGATACATAATCATCCATTTATATGAATCTTTCTTAAATGTGTCTATAGCTCACATTTATTTGTTTAATATTAGAAGTGTTTCAAGTCTTTCTTTAGATGTTTGGTGATGTTTTTGTGACCAGAAATAGTCCTTAGGAACCTAACTCTTATTTCTATCAATTAGCTAATAGATAGGTTGGCTTGCTTATATGTCATTTGGCTTCAAGTCGCAGTTTTGAAAAACTTATCCACAACATTGAGCTCTTATTGTATTACACAGCTATTACAGGCCAGTGTTTACATCTATCACTTCTTAACACTCATTATTTGCAGAAGAGCGCTGTGAGATTGACAACAGTATTTCCTCATTTGGCAGAGGCAACTGAGGCTCACAGAGCGGCCATTTGAACATCTGTATTGACCATCACACAGTAAGTGACGAGGACAAATTCACATCTGCTTCTCACCTGGATTTCATTAATTCCAAACCCCAGATATCTGCTAATTTTTTATAGAAATGCAAAAGTTAATACTCCTGCCGATAAGTCACTAAAGAACTAAAGCAGGGTTTAAAAAGTGTACATTGGGACTCGCCTCCTTCTCTCAATTCCATCTTTAAAGTTCATGTCACAAAATTATGCTCACAGCTTTTCTTCAGAAAACTCCATTTGTTCCTCCTACTTTCATATCGTCAACCCCCTCCATGATAGCCATGTCCACAAAGACTTTCAAGGTGTTGTAGGATAACTCAAATTAACCTCACAGTCCAAAGTCCCAGTTCCCCAACTGCCTTTGTCCCCTATGTACTCCTGCTTTTCCTGAGGTCAGAGCTGCATGCTGGGAACAGAGGGCTGTAAAAAGGCAGAGTTATCAAACTCCTCCATCCTGACTCTGGGCAAATAGACTTGTACACAACTTAATTACATTTCAGTGGGTTTAATGCAACACAAACTATACATAAACTTCAGAGGACTCACGGCAGAGATGAATCCTGAGCTGTTTGGGGCAACAAAAAGGCAATCTTCAAGGGGCTCCCAGTGGGAAGAAAGTGATTCCAGGCAGAAGACGCCAACTAGGCAGTGACATGGTAATGCAAAAGCAAGGTTATACGGTTTAAAAACTTCCCATGCTATCATTGTCTAAGAGTGAAATGAAAGCAGTCTATCCAGAGATGAGGCTGGAGTGATTCAGTGAAGCCAGTCCTGAAGGCTTTGTGTGGCAAGCTCAGCAGCTTTGTCTTAACTTGTAGGCCTGGTAACCCTCCCTCTAAGAAACAGAAGCTTGCTGGTAGTCACTACTTACTATTCGGTAACATATATTTCAATAAGGAAGTCGTAAGACTAATTAAAAAATTAATCAGTGCTCTGGTCAACATGAAGAGTCAAAGTGCTACTACATTAAGCTATAAGCCACTTTATGGCTTCTTCCTCAGGGGCTAATTAATATCTTGTGAAAGAAGTAACACAAAAGCAATCATGTGTCGCACTGGAATATGTCAAGTTCTTGGTCCAGAGCAAAGGCTCCAGAGTTGTGACATTTTTCTGCTGACGAGGAGTCACGAATATTTGTGCTGTATCAAGTCACGTGCAGAAGAGTTCAGCAATATTCCTTGTTTTTCAGGTAAGTAACAATGGGTGCTATGACAAACTGACCTCTCAATCTCAGTGATTTAACAAATTGTCATGCATCCCTAGCTCCCATTATAGCATCTTAGTTCGGTGTGGTCAGTGCAGGCACTCAGGGACCCAGGCTCCCTGCTGGCCCGTTCCCAGTCTCCACTGTGGACTCTGTGCTGTCTAGCTCTTTTGTGGCCTCAGGTTGCTACCCCAGTCACAGTCACTGCTCTTGTGCTGGTTTTTAGGTACAAGATGATGAAGGCTAGCTGGTATCTACTGCATGCGGCATTGTGTTGACTTCGTTCTTCAGTGCCTGTTCTTGTGGGTATTGATGTAAAATGCAGAACTCTTTCTACGTCCTGCTCAGTCTTATGTGTCCATTTGCTTGCCCCCATGCCTGATCCTCTTGCCTCTGGTCTCTTGTCTGATCTTTAACAAAGACATGAGTTAAATTTGACCCTTGGACAACTCAAAAATTAGGGGCACCAATCCCACCTTCCCCAAAGTTGAAAACCCACTTATAGCTTTTGAGTCCCTAAAACCTTGACTACTGTTAGGCTACTGTTGATAGGAAGCCTTACCAATAATATAAATAGTCCACTGAGAAATATTTTGTGTTATACATATTATATGCTGTATTCTTACATAAAGTAGGCTAGAAAAAATGTGGTATTAAGAAAATCATTAGGAAGAGAAATGTATTTACTACTTAGTAAGTGGAAATAGATCATCATAAAGGTCTTCATCCTCATCATCGTTATGTTGAGTAGGCTGAAGAGGAGAAGAAAGAGGTTGGTCTTGCTCTCTCAGGGGTGGCAGAGGTGGAAGAGATGGAGGAGGTGAAAGGGGGGGCAGGGGAGGCAGGCACACTCGATGTAACTTTACAGAAATGCATCGTAATTTCCGTCTAAATTTATTACCTTTTCATTTCTCTCAAAATGTTTTTATATGGTACCAATCCTTCCACTGTTTGCTTTAGTTTCATTCCCAATAACATAGAAGGGTCCATGTTGTAAAAGAAGCCAAAGCCAAAAGCTGTCTTGAATAGTCTGAACCCTCTGCCATATTGCCCAGTGTCAATTTATTTTCTGCACTGCTTCCCCTACAGCCTCTCCCTCACTGTCTGGCACTGGTTTGGAAGCACTCATATTCATCAAGTCATCTTGTGTTAGTTTCTCTGCTGTGGTGGCTTTTAGCTCTTGGGTTTTTCCAAGATCCATACCTTGAAACCCTTCACCCTTTACCTTGTTCACCACATCTACAATCTCATTCATGATATCCTTGATTGGCTCTGTGGTAAATCCTGTGAAGTCATGTGCAGCATCCACACACACTTTTCTCCAGCAGGAATGTGTTGTTTCAGGCTTGATAGTTTTCATGGCTTTCTAAGTAACAAAAATGGCCTCTTCAGTGGTGTAATCTTTTCAGACTTTTATGACTAGTTGTTTCTATTGGGGTTCTCCTCCATAGCGTTGGCAATCCTTTCCACAGAATACCGTGTTTCATGAGCCTTAAAGGTCCTTATGACACCCTGATCTAAAGGTTGAATTAGAGACATTGTGTTTAGAGGCAAATAGGCCACTTTGACACCACCAGGGTTGAACTTAAGGGGTTCTGGGTAACTGGGGGCATTGTCCCATATCAAACAATCTTTAAAGTACCTTACTGGCAAGGTATTTACTTTCTGATTTCAGGGACAAATTGTTGAAAGAACCGATCTAGAAATAAGTTTCTTGTTGACCAAGCCTTCTTGTTGTACAACCAAAGGACTGGCACCTGATGTTTATCTTTCCCCTTCAAGGATCAGGAGTTATAGATAAGGACATTTTCAAAAGCAGTAGACTTCCTGACTTAAGTCCTGGTGCTCATTTCTTTTCCTTATTAATAATTGTTTTTTTTTAATTTTTTCCCCTGAAATAAGTCCTTTTGCCTACATTGAAAACCTGTTCAAGCAGATGTCCTTTCTCCTCAATGATTTTCTTAGTGGAGTCTGGGAACTTGCCTTCTGCCTCTTGGTTGGAAGAGGCTGATTCTCTTGTTATCATGAAAATTTTTAAGCCAAATCTCTTTCTAACTTTATCAAACTATCCTTTGCTGGCATTAATTTCTGCATCTTCCTTTTGCTTTAAGTTGTCATGCAATGACTTTTCTTTTTCTTGACTAAGATTATAATGTATAGATATGCCTTTCTTATAGCAATCCTGCACCTACATGAAACTTTGAGTTCAATATGAGATGAAAAGTTAAGATATATTTTTGTGTGTATATATGTATATAAATATGTGTGTGTATGTGTGTGTATATATACACTTATACATAAATATTTAAATTGATTCATAATCACTGAATTTTTTCCCAAAATATCTTCTTTTGTTGAATCCTTGTTAGCTTGGGTTTCATCTTCATTAAGGCCATTTTCATTAAGAGTTTTATCTTCCTTAAGGGTTTATCTTTCATATATAAAATACATTATACGTGTATACAAATATGTTTATAATGTACAAAATACATTATATATGTATATACATATATGTAGATAGAAAGCAAGAGAGAGAGAGACAAAGAAAGAGAGTGACAGTACAGCAAGGGAGATTTTGTTGTGTTTCTGTGTAGAACCTTGAGCAATACAATACTGGGGGATGGGGGTAGAAATAATTGGATTTTCCAAACTACAAGGCCTTGATTTCCATATTCTCTTTTATTTCTGCTTATAAACTGGTTCTTTCTTTAATTTGTCTGTTTTCAGCTACACCTTGCTAAATTCAGCTGCTAATAAAACAACATAATCAAGATGCAAATTCCTTCAAAAAAGTTTTACTAGAGCCACAGGATCTAAAAAGTAAAAAGACAAATTTCAAAGTGGAAAAAAACATTTTTAATATTTGCAACTGATGATAAAAAATTAAACAATTTTAGAAAGATTACTTCAAAGCAATAAGAAAAGCACAACATTCAACAGAACAATGGGCAGATATAAACAAGTATTTTACAGAACACAAAACACAAATAGGAAATAAACATATAGAAAGATATCAAAGTGCTTAGTGGTCAAGAAAATGTAAGCCAAGAAAACAATGAAAAATAATTATATACTCATTCTTTTAGATAATTTTTTAAAAATCGGCACATGAATTTTCACATCAGGACTCTGTAAAATGTAAAAATCTGCCAACAATCTTGAAGTGTATTCAAAGAAAATAGAAGAATGAGCTATAATAACTGTTACAGCAAAATGGTTTAATAACAGTGATGTGGTTAATAATGGTAAATAACAATGATGTGGATGAAATTTAGAAATATAAATATAAGTAAATAAAGTAAATCCAAAAAGATTGTAGAAACACTTTTTTTTGTAAAGTTTAAAACAACTAAGATAATGTATACAAAAATATTGGCATAATAAACCTAGATAAGAAAGCACACAAAGGAATGATGAACATGGCGGGGGTAATGTGTGTTGTCTCCCATGGGGTTGTCATGGGAATGAGATGGAGAAACTAGACGGTGAAATGTAGGTTATGTTCAAGGCTCTGGCTTTTACTTCTTATGGCATGTTTGTGCATACATATTAAAATATACTAAATAAATAATTTGCTAAATAAATGATTCTGGTCCCTATTTGGGTTCATGTGTTTTTCATGAAACAAAATGATTAATCTAAAATCTAATTCTGTGCAGAATAGAACAAGTCCAGAAAGTAGAAAATAAGAAAGAAAGGAAAGGAGCTTGCAGGGGAGGAAAGAAGGAAGGAAGGGAAAGAATAAATTTTTTTTAGTAAACCAAGCAGAAAAATCAAGCTTCCTAAAAGTGGTGAAATTAGTCTTATCTCATACTGTTCAGCAGCAACAGTCACTGCCAGAAATCTGCCAACTGATTTATTTCTACTAATTTTTTAGGGAAAGAAAAAGTGAGCCAAGATAATTTCATGCCCAGTTGGAAATTTTTTATTGTGAAAAGGAAACAAGAAGATATCCTCAAACATGAATATACCTAAGGAATGAAAACTCCATATGTTCTTTTAAAGTATATACATATATATGTATATATTTAATAAATAACTAACCCCTAAAAAGATAAGCAGAGATGCAATGGTAAAAAGAACGTGTGTTGTTCTTAGTGCAGCAGACAGTGGGGCACTTCTAATGAAATCCCAAGGGCAAGAAAGGGACCCAGTGCTCTCATATGCACCTAAGATGCCAGTCAGGTATAATGGCAGCATATGGACGAGAACTGTTTGGCCTTGATGAAGATGAAACCCAACCAAACAAGGAATCAACAAAAAAAAAAATGAAAAAAAGACATTTTGGAAAAAAATCAGTGATTATGAATCAATTAAATTTAAAAATGTGAGCTATATTTAAAAATGTGAACAATTCTGGCTATAAGACTAAATGTAAATTTAATAAAATACAAACTAAATATAATTTTTAGAATCAGGAAGTGGGAAGGGAGGAATGCAAGAGGGTAATTTCTTTCATTTACAATATTATATGATAAACTAATACCGTGTAGAATTGAAACAAAGATTTAAATTGAAATATAATAGTGGCAACTTCTGATTGTTTTATTGTTTTATTTATTTGTTTTATTTCTCTATCATTCAGAGTATTTTTAATTTTTAATTTTTTTTATTTCAATAGGTTTTTGGGGAACAGTTGGTGCTTGGTTACATGAATAAGTTCTTTAGTGGTAATTTCTGAGACTATGGTGCACCCATCAGCCGAGCAGTGTACACTGTATCCAATGTGTAGTCTTTTATTCCTGCCACCCCCAGCCCTTTCCCTTAAGTCCCCAAAATCCAATGTATTATTCCTATGCTTTTGCATCCTCATAGCTTAGCTCCCACATATGAGTGAGAACATACGATGTTTAGTTTTCCATTCCTGAGTTACTTCACTTAGAATAATAGTCTCCAATTCCATCCAGGTTGCTGCAAACACCATTATTTTGTTCCTTTTCATGGCTAAATGCTATTCCATTGTATGTGTATATATACCACGTGCTCTTCAACAACTCACTGATGGGTGGGCATTGGAGCTGGTTCCATAGTTTGGCAATTGCAAATTGTGCTGCTATAAACATACATGTATCTTTTTTATATAATGATTTATTTTTTATCTGGGTAGATACCAAGTATCTGTAGCGGGATTGCTGGATCAAACAGTGATCTACTTTCAGTTCTTTAAGGAATCTCCACACTGTTTTCTATAGTGGTTGTTCTAGTTAACATTCCCACCAACAATGCATATGTGTTCCCTTTTCACTACTTCCATGCCAACATCTATTTTTTTTTTCATTTTTGATTATGGCCATTCTTGCAATACTGAGGTGGTATCCCATTGTGATTTTGACTTGCATTTCTCTGATAATTAGTGATGTTGAGCATTTTTCCATATGCTTTCTGGCCATTTGTATATCTTCTTTTGAGAATTGTCTATTCATGTCCTTAGCCCACTTTTTGATGGATTGTTTGCTTTTTCCTTGCTGATTTGTTTGAATTCTTTGTAGATTCTGAATATTACTCCTTTGTCAGATGTGTAGATTGTGAAGATTTTCTCCCACTCTGTGGGTTGTCTGTTAACACTGCTGATTATTTCTTTTGCTGCGAAGAAGCTTTTTAGTTTAATTAAGTCCCATCTATTTATCTTTGATTTTGTTGCATTTGCTTTTGGGTTCTTGGTCATTAAGTTTTTGCCTAAGCCAATGTCTAGAAGGGTTTTCCTGATGTTATCGTCTAGAGCCTTTATGGTTCTATGTCTCAGATTTAAGTCCTTGATCC
This sequence comes from Homo sapiens, assembly GCF_000001405.40. Taxonomy (NCBI): domain Eukaryota; kingdom Metazoa; phylum Chordata; class Mammalia; order Primates; family Hominidae; genus Homo; species Homo sapiens. The sequence continues at coordinate 6,098,693 of NC_000002.12, forward strand.
GCCTTGAGTTAATTTTTGTATAAGTGAGAGATGAGGATCCAAGTTCATTCTTCTACATGGGCCTTCCCAATTATCCCAGCACCATTTGTTGAATAGGGTGTCATTTCCCCACTTTATGTTTTTGTTTGCTTTGTCAAAGATCAGTTGACTGTAAGTACTTGGCTTTATTTCTGGGTTCTGTATTCTGTTCCATGGGTCTATGTGCCTATATTTGTATCAGTACCATGCTTTTTTGGTGACCATGGCCTTATAGTAGAGTTTGAAGTCAGGTAGTGTGATGCCTCCAGATTTGTTCTTTTTGCCTAGTCTTGCTTTGGCTTTGTGGGCTCTTTTTTGATTCTGTATGAATTTTAGGATTTTTTTTTCCAGTTTTTTTTTGAATAATGATGGTGATATTTTGATGGAAATTGCATTGAATTTGTAGATTACTTTTTGCAGTGTGGTCATTTTCACAATATTGATTCTACCCCTCCATGAGAATGGGATGTGTTTCCATTTGTTTGTGTCATCTGTGATTTATTTCAGCAGTATTTAGCAGTTTTCCTTTTAGAGGACTTTCACATCCTTGGTTAGGTATGTTCCTAAGTATTTTATATTTTTTTGCAGCTATTGTAAAAGGGGTTGCATTCTTGATTTGATTCTCAACTTGGTTGCTGTTGGTGTATAGCAGAGCTACTGATTTGTGTACACTAATTTTGTGTCCTGAAACTTTGCTGAATTCATTTATCAGTTCCAGGTGCTTTTTGGATGAGTCTTTAGGGTTTTCTTGGTAGACGATCATATCATCAGCAGACAGTGACAGTTTGATTCGGATGCCCTTTATTTCTTTCTCTTGTTTGATTCTTCTGGCTAGGACTTCCAGTACTGTGTTGAACGGAAGTGGTGAAAATGAGCATCCTTGTCTTGTTCCAGTTCTCAGAGGGAATACTTTCAGGTTTTCCTCATTCAGTATAATGTTGGCTCTGGGTTTGTTGTAGATGGGTTTTATTACCTTAAGGTATGTCCCTTCTATGTCAATTTTGCTGAGGGTTTTAATCATAAAGCGATGCTGGATTCTGTCAAATGCTTTTTCTGCATCTATTGAGATGCTCATGTGATTTTTGTTTTTAATTCTGTGTTTATGTGGTGTATCACATTTATTGACTTATATATATTAAACCATTCCTGCATCCCTGCTATGAAACCCACGTGATCATGGTTCATGGTTGAGTACCTTTTTTTTTTTTTTGAGACAGAGTCTTGCTCTGTCACCAGGCTGCAGTGCAGTGACACGATCTCAGCTCACTGCAACCTCCACCTCCTGGGTTCAAGAGATTCTTCTGCCTCAGCCTCCTGAGTAACTGGGACTACAGGTGAGTGCCACCACACCCAGCCAATTTTATTGTATTTTTAGTACAGACGGGGTTTCACCATGTTGGCCAGGAAGGTCTTGATCTCCTGACTTCATGATCTGCCCACCTCGGCCTCCCAAAGTGCTGGGATTACAGGCGTCAGCCACCACACCCGGCCAGTTGATTGCCTTTTTGATATTCTGTTGATTTCAGTTCTCTAATATTAATATTTTGTTGAGGATTTTTTCAGTCTATGTTCACCAGGGATATTGGTCTGCACTTTTCTTTTTATGTTATGTCCTTCCCTAGTTTTGGTATTAGGGTAATACAGACTTCATGACATAATTTAGAGAGAAGGCCCTCTTTCTCTATCTTTTGGAATAGTGTTAATAGGATTGGTACCAATTCTTCTTTGAATGTCTAATAGAGTTTAGCTATGAATCCGCCTGGTCCTGGACTTTGTTTTGTTTTGGCAATTTTTTTATTACCATTTCAATCTCATTGCTTGTTATTGGTATATTCAGAGATCTATATCTTCCTGGCTTAATCTAGGAGAATTGTATATTTCCAGGAATTTATCTATCTCCTCTAGGCTTTCTAGTTTCCAGGAATTTATCTATCTCCTCTAGGCTTTCTAGTTTATGTGCATAAAAGTGTTCATAGCAGACCATCCTGGCTAACACGGTGAAACCCCATCTCTACTAAAAATACAAAAAATTAGCTGGGCATGGTGGTGGGCACATGTAGTCCCAGCTACTCGGGAAGCTGAGGCAGGAGGATGACATGAACCTGTGAGGCGGTGGTTGCAGTGAGCCGAGATCGCGCCACTGCACTCTAGCCTGGGCGATAGAGCGAGACTCTGTCTCATTTAAAAAAAAAAAAAAGTTCATAGTAGCCTTGAAGAATTGTTTGTATTTCTGTGATATCAGCTGTAATATCTCTCATATCATTTCTAATTGAGCTTATTTGGATCTTCCCTCTTGTTTTCTTGGTTAATCTTGCTAATGGTCTATCAATTATATCCATCGTTTCAAAAAACCAGCTTTTTGTTTCATTCATCTTTTGTATTTTTTTTTGTTTGCTTCTGTTTCATGTAATTCTGCTCTGATCTTCATTATTTATTTTCTTCTGCTGGGTTTGGATTTGGATTGTCTTGTTTTTCCAGTTCCGTGAGGTGTGACCTTAGATTCTATTTGTGCTCTTTCAGAATTTTTGGTGTAGAAATGCTATTAACTTTCTTCTTAGCACAGCTTTTGCCATATCTCGGAGGTTTTAATAGGTTGTAACGCTGTTATTTTTCAGTTCAAATAATTTTTTAAATTTCCATCTTGATTTCATTGTTGATGCAATGATCATTCAGGAGCAGGTTTTTTAATTTCCATGTATTTGCATGGTTTTGAGGGTTCCTTTTGGAGTTGATTTACAATTTTATTCCACTGTGGTCTGAGAGAGTGGTTGTTATAATTTTGATTTTCTTAAATTTACTGAGACTTGTTTTGTGGCCTATTATATGGTCTATCTTGGAGAATGTTCTGTATGTGGATGAATACAATGAATATTCTGCAGTTGTTGGGTAGAATGTTATATAAATATCTGTTAAGTCCATTTGTTATAGGGTATAGTTTAAGCCCACTGTTTCTTTGTTGACTTTCTGTCTTTATGACCTGTCAGGTACTGTCAATGGCAGTCCCCCACTATTACTGTGTTACTGTCTATCTCATTTCTTATAGAACTAAGAAAGTAGTAGTTGTTTTATAAATTTGGGATCTCCAGTGTTAGGTGCATATATATTTAGAATTGTGATATTGTCATGTTGGAATAGTCCTTTTTTCATTATATAATGTTGCTGTTTGTCTTTTTAAACTGCTGTTACTTTAAAGTTTGCTTTGTCTGATGCAAGACTAGCTATTCCTGCTTAATTTTGGTGTCCATTTGCATGGAATATCTTTTTCCACTCCTTTATCTTAAGTGTATGTGAATCCTTATGTGTTAGTCTCCCCAAAACAGCAGAAACTTGGTTAGTAATTTCTTATCCCTTCTGCCATTCTGTATCTTTTGAATGGAGCACTTAGGGCATTTACATACAATGTTAGTATTGAGATGTGAGGTACTATTCTATTCATCATCCTATTTGTTGCCTAAATACCTTGATTTTTTTTATTGTGTTATTGTTATATATGTCCTGTGAGATTTATGTTTTAAGGAGGTTTATTTTGGTGTATTTCGAGGATTTGTTTCAAGATTTAGAGCCCCTTTTAGCAGTTCTTGTAGTGCTGGTTTGGTAGTGGTGAATTCTCTCACCATTTTTGTTAATCTGGAAAAGACTGTATCTTTTTTTCATTTGTGAAGCTAGTTTTACTGGATACAAAATTCTTGGTTGATGATAATTGTTTTGTTTAAGGAGGCTAAAACTAAGACCCCTAACCCTTCTAGCTTGTAGGGTTTCTGCTGAGAAATCTGCTGTTAATCTGATAGGTTTTCCTTTATACCTGATGCTTTTGCCTCACAGCTCTTAAGATTCTTTCCTTCATCTTGACGTTAGCTAACCTGATGACTATGTGCCTAGATGATGACTTTTTGTGATGAATTCCCCATATGTTCTTTGAGCTTCTTGTATTTGCATGTCTAGATCTCTAGCAAGGCCAGGAAAGTTTTCCTTGATTATTCCCTCAAATATGTTTTGCAAACTTTTCGATTTCTCTTCTCCCTCAGGAACGCCAATTATTCTTAGATTTGGATATTTAACATAGTCCCAAACTTCTTGGAGGCTTTGTTCATTTCTTAAATTATTTTATTATATCTTTGATGGATTGGGTTAATTCAAAAGCTTTGTCATCCAGCTCTGAAGTTGTTTCTTCTGCTTGTTTGATTCTATTGCTGACACTTTCCAGTGTGTTTTGCATTTCTCTTAAGTGTATCCTTGATTTCTAGAAGTTGTGATGTTATAAATAAATTTTGGTGCCACAAAAGAAATAGTACTAGAATATATATATATTTTAATTTTTAGCAAGGCAAGGTAATTTTACAGAACAGTGTGCCCTTATAGATAGAGCAATGGTGAGCACACACTTGGACAAGGGAGGGGAAGGGGTTCTTATCCCTGATGAACGTGGCCTCTGTTGCTCTGTTGTGTTTTTATTGGCTAGGGTTAGACTGCACAGGCTAAACTAATTTTGTTTGGCTAATTTAAAGAGAGTGATGGGGTGAGTGGTTTGGCGGGAAAAATGGTTATGACAGAGCAGATAATTGGAAGGAGTCTTGGTGGAGTGGGTAATAGGAATGAGTTAGGGTGGAGTAGGTAATCAGAATGAGTCAGTGTGCAGCAGGTAATCAAAAAAGTTTGCTTTATGAGGAAGTTCAGTTTAAAAGTAGAAGGCAAATAATTGAACATACTGACGTATTGATTTTTTGAAACGAAATTTAGAACTAGTATCTAACATGTGATTACTTTTTATTTATGCTATCTATTCCACTGAAGAATTTTTCTTTCATATCCTGTATCATTTTTTTTTTTTTATTTTTTTAAGTTGGACTTCCTCTTTCTCTGGTTCCACCTTGATTAGCTTAATAATCAACCTTCTGAATTCTTTTTCTGGCAATTCAGAGATTTTTTCTGCATTTGGATCTATTGTTAGTGAGCTGGTATGATATTTTGGTGGTGTTAAAGGACCTTGTTTTATCGTATTACCAGAATTGTTTTTCTGGTTCTTTCTCATTTGGGTAGAGTATGTCAGAGGAAAGATCTGGGACTCAAGGGCTGCTGCTCAGGTTCTTTTGTCCCACAGGGTGCTCCCTTGGTGTGGTGTTCTCCCCTTTCCCTTAGGAATGGGGCTTCCTGAGAGCCAAACTGTAGTGATTGCTTTCGCTCCTCTGGGTCTAGCCACCCAGCTGAGCTACTGGGATCCAGGCTTGTACTGTGGAGTGTCTGCAAAGTGTCCTGTGATGTGATCCATCTTCAGGTCTTGTAGCCGTGGATATCAGCACCTGCTCTGGTGGAGGTAGCAGGGGAGTGAAGTGGACTCTCTGAGGGTTATTGGTTATGTATTTGTTTGTTTAGTACACTGCCTTTGTGTTGGTTGGCCTCCAGCCAGGAGGTGGCGCTTTCAAGAGTACATCAGGTGCTGTCCTATAGGGAAGATGCAGACTTGCCCTAGGGCAAGTATTCAGGTTTCCCAGGAGTGGGCAGGGCCGTAGAGATCCCAGGAGATTATGATCTTTGTCTTTGGCTACCAGGGCAGGCAGAGAAAGACCACCAGGTGGGGGCAGAAATAGGGTGTCTGAGCTCAGTCTCTCCTTGTGTGGGGCTTGCTGTGGCTGCTGTGGGGGGATGGCGATGTCGTTCCCAGTCCAGTGGAATTATGTTCCCGGGGGATTATGGCTGCCTCTGCTGAGTCATAAATGTTGCCAGGGAAGTAGAGGAAAGCCAGCAGTCACAGGCCTCACCCCACTCCCATGCAGCCTGCATTCTTAAAGGTCAGTCTCACTCCCACTGTGCCACCCCAACAGCATTGAGTGTATTTGCAGGAAGCTGGTGGCCAGGGCTGAGAACTTGCCCCAGACTATGAGCCACTGCATTGAGAAAGCAAGCAGACTTGCAGTTTTTCAGTGTCTCAGGGAGCCTGCAGCAGCGATCCAGTTCCCTCAAAGGGTATGTGGATTCTCTCAACTTTCCTAGTATATTCCTGCAGTAGTTCTTGCAGCAAAAGTTCATGGTGGGTCTCCACATGCTGCTCTGTCCATCCCAGTAAGAGCTGCAAGCTAGTCCCGACTCCCATCTGCCATCTTAATATGTTTTTTTCCTTTGATTGTTTTAATTAATCAAATTTATTAAATGTAAAGTCTTTTGGGGGAAAACAAATGTTTAGAAAATGTAAAAGTCAGAGTGTTTTTAGTTTTTTTAAAAAATTTCTCTTACATTGGAAGTTAATTTCAGTAATTTTCATTAAAATAATACAGCATGATCCCATTTTCATAAAATTGTTTTATTCTGTATGTCAGTTTATCTACTGTCTGTTTGCTTATCTAATCTCATAGCTTGATGAACGAACAGGCATGGGCAAGACTTGTAAACTCACCTACTGGACCAAATTTATCTACAGATGGTAATTGTTTGTCCCACACAATGCTCTGGATGTTTTGCTTTGTTTTTTGAGACAGAGTCTTGCTCTTTTGCCCAGGCTGGAGTGCAGTGACATGATCTTGGCTCACTGCAACCTCGCCTTCCAGGTTCAAACGATTCTCCTGTCTCAGCCTCCAGAATAGCTGGGACTGATGTTTTTCTAACTTAAATCCCAATGCATTTAGTCAAGGTCTACCATTTCTGCTTCTTCACAGCCACTTTGTCGCTGCTTGACTTGCACCCAGCTACTTCCATATTTACTTCACCTTATTGGGCCCTGAAGTAATACGACTCTGTTACCACTGCAAGGAACAGTGTTTAAAGACTGGTCTCGGCCGGGTGCGGTGGCTCATACCTGTAATCCCAGCACTTTGGGAGGCCAAGGGGGATCACCTAAAGTCAGGAGTTCACTGGCCAACATGGTGAAACCCTGTATCTACAAAAATACAAAAATTAGCTAGGCATGATGGTGGTTGCCTGTAATCCCAGCTACTCAGGCAGCTGAGGTGGGAGAATTGCTTGAACCCAGGAGGCAGAGGTTGCAGTGAGCCAAGATCGTGCCATTGCACTCCAGCCTGGGAAACAGAGCAAGGCTATGTCTCAAAAAACAAAACAAAACAAAACAAAACAAAAAACAAAAGAATGATCTCATAATATTAACAATGAGACGTGTAATATTTCTTTTTCTCTTTTATACTTTTTCTGTAGTGCTGAAAATTTGTATATTGTGTTGTAATTTATTTTAAAACTATAGAGTTGAGAAAATATTCAATGTATGAAATCAATTACAGAGAACTGCTTATAATGTTTCTATTTACATGGTTGCTTGTATGCAAAATGACTGATAATAATGTGTCATTTGATAACAGTTGTGGTGCCATGTTATCTGAAGCAGATTCTGTAATCAATATGTCAGATGTCAATATTTATAAAATAAGCGCAGTGATACATGCACCTAATTATGTCTTGGAAACATTAGGAAAAATGCAATGGTATATGTGAAGTGTTCTGAACAACTTGGGAGAAACAAATGCTATATAAACTCAAGATGGTATTAGAAAGGATGATAATTTATTGAGGGATTTTTTTCACCAATGGATCTCAGCCCTAATTAGACCCACTATCTGGACGCTGTTCAATACATTCCCAGAAACGTGTAGATCAATCTAGATCAGCATACGTGAGCAGATTCTACAAATCAGAGCAACCCTTTCTCATAAGAATTTACGTCAGAATGAAGTGGATATTGTGAAGAATCCTCTAACATCCCATTCGCTGTCACTTACATGCTAGAATTCAAACCTGACCGTGCCTTGAGGTCTTTCACTCTGATCTACAGCACAGGTTCTACCTTCCCTTCCTGTATCTTACAGCTCCTTCCCTTACCAGCTTCCAAAAAACGCCTGCTGCAGGCACAGAAAACTATTCTCTCCTAAATAAGTGTAAACTTCCACACCCATGGTTCTGTGTTTTGCTGTTCCCACTGTGAAAATTGCCTGTCTTTTCTGCTTTCCTGAAATCTGCAAATGTTACATGCCTCTTCCAATGCCTGACTCAGTGTCGTCTCCTCAAAGGGCCCTTTCCTGACTCACTGACGATAACTAAACACACTTATTGTGTGTTTCACACACACGTCCCGCATTTCAACCGCAGAGTGCTAAGAGCCCTCTTGTAGTTCACAGCACTGTAAAACTACTGGGTTTAGGCCATTCTCTCTGCTTCTTGTCAAATCTAGTAGGTCTTGATATCATTGACAGTGATCATGCAACTCGTCCACATGTTGGGTTGAAAGAAACTGAGTTACAGTAAAATAATAACCAAACTTAAAATAGAGTGTAATAAGCTAGCAGTAGGTGGTCTAAGAATTACAGTCCCAACCATCCTAGCAGTGGGATGCCAGTGCCCCAGACGGCTGAGAGATGATTCCATCTCCCTGATCCTATGTCTTTAAGGGGCTTTTGCTTCATTGCACAAGTGCTTTGTGAAGGAATGATTTAGTTCAGAGCATACATGTTAACAAGTCACTGAGTTCTGTGTTTTATATTTGCTTTAGGTATAAACTGTATTCTAATAGCCGCAAGGCCTCTAGAACATAAACTTTGTGTAATTGAAATTTTCTTGGGATCATCGTAATGGCCTAAAGTTATGTAAACATAAGTCCCAGCATTTGACTTCTCTGATACTCTTTTGGCACTTATACTATTATCAGTATCAGAAACATGTGGCTCGATTCCTATGCCTGAAAGTTAACATGGAATGAGACACTCTGTGGGCAGGGGAGCGAGTACCCAGGAACAGGTAAGAAGCATTTGAGGCATTAGTATAGTATTACTCCCAAATATGGCCAATCCCATGAGGCAGGAAGTGTGGTGCTGGAAAGGGGCTGTGCTACCTTCAGTAGTGCAAGAGCCTCTCTCATGATCCTCCAGAGAGTGTGAAACACTGGTGACTGCCTCAAAAACGATGACCAAAACCATAATGACAAACCCCACTGTGCTTACCTGGTGCCGGCACTGTTCATGGGCTATTTCATATATTCCATTCAATTGGAGAGTGCTAGTGTTTCCCTCCATGCTTTCCTTCTGGGAATGGTCAGTCTCAGAAAGGTTAAAGATTATAGCTGCTCTTGCCACAGAGGGGAACATAGATAACTAGGTGAGACCTTAGTTATGTTATTTGATCCTTTATAGTGACAATTTTACTGTACATATCTATCTTATAACATCACATTGCATTCCTTCAATATACACAATAACAATTATTTTTAAAAAAAGGTGTGCATGACACATAATAGGTTACATGCACAGTAAATGTTTGCTGTTATGAACACTGAGCACAGTTCACATTGCCATTTTTTAAAAAAAGAAATTCACCGAAGTCTAAGACTTACAGGTAAAAGAGTCAGTGGCTAACCTACTTTTCTGTCAAGTCAGGAGAAATTCCTGCGGCTTCCACATCAATGGGATACCAAGAGTAAAAGAAAGATATAATCTCCTATCTTAGATATTTTTTGTACCTCATCCCTTCAAAGGCTATTTTTGGCTGTTATGTATGTAACAATATCTATGCAGGACACGTTGACACCAAATTAACCTGAAGTTCTAATCCTTCTGACCGGCAGTATTAGGACACCAGAGACCAAAAAAATGAATCATGGCATAAATGGCAAAAACATGTATCATTCTGTGGAACACAAACTCCCAGGTTTTCAGAAAGGCTGGAAGGCCAGGCAGGGTTGGAGAAGGATGCCACCTATTTTTTAACTTAAGTCAACTGTGAATAATCTTGCTCCATATTCTCAATGCCCTGAATTCAGCTTAACTGTTGTTGAGAGCTACACTTTGCCAGATTGCTTTCCCTCCAGAGTTTTGGTCTTAACTTATTTTTAGTTGGACCTTTGTTAACTTTGCTTCCACTGTGATTGCTACAAAAAAGAACAACACACACACACACACACACACACACACACACACACACACACACACACACACTGATACCACCAATAGTAATGATACTAGGTTCTGACATAACCCCTGTGAATTGCATTTAAATGCATTATCTCTTTGATCCCTAAAAAGTTCTGGGAAGAAACTAGGTTGGTTACAAATTCCTCTGTTTTATAGATGAGGAAACAAAGTCAAAGTTAAGTATATTTACTCAAGTCACACAGTGAGTAGCTGCAAAGCTGGCTTTTTTGAATGTGTTGTGTTTGCAAATCACTGTACCCGCCATCTACTTTGGGACATACACCTTTGCTTTGTAATTCTTTATCTAATCATATCATCATGATTTTTCTTGATAGTACTTATTCTTTTCCAGAAATATCTTTTTTTTTTTAGTTTCTTATTGTCTCCTTTCTACCTAGAATGTAAGTTCTATGTTGTTAGAGATGGCAGTAGACACTCAATACCTATTTGCTGAGTAAATGCACTACTAATCACCGTGATCTTTACTTTATGTTGACTTCCTCTCCTGAAATTATGCCTGCAGTCCTTACCTCACAAGAGTGAAATTCCCCTTCCTTTCAGACTCTTTAGCAAGCCTCCCAGCTGGCTCCCTGGGTCTCCTCTCTGCCCATTTCTCCATTGCATAATGGAAACTATGCTTTCCTCATGCCTACTGTAAGGATCAAGGGAGATTATGCACATGGAAGTGGCTTGACACTAAGTGCAGTGTAGACATTTTGAAGAGGAGAGTGACAGTGTCTGAAGGAAACATCTATACACACACAGATATCCATGCACATGCAGACACACACCGTTTTCTTTCACAAATAAACCAGTCAGGCTAAAGCCATACAAAAACGTAGGGAAAGTCTAATAAAACATAAATATTTAACAAAAAGTCATCCCTGTGTTCCCCCATTGAGTTTAACTTTCTGGATTCTTTTATTGAATATTGACCTGTTCCAGAGTAGCCATCATTTTATTCCATTTTCTTTTGCTTCAATCTCTAATTGTTTTATGCATACTTTGTCTTTACAAGATCAGGCTCCAGATGTGATGTTTCCTTGCATGCCCCACATTGCCCTGTATAGGAATGATCACGAGAAAAATACTCAACAGCTGCTTTCAAGCAGTCCTCTGGGTATCAGAGACATGAACAAATGTGGTAGACTGTTTGCAAACATGACAACACGAATGCCTTCACCCTTGAATCTGGGCTTGATCTATGATTCACTTTGGCCAATAGAGCACTTAAAAGTGATATAGACACTTGAAAAGTATCTGCTATTGGGTCCTGCCTCCTTTTGCTGCATTTGAATCCCTGAGAGCAACTTGGAAGGAAGCTCAGGCTAGTTCATGAAGATGAAGATGAGAGGCCATGGCGACTGGGTTGTTCCTGTTGATATTGTCCAGACCAAGCAGCCTACAAACCCCAACCATGTGAGCAGGGCCAGGCTGAACCACTCAGTCCAGCCCAATCTTCAGCTGCTTGCAGAGATAAAGATAAGAATGACTTCCCAACTGACCATGGAAGTGTGGTAAATAACACTTCTCTGCTGTTTTAGTCACTGAGTTTTGGGGTGGTTTGCTAGTTAGCAAAAACTAAATGGTAGAGAGAGACCAGGGAGCTATTACCAAGAAATGCAGGAGGCATTGAAAAGTTGGGGCATCTATCAATTGATTCTGTCAGGAAGAAGAGAAATTGCGCTTCTATAGATTAATGTAAAAACATTGGTTTCAAGCAGGTTTTAATGAAATAAAAATGATCATACTTTTCCATTTTTTTGTAGTGGTAAAATATAGAAGTATTTTATAAACAATGAAGGTTTACATAATGAAGTCATATTGAAAATCTGGGGTGATTTTAATATTACTAAAACAAGAACAGCTACTACTATGACTACTCCTACAACTACCACATTAATAATAAAAATATCATGTATGTCTATAAGGATACACCATTTACAAAGTACTATCATATATATTATTTTATCTTATAGTTTCACAGTGAATCAGTGAAGTGGGCAGGACAGGTATTGTCTGTTTTATAAGAAGTGGGTGAGGTATTAAAAATAACCATTTTTTTGAAATATTGATTTGTTTTATGACATCATAAGAAGACCTACACTGGAATCAGAACTTAGTAATTCAATACTTAGATTTGGCCCTTATATGCTGTGTGATATTGGGAGGTTAGATAAGTCTTTCACCATTCTTAAGCCTCAATGGCCTCATAAACAAAATAAGAAACTATGAAAAAAGTCCTCCTAATATTCTCTTTTTATTAATCTGCTCTTTCAACTATGAAGAATTGCTATTGAGATGATCATGATCTCTGATAATTATTGCCGAATGGATTCCAGTTTGGACTCCAGGGCTGAGTTCTCTGGATGTGACTTCCTCACTTTTTAATTCTAAGAACCAAGTAAATGATGTGGTAATTACTTTGCAAGAAAAGTAACTTGTGTGTAGAAAAAAAAAATGTAGCGAAACTCAACCATAAAAAATAGAAATGTTCATTGGGGATGAGATGTGAAATTCTGCTCAATGAAGAAATTAAAAATGGACAAGAGCATAGTGGGTTGACAATAATATTTCTTAATATATACAAGTTTTGTGAATGCTTCAACCAAGAACTTTTAAGGTCTGTATTGCACATGTAAACCTCATGCACTGCAAAATTCTTTTAAAGGGTGGCTATAACTGATGTAATCTTATTGCATTTCTGGGGTCAGAGGTGAGTTTCTGTAGGTTTGGGTGGAACATTGCATTCTGTGGTATCTGGGACCCCAAGAGTTAAAAGAGCAGGACAGAGCATTATTTGAAGGTAAAAGCCAATGTTAGAAAAATCCAGGAAATACCACACACACAAGGGTATGCAAGGAAAACTCAGGTCAGCTTCTCAGAAACAAGAACGAGGAGCTGATTAGGTAAATCAAGTCAGAAATAAGTGAGAGTTGAGGAGAGAACTCTGGGTTGCATCCATCAGTTTTATGCCATATCTAACCTTTATTGGGTCTCGTTGGCTGCATTAAGGACCATTGGAAGGGTACTGGGCACAGTTTCACTTGAAACGAGAATCATACAGGTAGCCCAAACTGGACCTTTGCTGCTCACAGAAATTCACATTTGCCACTAATGCAATACAAGGGGAGGCTGAAAACTAAACAGTATTATTGATAATGACAGAAAGCTTTTAGCCAGGCTCTCCTATGCAATGATGGATATTGTTTATCATATTTTACTTGTTGCTTTTAAACTTTCCTTGTCAGAATGAATCATGGCTATGGGGAAGGAGACCAGATTACAGACAATGTAATTTGTCTCATAGCAATTGCCCCTCATCAAGAGGCATGAACAGAAGTAAGCAGCAGAAACTGGCAGGTTTTCTGGGGTTGGAAATAATTCTCATTGCCAAAATCTGTCATGGGTGCACCTGGATCCATTAAAAAACAAAAAACAAAAAAGCATGCAATCTGTGATAAGGATGATTTCCTTCCTGCATCAACGGAGTGGTGTTTCGGGTTTGACTCTTGCTATCTGGTAGATTGATAATGGAGATTAATTTACTTATCTCTTAGCTGCATAAATTAGTGTATAGAAAAAACATCTTGCAGCTGCCCAGAATCTGTCATTAAAGATGCCTTAGTTAGTCTCCCCTCTTGGGCAATGAAGTATGTGGAAAGACACATAGCATGATTAGCATATACTGCTTTTCTCTATCTCTCTTTATTCTCAAAAATTCTAGGGCAATGGATAGACAACAAACACGTGTGAACTGTTTAACAGTGATTCAAATTATTGCATTATTTTTTTCTTGCTTTGACTGTAACTAGATCAGGTTTGGCACCATACAGGTAGATTATGATCACGACAGATTCAATTTGCTTATTATTCCTGGCAGAAATAAAATAATTTAAGAAAACCTTGAGTAACCAATATTGATATTTTGATAAACACTTGACTTACTAATTATGATTCTGAATGTAAGACTAATTCTTAAAACAAGCAATACTAAACAAAACAGAGACAGTGATTTAGGTCTACGAAATTAACAGAATTAATTACCCACCAGTGGAGAGGGAGGAAGTTCTTTAAGGCACTCATTACGTAGTTCTGGTGGCAAATGTGACACAGTTCTAGTGGTGCAACTTATTTGTGAAATGAATTTTAAAAATTTATAGACTGTTTTGCCAGTTGTGTTACTTCTGTCACATGTTCTTGCTTAACACAAGCTGTTTAACTGCAGTCCTGACATGTTCATCTGAACAACAGTGTACCCCATCCTCACAAGGAGGGAGTGGATCAGAAGGCAATCCTCCAAGCCTTTGACTGCAAGTTTGCACTGTCCAGTCAGGGTCAGACCTTCAGGACCCTGGGCTTAGTTCACATTTATAAGCCTTGATTACCTCAACATGAACCCAAAAGTACACCCCTAAATCACAAGGCATTGTGGAGAATAAATGAATTAGTGCATGTAAAGTATAGTATAGTCCCTGGCGCAGGGTGAATCATCAGTAAATGTAAGCTCTTTTGATCACTGTTGTTACGCATGAGTAGTTGTGATGTAATAAGGATTATAAATACTTTTTACTAATAAACAAACAAAAAATAGGTAGAAAGATACAATTTGAATCGGAACCATGGGAATGAATGAGAGGGGGCTGTAATTAGATACAGAGTGCAGAATGAATAGAAAAGTAGGAAGTAGGAGAGAATTCAGGTTGGTATAAAAATGAGTAGAGAATAGAAGAAGGAGAATAAACGGCATGTATTGAAGAAACTGGGGCCTGCTTAATGGAAAGAATGATTCAGTTTTTGTTTCATTCATTGCCTAGACAGATGGCCACCTATCAGAGTGATCCTCTAAGCCTCTTTCCACTCCTTACTCATTCTTCCCTGCAAAGAAGAACTGAGTTAATCTTAATTGGTTGGCTGATAACAGGTTTGGGTCCTCTTTTCTTAATTGGTGAGAATCACTCTATAAAACTTTAAGCATTGAAGAGCTTAGACTCTTCCTCTAGTTCCTTCTGAGATAGGGGGAGACATTCTTCCTTCATATGGGTGTCTACTCTGCAGATCTAAACCTTCCCACTGAGTTTGCCTATTGGGCAATTTGAAGATCTGAATTTAACTCAGGGGAGGGGCATCAGGCAGGTAGTGCCAGCAAGCCCTTATGGTTATATGTTAACCAAATCTTGCCACCTAGCCTTCATTGGTAATAAATCCTTTCAACTGTCTAATTCCTGTATCTGTCCTTTATTTGGGTGCAAATGGGGCTGTGAGTTGGGATGTTAAACACTAACGAGGCCATATAGAATCCAGGGAAGAATGAGAACAGTGGGGCAGTGTCACTCATGTATGCTGAACTATTCAATAGACTTCACATTGATGGTCTTGTTTTACCCTCACAATAGGCCTATTTATTCACGGGAGAATCCGACACTCTGAGCTCAACTAAGTCATAGAGTTTACAGGCATTAAAACAAGGTTTGAGTCTAGAGGTTTCTGAGCTCAACTCTGCTTTTTCTGCTACACGTCACCTTTAATGTTAAATTAAGAATATTAAACTTGATGTTTATTTTTTCTAATTATAAGCATTTGTGTGTGTGACTATATTTCCAATTTCCAGCTAGATTTAAAACTAAACTCAACATCAGGAAAAGGGATAATAGTATCTGTCTATTCCTTTCCTTAGAAAGCATAGAGTTGTTTATGTACCTGAGCTTCTGCAAATACTCATTTTTAGTATGTTTATAGGTTATAGATGATTATTTTACATATATTTTAGGGATTTCATAAAATCATGTTTTACGAACTCCAAGATTAGTGTCAAAAATAAAACTGAAGCCCAGAATTGAATTTGTGCCAGAAACATAAAGGAGCTTAGATGGATCAGTCTGGATTTCTGCAACATCAACCTCCTAAAATCTACTCATCATGGGAAGATGTCTAGAAGATCAAACTCTTGTCAAATATAGTAAGTGTTGAGTAAGGGAAGCCAGCATTACTATGTTTAACAACAATGCTCATCTCTTGCAAACAAGTCTACCATGAAATGCTGTTTGGAAAATTGCTTTTACCACAAATTAGATTTTTATTCTTTCTTTATTTTATCTCCCATTCCAAGGCACTACCATATTGGAGACAAGTATAATAAGTATGAATCATCTGGGCATACAGTAATCACCGCGATATGTTGGTGGAGTTTAATGACTGATTAGCTATTTGGCTAAAAAGTCATCCTCTTTCTAAAGATTTGTCTTTTGTTTGTAGAATGTTTTTCTGTGTGTTTTCCAAATAATTTCAATTAGCCCAGCTATACAATTTAATCTTATATGAACCTTATGTGATAGCTTCTCTAGCCCCCTACTTATACACCCCCTTGAATTTCGTGTTTATTTCTTGCTGGTATGCATACAGGGGCATAAATATTTGCTGTGTCACTACCCTCAAAATACCATCCATGTACCATCTCAGTAGTTCTAAAACTCTACTTGTTCATCACTCTGTATGAATGTATTAGTAAGTTCATTCCTTTTTTAAAAATGAATCAGTATAAATGCTCCTGTCAGCTATGGTTTACCAGATACCATTGTTGTATCTGGTTACCTCTCTGGCTTCTAATTCATTTCTTTTTTTTTCATATTACTGCATTTCATAGTATCATCACTCAATAGCGAACCTGGTTATATATGTTGTTGAATCAGTTGTCCCAGTAACTATTTACTAAGTCTTAAGAACTTACCTTATGTGATCAATGTTGCCAATTTCTTTTTTTTTTTGCCTTAATAAACAGGCTTATTTTAAATTTAGCTGAAGTGAAGTAACAAGCATCTATCAGGGAGACATTCTCACTAGTTGGGTTACATACAACCATAACTATAAAAACAGCAACAAAATAACACACTATTTTTCAGCAAAAGGTAAGAAGTAAAATGTAGAAAATATTTCTAAGTTCAGAGAATGTGCTTTTCCTCCAACCTAAGTTACATCTGTTCCAACATGTCTTTCTCCATGATGGTAGAGGGCTGTATGAAGTGGAAGGACATCAAGGAGTTGCTTCTATACTCGGACTTCTCACTCTTCTTGACTGCCCAGGAATGGGCTACCACTGGGAAATTTGTCCCTTGAGGATACTTAGAGAGGTCAAATCTTTTTTTTTTTTCCCTACATAACTTAATCTTATAAAAGCTACAAATACAAAAGTTACAAAGATAAATTTATTTAAGTCAGTTCTTCCTTATGTCTCTTCCTCCAATTTTTTCTCTTTATTTTTTCCTCCATCCCTTCCGTCTTCTTTTCTCTATAACAAGAAATGTCAGATATTGTCTTACAGTCATTGTTGTCATTATTACTAGTTCTCAGTCTACTTAGTGGAGAACATCACTCACTTGGAAAAAGTTTCAACAAATAAAATAAAAAATAAATCCACATTTAGCAGTGATCTTCTCAGCTTTCAAAAGTAAAATGACACCTCAATGAGTTTTAAATCAATTTTTCTGTCTATAATATTTGCCCTATTGAAAGTTCATCATGATAAAATAGATTATATTTTTTAGATAATATAGTTGTGTTCAATTCATCAGACATTAAATTGATGAAAACTGTTGTTCTGACATAATATATATTTCTGATTATAAATGAAAATAAAATTTAAAACAAGTTGTTCTAAATATTAAGTCCTAGTAAGTGAGAAAAATCCCATTTATTTCTCAGTGTGAATTATCATGAACTGGACTCAAGTATATGAAAATGTGCAATATGATTGAGTTAATATTGCCAATTAGTGGGGAAAGCATGATCGACTCAGTAATTTATAAGACAAATGGTTATCCAAAGAAAATATAACACTTCACATGATTTGAATTTGTGTCCCCACCCAAATCTCATGTCGAATTGTAATCCCCATTGTTGGAGGAAGGGCCTGTTGGGAGGTGATTAGATTATGTGAACCTATTTTCCCCCTTTCTATTCTCATGATAGAGAGAGAGTTCTCCTGAAATCTGATTGTTAAAAAGTATGTAATACCTCCTGCATCACTCTCTCTTCCTCCTTCTCTGGCTATGTCAGTTGTGCCTGCTTCCCCTTTGCCTTTCAACATAAAAGTTTCCAGAGGCCACCCAGCCATGATTCTTGTATAGCCTGCAAAACTGTGAGCCAATAACCCTTTTCTTTATAAATTACCCAGTCTCAGATAGTTCTTCATAGCAACGTGAGAACAGACTAATACAGAAAATCAGTACCAGAAGTTGAGAATTGCTTCCTGGAATTGTGAAAGCGACTTGGAACTGGGTAATGCTCAGATGTCAGAAGATTTTGGAGGCCTCCAAAGAAGATGAAAGATAAGGCCTGGATGTTAGACATGAAATCAAAAGAGATTATT
The DNA here is from genome assembly GCF_000001405.40 of Homo sapiens. Taxonomy (NCBI): domain Eukaryota; kingdom Metazoa; phylum Chordata; class Mammalia; order Primates; family Hominidae; genus Homo; species Homo sapiens. The sequence continues at coordinate 6,116,975 of NC_000002.12, forward strand.
TTGGAGGTTTAAGATTTAATGACTGCCCTACTGGGCTTCACACTTGCATGGGGCCTGTAACCCCTTTGTTTTGGCTGATTATTCTCTTTTGGAATGGGTATATTTACCCAATTTTTGTACCTTGATTGCATCTTGGAAATATCTAACTTGTTTTCTATTTTACAGACTCATAGGCAGAAGTGACTTGCCTTGTCTCAGATGAGACTTTGGACTTGGATTTTTGAGTTAATGCTGAAATGAGCTAAGACTTAGGGGACTGTTGAGAAGGGATTATGGTATTTTTCAATGTGAGAAGAACATTAGATTTGGGAGGGGTCGGGGCAGAGTGATGTGGTTTAGATTTTTGTCCCCATGAAATCTCATGTCAAATTCTAATCCTCAATGTTGGACAAGGAGCCTGGTGGGAGGTGATTGAATCATGGGGGGTAATTACCACTTTGCTGTTATTATAATAGTGAGTGAGTTTTCATGAGATCTAGTTGTTTCAAAGTGTGGAGAACCTCCCCCTTTGCTCTCTCCTACTCCTTCTCTGGCCATGTAAGATGTTGTTGTTTCCACTTCACCTCCTGCCATGATTGTAAGTTTCCTGGACATGTCCGTAGACATGCTTCCTGTACAGTCTGTGGAACTGAGTCATTTAAAACTACTATTAAAATTATTTTCTTTATAAATTACCCACTCTCAGTGTATTAGCTCATTTTTATACTGCTATAAAGAACTGCCCGAGACTGGCTAATTATAAAGGAAAGAGTTTTAATTGACTCACAGTTCAGCATTGCTGGGGAGGCCTCAAAAAACTTACAATCATATAAGAAGGTGAAGGGAAAGCAAGGCACCTTCCTCACTAGGTGGCAGGAAGGAGAAGTTCCAAGTGAAGAGGGAAGAGACCCTAATAAAACCATCAGATCTCATGAGAGCTCACTCACTATCATGAGACCAGCATGGGAGAACCACCCCCATAATTCAATTCCCTCCATCTGGTCTCTCCCTTGACACATGGGGATTACGAGGAGTATAATTCAAGATGAGATTTGGGTAGGGTCACAAAGCCTAACCATATCACTCAAGTAGTTCTTCATAGCAATGTAAGAATGAACTAACACAACATTGAAGCTTTGTTTCATGTTATAATAAAAAATACATTTCAAATACATTAAAAAGCAACATTTAAACTTTTAGAAACAAATATAAGAATACTTGTAACTTTGGGGAAGGGAAAATTTTCTTAAATAAGAAACATAAAGAAAAAATATTTTAAAAATTGAGAAAAATTAATACATTAAAATTTACCAAGCTTTACATCAAAACTATGTGAAAATAAAAGCTACAAGTGTGATTAAAGCCTCAATCAAAGGAAAAAATGCATCTACCATAATCAACCTCAGAAATAAAAATTTATGAATAACTTGACAATGAATTTAAAATAAGTGTGCTAAAAATTATTGAGTTACAAGGCAATACATATAGACAATTAACTAAAATCAGAAAAACAGTGCATGAACAAAATAAGAATATCAACAAAAGAGATAGCAACTATAAAAAAATACTAGGCCGGGCACGATGGCTCACACCTATAATCTCAACACTTTGGGAGGCCGAGGCGGGTGGATCATGAGGTCAGGAGATCAAGACCACCCTGGCTAACACAGTGAAACCCCGTCTCTACTAAAAATACAAAAAATTACCCAGGCATGGTGGCGGGTGCCTGTAGTCCCAGCCATTTGGGGACTGAGGCAGGAGAATGGCTTGAACCCGGGAGGCGGAGCTTGCAGTGAGCCGAGATCGCGCCACTGCACTCCAGCCCGGGCGACAGAGCGAGACTCTGTCTCAAAAAAAAAAAAAAAAAAAAAAATACTAACAGAAATTCTGGGGCTGAAGGATACAATAACTAAACTGAAAAAATTACTACATGATTTCAACAGCTGACTTGATCAAGCAGAAGAAAGAATCAGCAAATGTAAAGACATTTGGAATTCTACAGTTACAGGAGAAAAAAAGTAGAACATATTAAAAATAAAAAACTGAGCAATTTATGAGAGAATATTAAACAACAAATATATGCATTATGGGATCCTAGAAGGAGAAGAGAGAAAGAGATAGAAAACTTTTTTAAAGAAATGAAGAGAGAAAATTTTCCAAACTCAGTGAGAGATATGAACATCCAGGTAAATGAAGCTCAGAGATTCCCAAAAGGTTCAACACAAAGAGGACTTCGCCAAAAAATATTATACTATGTTTGTATATTATACACATATATAATTATGTACATACATATTATAATTTATATACATGTAATTGTGTACTGTACATATGTATACGTACATACAAACATAATGTATACATATGTTTGTATGTACGTATACATATGTACAAACATAATTATCTGTATGCATATAATGGAGAATTTGAAAGTGCCAAGAGAAAAGCAAGAGAATTTTGAAAGTGGCAAGAGAAAAGCAAGCTTACACACAAAGGTAGCTTCATAAAATAATTAGCAGATTTCTAAGCAGAAATCTAGCAGGCCAGGAGTGAGTATTACATTAAAAGTGCTGAAAGATTAAAAACTAAAACAAAAAAACCCCTGTCAACCGAGAACAATTTACCCAGCAGAGCTTTTGCTCAGAAATGAAGGAAGTAAATACATTACCAGACAAGCAAAACTTGAAGGAGTTCATCACGACTAGATGTGCCTCACAAAAAAATCTAAAGGCAGTTCTTCAACTTGAAACAAAAGGAAAATAAACAGCACCATGAAAACATATGAAAGTATAAAACTCACTGGTAAAGGTAAATATATTAACAAATAAAAATACTATAATACTCTCATGGTGGTATATAAATCAGTTTTGATTCCCATCCAAAAGTTAAAAGACAGAAGTAATACAAAATAGCCATAATTATAAAAAAGGTATAACTGATTTTTAAAGTGATAAATTTAAACACATATTGGATGATTATAGCATATAGATAAGTGAAATGAATTATACAAATGTCATCAGGACATAAGAAAATATTGGAACTACTCAGTTACACGGTATCTGCATATCACATAAAGTGGTATAGCATTATTTAAAGATGGGCTTAGATTAGTAGAAAATGTATATGTGAACTCTAAGGCAATAACTGAAAACATTTTTGAAAAGAATAATTGTTATGCTGAGAAAGAAGAAAAAATGGAATCATAAATGCTCTACTAAAATCATAGAAGTCAAAAAAGAGGAAACAAGATAAAAAGTATAAGAAAGAGAAAACAGTTATAAAATTACAGTTATTAATTTAAATATATCAATAATCTCTATAAATGTAAATTGTATAAACTCACCAATTAAAAGACAGAATAATCAAAGATGGAAACAGGAGCCAACAATAGTTGTCTTCAAGAAACCTATTTTTAATATAAAAACTCATCATAAAAGTAAAAAGTGGAGAAAGGTATACCATGCTAAAATGAATCAAAAGTAAGCTGGAGTACTTACATTAATTACACATAAATCAGAATTCAGAATGAGAAATGATGAGGAATAAAAAAGAGTTTAAAAATGTTGAGAGATATATTCTCCAAGAAGACCTTACATTTCTTAATGTGTATAAACCTAACAACAGAGTCAAACGACATGAGGTAAAAACTAATACAACTACAAGAAAAATATAGACAAATCCAGTCTTTCAGTTTAACATTTCAAAATGCTTCTTTCAGTAGTTGACCTGTTAAATAAGAATATAGTTAAACTAAATAGCACTATCAATCAACTTGATGTAATTGATGTTTATAAAATACTTCATTCGACAGAACGCACATTTTTCTTAAGCTTGCATAATGCAGTCACCAGAATATACCAAATTCTAGATCATGAAGCACACTTTAACATATCTAAAAGCACTGGGGTCATACAAAGTATGTTCTCAGAATAAATATCTTCTCCAAATTAAACTAGAAATCAAAACAGAGAGGTAGCTGGGAAATTCCAAAATATTGGAGATTAGACAGCATATTTATAAATAACACACCAAAGTTTAAATTTTTTGAAAAAAAGAAAATAAAAATAAAACATCAAAATTTGTGCGATGCACAAAAGTACCCAGTGTATTTATGTTTTTAAATGTAAATATTAGAAAAGAAGAAAAATGTAAAATTATCAAAGTACCCTTCTACCTTAGGTAACTAGGATAAAAAAAAATTTAAGCCTAAAGTAAACGAAAGAAAAGAAATAAAATTAGAGCATAAATCAACAGTGAACTTGGTGAAATTGTGACATTGATAAAATGAGAAGAACAAGAAAATAAATACAACTCAAAAGCCTACTCTCTGAAAAAAAATTAATGAAATTGGTTGTTCTATAACTTGGCTAATCAAGAAAAGAAAATGGAAGACACTAATTACCAATATCACAAATGAAAGAGGTGTCATTACTACTGAACATATGGTGTCAAATTATAATAAAAAATACTTTGAACAACTAAACATCAGCAAATTGTATAAGTTAGAAGAAATGGAGTAATTCCTTGACAGATACCAAGTGTCAACATTTATACAAGGAGAAATAGATAATCTGAATAGACCTATATCTCTATTAAAGCAATTGAACTAATAAGTAATAATTTTCCCCTGATGAAAGCACTCAGCCCAGATGGTTTTCCTGGTGAATTCTACCAAATACTTTAAAAAGAATGATACCAATTGTTCACAATGTGTTTCAAAAAACGAAAGCAGATGGAGCACTTTCTAACTCATTTTATGAATCCAACTTTCCCTAATACCAAAACTAAATAAAGATAGTATAAGAAGGGAAAACAGTTCAGAAATACATCTTACAAAAATACTAGGGGGTCCTGGAACCAATCCCTCTAGAATATTTCTTCAGTGTGTGTCATTTCTTTCTAAAGGAAAGGGTGGGGCAACTTTACAGGTGAGAAGCCTGACAAACACCACCTCAATCAAGTGATCAAACTCAAATATCATTGATGAAAAGTAGTGTTAGTGGTACGTACCCTTGATATGATGTGATAACGATGACACTTTACCTCCATGGTCTTCTGTACAAAAAAAAAAAATCACAATCTAATCATTAAAAATATATTTACATAAGTTCAGCCATTGTGGAAGACAGTGTGGCGATTCCTCAAGGATCTAGAAATAGAAATACCATTTGACCCAGCCATCCCATTACTGGGTATATACCCAAAGGATTATAAATCATGGTGCTATAAAGACACATGCACACGTATGTTTCTTGCGGCACTATTCACAATAGCAAAGACTTGGAACCAACCCAAATGACCAACAATGATAGACTGGATTAAGAAAATGTGGCACATATACACCATGGAATACTATGCAGCCATAAAAAAGGATGAGTTCATGTCTTTTGTAGAGACATGGATGAAGCTGGAAACCATTATTCTGAGCAATCTATCGCAAGGACAGAAAACCAAACACCGCATGTTCTCACTCATAGGTGGGAATTGAACAATGAGAATACTTGGACACAGGGTGGGGAACATCACACACTGGGGCCTGTCGTAGGGTAGGGGGAGGGGGGAGGGATAGCATTAGGAGATATACCTAATGTAAACGACGAGATAATGGGTGCAGCACACCAACATGGCACATATATACATATGTAACAAACCTGCACGTTGTGCACATGTACCCTAGAACTTAAAGTATAATTTTAAAAAAATAAGAAGAAAAAATAAATAAATAAATAAATAAATAAATAAATATATTTACATATTAGACAAATCCCAAGCGAGGGACATTCTTCAAAATGCCTATCTAACCCTCCTCGAAACTGTTAGGGTCATCAAAAACAAGAAAATTCTGAGAAACTGACAGAAAAGAGGTGCCTAAGGAGACATGATGGTTAAATGTAATATGGTATCCTGTATAGGATAGTGAGACAGAAAAAGGATATTAGGCAAAAATTAAGGGAAACCAATTAAGAATGGATTTTGGTTAATAAATATGTGTCAGTTTTGGTTCATTAAATATAACAAGTGTAGCATGATTGATGTGGAGTATAGGGGAAATGTTACAGGGTATATGGAAACTCTGCATTTTTATTGCAATTCTTCTGTGAATCTAAAACTGGTCTAAAACAAAATGTATTTAAAAATAATTTTTAAAAAGGGGAACTGCTGAATATAATGAATTAAGATAGGAAATTTATACAAAGTTACCCTAGTAGATGATTAAAGTACCCTCTTCACCTACGTGATATTTTAATAAAAGCATTTTTCCCATGGAATATTCATAATAGCAGTCAGCATCTTTCCTGAGAACTTTAACAGATGTGTCTTACTGAGAAGCATTGGAGGCTTTCTGTAGCTTACAGAAATTCTCGTGTGTATTGATGGCAAGGGGAATTAAAATGAACCAAGCGTAGAGTAACAGACGTGTCAGGGAGGATTTGACCAGACTCCAACTTCTGGAAGACATTCCAAACATTCAACTGATGGCTTGTTGTCCACTGTACAAGGTTGCTTCACAATATCTTTTCTTCTGAAAAGTTACAGGACAGTAATGGGCAAAGGCAATCTGTCCTGCTACTAAATAGGAGTTATCAATTTATTGCATTAACGTGCTTGTTTCTTAGAAAGTCCTTCCTTGCCCTCATCTTTCTTCCTTTCCCTTTCTCCCTAGTTCCCTCTTTTCTTCCTTCCTTCCCTCCATCTATCCCTCCCTCCTTTCTTTCTTTTCTTTTCCTTTCCTTTCATTTCCTTTCCTGTCCCTTCCCTTTCTTCCCCTTCCCTTCTCTCTCCCTCCCTCCTTTCCTTCCTTCCTTCTTTCCTTCCTTCCTTCCTCCCTCCCTCTCTCTCTCTTCTCTTCTCTCCTCTCCTCTGCCCTTCCTTCCTTCCTTCTTTCCTTTCTTTCTTTCTTTCTCTTTCTTTCTTTCTTTCTTTCTTTCTTTCTTTCTTTCTTTCTTTCTTTTTCTTTCTTTCTTTCTTTTTCTTTCTTTCTTTCTTTTTCTTTCTTTCTTTCTTTCTTTCTTTCTTTCTTTCTCTTTCTTTCTTTCTTTCTTTCTTTCTTTCTTTCTTTCTCCTTCCTTCCTTCTTCCTTTCTGTCTTTTTCTTCTTTTCTTTCTGTCTTCCCATTAAAATCACTGATTTCTGCACCACACAGAAGCAGGTAATGTGTGTAAATGGTTATCATCTACTTAGACCAAGAATGCCAAGAAAATGCAGAATTAGATTTAAAAGGTACAGAAATACGTTTTAATTCAAGATATTTATTGCATATTTTAAAATAACTAAGAATAAAATCGGAATGTTCCTAACACAAGCAAATGCTAAATGCTTCAAATGCTGGATACACCAATTACCCTGTGATGATTACATTACCCATTGTACGACTATCAAAACATTACATATACCACATAAATACATATAGCTATTATGTGCCTATAATAATTAAAACTTAAAAATAAATGAATGAATAAACAAATCAATAAAAAGGAAACAAAGAATAGCTGTTTCACTTTTCATCTCCAGTGTAAGCCTGGGCCTGGAATGGTAGAGAAAACAGAAAGCCTCTGCGCTCCGCTTATAGAAAAATTATGTAACTTGATTACAAAGATTAGTTATAAAATTCTGGAATTTGGCCGAGGGCGGTGGCTTATTTTGTAATTCCAGCACTTTGGGAGGCTGAGGTGGGTGGATCACCTAAGGTCAGGAGTTCAGGACCAGCCTGGCCAACACAGTGAAACCTCATCTCTACTAAAAATACAAAAATTAGCTGAGCATGGTGGCAGGTGCCTTTAATCCCAGCTACTCAGGAGGCTGAAGCAGGAGAATCACTTGAACCCAGGAGGTGGAGGTTGCAGTGAGCCGAGATCGCCCATTGCACTCCAGCCTGAGCAAAACTTCGTCTGAAAAATAAAAAATATACAAAAGTAAAATAAAATAAAATTCTGAAAATTCCCAAGTAACACAAGATTTTACAAATATATTCTTAAATTGAAGTTTTGATATTAATGTGAATAATTCCCATTTGTATAGCGTTCCCCTTTCACTCTCACATTCACAGGACTTTCATGTATTATCACATGTGATCCTCAACTCTGGGCCAAGGAAATGTGACTACTTTTGGCATGATCTACCTAGATCATAGATCTTAGGCAAAGTCTATCTCTCTTCTTTATGCACCTAATAGTGATGCAATATTTCTCATTTTTTTCTGATTTTGCCCAATTCATATGACCCCCAAAATAAAATATTTATTCTTTATAGCTTCCAACTGATAAAATTGCACATAAATTGCTTTGGATCTTGACTTTTGGAAACTAATTTGTCTGCATGATTGCAATAGGTTTACGTATTTATTTGATATTAGCATATTTATCAATGTTGTAGCTGATAATTAATCTACTTTTTATTATTTCAGTGTTTTCAATGAACCATATAATTTTTCTTCAGTTAAAATAACTGATAACCTTTCCCTTGGCCTTTTATAATTTTTATGTAAATCTCTTCTTCCTTCATAATAAAGGAAACAATAATACTATTACTTCTGTAATTTACCATGAATTATTTAACTGAAGAATTACCATCAGAAGCACAGTAGAAAACATGGTGCGTACACTTCACAAAGAGGTGGGTCAAGCCACCATCACACACACTTAGTCATTAATTTTAATAAGCTGAGGGGGTGAAGAGGGCAGCATGAGAAGGATATGTCTACATTTTCCAACAATCATGGGAGGCATGAGGGATTTTTTACTCATACCCCCTCATCCATCTCAGAGGCTCAATCAATATCAGGAGATCCTTCATCATCATTAATTGATTCAAAGAAAAGTCTCTGCTTCTAGTTTATATAACAAAACAGCCAGAGCCTGCATTGCAGAAAGGGTCTTAGCAATGTTATAAATTTTGGGGTTAGAGAAATTGAGAAGTTTAACTAAAAGAATTGGTCTCAGAAGACCCACTCCTACTTAAAAGCATTACCCTGAGGATTACTGCCCTTGTTGGTTGATGTTTAATGTGTCATTTTAGAATCAATGGATGAAATTTGGGCTGGAAGGCACACAGGGCTGCATGTAGGGGAGGGGCAGTGAGGCACAGAGGAGGAATTGCTGGGAGTCAGCACATGTAGCTCGACATTGCATGGCCAGCTCTGTCATTAGGAAGCATCCGCAGGGGTCACAAGTGTGTCACGTGGCGAGATGTCTTAGTTTTATCTGTAGAAGTTGGGGTAATGATACCATATCAGTCAGGATTCTCTAGAGAAACAGAACCAACAAGAGATTTTATATGTAAATGAGATCTATCATAGGGATTGGCTCACATGGAGGCGGAGAAGTCCCATAATCTGCTGTCTGCAAGCTTGCTGGAGAGCCAGGAAGTGGATGGTGAATTTAGTTTGAGTCTGAAGGCCTGAGTATAAGGGGTACAGATATTCCAGTCCAGGAGTAGATGAATGGCTCAGCTTATGCAAAGGGAGCAAAGTCACTCTTTCTCTGCCTTTCTGTTCTACTCAGATCCTCAATGGATTAGATGATGCCCACACACATTGGAGAGGGCCACCTGCTTGACTCAGTTCACTAATTACAATACTAATCTCTGCTGGAGGCACCTTCACAGACACACCCAGAAATACTGTTTTACCTGCTACATGGGCACCCCTTAGCCCAGACAAGTTAACACATCAAATTCACCATCACAAATGCGCATTCTACTTAGGCTATGGAATTGTTGAGATGATAGAATAAGCAGTAAATAAATAAGTGCTTTTCAACGTGCAAAGTGTTGTGCACTATAAAGCCTGAGCTCATTTAGAGAGGTGTGGAGGATGAAGAACAAGCATCTAAGTCAGGAATTCAGTAAGACCACACGTTCCAGGCCTGGCCCCGGTAAAGACTGACTGTGTGATCTTAGCAAGCCAATTATCTGGAAAGAGAGATAGGAAATGAGGTTGGACCAATAAAGGCACTTTGATTTCACCCATTAACTAGTTTTACCAACATTGCAAAGTCACGATGGTAAATGTTGGGAATGAAATCTTCAAAACATAGCTTTTAACTATTCTGTGTAAATTGAAGGTGTATCTTTTTACATAAAGTTCTATGTACAAATTGTATTCATTTAATTTTATAGAATTTTGAAAAGCACTTTAATTTCACAGACATTTACTACAGAATACTTACTGTTGGCTAGTAAAGATGACATTAACACCATTGGAGATTTTCTTTGTATTACCTTGAAATAAAATTATTTGCAAAGGTATAACAGACTAAAAGCATAACTATAAATCTTCATTATCAAGTTTATGAAAGAGTATTGAGAGAAACTGTAAAATTTAAGATCAAATGAGATTTTTAAAGCATACACAATTATTGCCTGAACATGTATAGCTGGAATAATTATCCTTCTGAAAATTCAGAAAGACACATTAATAAATTTAAAAATAAACCATATTAAAGTATACCTGTGTGTGCATTAGTTCTGTGTTTCTTCCTTGAGCTTCTTTTGTGGATGAGTTAAGTTTATTGAAATTTTAATATTTTACTTGGCCATAAATCCTCATATATTTTCTGTGTTTTTTTATACTTAGGTATGTCTAGTGAATCAACATGGTCTAGCTGCTATGGCCAGTAATCCCCAAATTTCACAAGCTCAACAAAAAGAAGTTTTATTTATATCTCACTTTATATATAGTCCAATGTGGGTTGGGGACAGTGGCTGCTCCATAGTCATCCAGGGACATAGGATTGCTTCCACATCCCCTGGGAGTCAGGCTTCCCCTCAGGATCCACCACACTTGGACTGCAGTTGGGTAAAGAGAAAGAGTGGGAGGAAGTACGGGAAGGTTTACCGCCCAGCCTGAAAATGATTGTCTATCTAGAGTGATCGTATAATTTGTCATCCAAACTGGGACACTTCTGAGAGCTAAAAGCACAGTGCTCATAATAATGCCGGGAACACAGGCATGAATAAGGACTGCTTTGGACATACTGAAATGCATGTAAAACAATTCTATCTATGTCCTGTCATCATAATGCAGTCTTGTGGCCTCTGAGCTGCAAGAGATAATGGAAAATGTAATCCAACTATGAGACTAGGAGGAAAACAATATGAGATTTGGCCAATACTGCAATGTCTCTGACTCGTGTATCTTGGTGTATCAGTCTGCTAGTATTTTAGCACATTCTGAGGCCACAGGATTAGAAAGAAGCCAAGCCCCATGCAGGAAGAAAATAAAGTAACATTTGTTGGGTGTCTACAAGGTGGGATAAACAATTTTGCAGAGTCATTTAATTCTCAGAAGAAATTTTGGGGTTGTTCTTATCATCATCATCATCATCAATAATTCATTTTTAAGGATGAAAATATTAAAGCTACAAAAGATCATGTATCTTTCAGTGACAGCCCGTAAATGCAGGAGCAGAGATTCAAAGCCAGATTCAGCTACATGCAACTCCTGCCCTTTCCATTGTCCTAATATTGTTCAAAGAAATACACAGAAGTACAAAATGGCCTTCGCTCTCCAGGCACTTACAATGTATTTAATAAATGAATAAATACTTTTAGGCCATTGCTTATTAATTCTTGTACTGTTGCTGATGAAGGAGTAGATACGGAGGATCACCAGTAAATTATTACTTTAAGAATCATGGTTACTGTCTTCATAGAGTTTATAGACTGGAGGAGAGTCATTAATCAAATAATCACATGGATAATGTAAAATTTCAACTGTAAGAGCGCACGAAGGAGACGAAAGCATATTCTATGCGAGTTGACAAGATGTGGCTTATTCTGTACAGACTTGTAATTTTTCATTTCCTCCCAGTTTTTGTGTTTCTGTCACATAAACAAAATGTATTTTCAGAGCCTGGAGGCAAAGGAGGGATCTTGAATCATAGACAATAGTCAGTTGGCCTGAGATTGCTGTGTATTTTTCAGGAACAACTGACTCTGACACCTGAGAAGAGCAAACACAGATTTTTACTTCCTTCCATGCTCTTGGCAGTGCAGGTTCCTATTCTGGGCCTTTGGGGTCACACTGCAGGTCTAGTTACTATTTTCCAGAAATGCATTCCTAGCTAAGTATCTACTAAGCCTAACAGGGAGAAGAAAACATGTAAGCCAACCAGCCAAACAAAAACACAAAATAAAAACACCTTCTCCATAGGACTATGTGATCTGCAAACAAATAAAGGCCTGAAATTGTAAGATGTAAGTCAATTTTTCATTATCAGTATTAGGGTGGAGGAAAGCTACCTAGATAAACTATGTTTTGGCCTGCTAGATGTTTCATGCAGGGAATAGAGAAATCACAAGAATATAATTCAGAATATCTATTTCTGGATTACATTTTCCTAAGAAAATTATCTAGCCTCTCTGGTCCTCAGTTTTCTGATTTGTGGGAAAAAAAAATAATGACTATGAATAGTCTTTATTTACCATGAGGCCATTTCCACAGGTAACTCATTTAATCATCCCCCAAAATCCATATCCAACCACTGTTATGTAGATAAACAAACTGAGGTACAGAGAGGCTGGGTAATTTTCCTAGAGTTGTAAATTAGAATATGATAATGATAGGCTACAAATTCAATTATATATAAGGTCTATATAGCTATAAAACCGTATGTTTCTAATTTTTCTCAAAAAATAAAACTAACAGTTAAAAAAGTTTACGGTGGCCGGGCATGGTGGCTCACACCTGTAATCCCAGCACTTTGGGAGGCCAAGATGAGCAGATCACGAGGTCAGGAGTTCGAGACCATCCTGGCTAACATGGTGAAACCCTGTCTCTACTAAAAATACAAAAAATTAGTCAGGTGTGGTGGCAGACGTCTGTAGTCCCAGCTACTCGAGAGGCTGAAGCAGAAGAATGGCATGAACCCGGAAGGCGGAGCTGGCAGTGAGCCGAGATAGTGCCACTGCGCTCCAGCCTGGACAACAGAGCGAGACTCCATCTCAAAAAAATTAAAAAAAAAAGTTTATGGTATAAATTTGTGATATGTACCTATATAAATATATGTAAATAACATTTACTTTCACAGATTTTTAGAAAGTTTGTGGAAACATGAAGTATGTTTCTTACTCATATACACAGCTTCAAATATATTTTCTCACGTATCAAAAATAAGAAATCCAGCTCAGTTGCCAAGGTTCATGGCTGTAATCCCTGTGCTTTTGGAGGTTGAGGCAAGAGGATCGCTGGAAGCAAGGAGTTTGAGACCAGCTTGGGTAACATCGTGAGACCTTGTCTCTACAAACAAAAAGAAAAGTTAAGCTCACAGATGTAGAGGGTAATATGGTGGTCACCAGGGGTTGTGGGCAGGGCAGGGATTAGGAGATCCATGTTAAAGTACACAAAATTTAAGTTAGGTAAAAAGAATAAGTTCTAGAAACCTATTGTACAACACAGTGGCTGTAGTTAATACAATATATTCTATACTTGAAAATTGCTAAAAGTATATTTTCAGTGTTTTCATCACAAAAAAGTAAGTATATAGAGTAAGACTGATATCAGTTAGCTTGATTTAGCCATTCTACAATGTGCACATGTATCAAAACCGCCTGATGTGCATGATAAATGTATACATTTTTGTCAATTAAAAATAAATAATAGTAATAAAATATAAGCATATTGGAGAGTATGTTGACGATGGCATCCTGCTGGTAGAAGTCTAAACTAGAAAAATTGTTGTAGGAGTAAGTTAGGATTTTATGTTCAAAGTCTTAAATATTGATATTTTTGGAGATATCACAAAAAAATTAATATTTCAGTTAAAGAATAATAATTTAAAAAATTATCTTTCACCAAAGGGTGCAATAGTACACAGTCTCTGAATACAATGTTCATTAACAATTTGTAAACTAGGAATTGTTCACAATATAATGCCATATGAAAAATGCATAGCACAAAAATGATACATTCACCATGAGATAACCGTCAGATATATGTTAATATGACGAGAGACAGATAGAGACTAGATGTAACTATAAAAATGTTAACAGTAGTTTTCTTCTGATGATAAAATGTAAAGTTTTCTTTTTTAAAATAGTTTGGAGTGTCAAAAATTTCTATTATTTATTTTTACAATGAGAAAAAATAAGCTAAATTTATAATGAGATAAAATAGAATATAATCATTTTAATATGTATTAGATTAAAACGTGCTCATAAACCTTAATGGTTTCAAGTAGCGTCTTGAGTTGTTATTCCATCCACCCTCATCTTTCCACTGTGCCTTCAATAGGCCAACGCTCTGGCTCTGACAACATCCACGTCAGAAGCAGCTATGCAACAGTCAGAAGTCCAGGAACCACGATTCATATCTGAGCCAATAAATGTGGATGATTAGGGGGCTTCCTTTATTTTATTACCTTCTGCTCAGATTCTGGCGTATTTCCCACTGGGGATTACCGTGGATAAAGGATCTTAATTCTTGTTTTCCAAGTATTTGTGTGAACATTCTCTGAACTTGACCTGTTTGGCTGTCCGGGAGCCTGCCAGGAGAGCCCAGGGCCTTCATTGCTGCTCTGCGGGGCTCAGCTGCCTGGTACACAGACTGCTCTGCTCTTCTTTGCTCAGGGCTGGGCCTGGCAAGGACCTCACAGAGACAGGGGAGTCAGGAGAGACCTGTTCTCCTGGGCCCACTGATTCCTTCCCAGGGAAACAGGAAGTTTTTCTCGTTCCCTCTTGCAGCTGACCAGCGTTGCCCTGAGCGAGGGAGAGATGCCTCTGCCAATATCTATTTGTATTTTTGACCCCAACTAATCACAAAACTGCTTTTGTTTTGAACAGCTACAATGATGGCAAATAACTTCATTTCCTACCCTTTTCTATATTTATACACACAGACACAGACACGCAGACACACACACACAAGCACACACATCTATCCCATCAGTTTAAATACTATTTTAACAAGGGACAGAAGATGGGGAGTAGACTGGGGAGATGTTGGTCAAAGGATACAGAATTTCAGTTACACAAGAGAAATAATTTCAAGAGATTCATTGTACAACATGGTGACTATAGTTAATAATAGTGTGTCGTATACATGAAAATTGCTGAGAGTCGATTTTGTGTTCTTACCACAAAAAGCATGTGAGGTAATGAATATGTTAATGAGCTTGATTTAGCCATTCAACAACGTATGCATATATCAAAAATCATGTATACCACAAATATAAACAATTTGTACTTGTCAATTACAAATTAGTAAATAAAACAATACTATTTCAGAAAAAAACAGCCAAAATATCTGACAATATAAGCACACCTCGCATGTGTACACATGGCTTTGTGTGTGCAGTATGTCCAATTTCAATAATGTTACTTTGAGGTTAGTGGCAGAAAGAGAGGAAGAAGGCAAATCCACAGACAAATAGAAAATTCTTACCATATCCTTAAGATTTCTTTGTAGTCAAAATCCAAGGATAAAAAGAGGATAAAGAATTCTGCCTGGCTGAGGGATTCTGTCTCATTTTCAATATGCTTAATGGACCATGCAGGTATAGTCTGAAAGATGTCATTGCAAAGGAACATGTGACCAGTGAAAGGGCCTCGGCCTTTTTTTGCCATTGCTATTAGAGCCAAAATCTACCACTGCTAGGCATTATCATTGGCTTCCTCAACCGTGGAGCATTCCTGATCCATTGCAACTCTAAGTCTCATTAAATGCACATAGCATAAACCCTCTGACCTCTGTAACAGGGAAATGGCTAAAAAGAAGAACCAGTATTGGAAGTCCCTCTATTTCTAATACTATTAATTTAATGCATTCACCAGAGAAAATAATCAATAAATTGAAGTGTATCAGAAGTAGTGAAGTGTAACTAGAACAGATTCTATATTTGATTACTGGTGGCAAAGTGTAGAGTTTCATGAGTGTCTGTGAGCCAAATCCTTCTTCAGCAGTTTCCCTTTGCATGTGCCTTTTTGTGTCACATTTAAAAATACCAGGGCTTGTGGACAATGTATACCAGCTTCATATCTGTATTGATTTTTTTATTCTTTCTGAATTGAATGTGAATATAAATAAAACCTTGACCTTCATATTAAGAGCACCACCAAAAGCTTCCTTTGTTTGCAAAAGATATCACTAGGCTCCTCTATAAGAAGCTCCAGTGTGAGTGGAACATTGAAAAAGCTCAACATTTTCTGTAGAAATTCAGAAAAACCTTTCATTTTTCTTTCTTTAAATATAAACTCTATATAACTTCTGTCAAAAGCAAAGAAAAGCCCAGTGGGTACCTGAGCTGTGGCAATATTTCCCCAGCCGAGAATATGAATGTGCATTCATAAGCAGGATGCCCTGTGACGGAGGGGGAGGGACAGGATGCCCTGTGACGGAGGGGGAGGGAAGGGTCTGGATAGAAAATCAGAGACTCATTCTGGCCACATCAAAGGCAATGCCAGAATTTTGACATTAAAGTTTTAAAAATATTTATTTTATATTTTATTTTATGCGTAAGAACCTAGAATTCGACATTCATTTTGGAATGAAATCGTTGTGCAGATTGAAATAAAGAAAGGGAGAGAGAATAGAGAAAAAGAAAGAAGGATAGAGGGAGAGAGAGATTGAAAATTAAGGTCAGAAAAGCAAAGAGCAGTGGAAATGTTTAACCAAGTATTTTATAGACTCTCGCATGTATTCAAATACAAATACACAAACTGGGCCCATTTGTTGAGATCTAAAGCAAATTATGAATGGATGGCTAAAAAAATGCTTTTCTTTGTCTTGGCAAAACTTTGTTTTTAAGTTTTCAGGAAAATCTACATTACATTTGAAACAAAAACAAACAAAACCCCTCATAGTAATATCATCCAGTGGTAATGACACCAGTGTTGTAAGCCAGGAAGCCTCTGCTAAACCCTGGGTTTGTATTTAGTTATGCAAATATTTGTCAACACCTTAATGGTGCTTCCAGTTTCTCATCAGAAAATGGGCAAAGGAGGACACAGTGAGAAGACGGCCACTTACAAACCAGGAACTGGAGCCTTGCCAACACCTAATCTGCCCTTGGACTTCTCAGCCTCCAGAACCATGAGAAATAAATGGCTGTTGTTTATACGCTACCCAGTCTATGGTTGTCTGTTACAACAGCCCAAACTGACTAAGACAATAGCTAATGATGCTGACAAACGGACAAGACAGATAGATAAAATTCTCCTTCAGGGAGCCAAAAAAAAGCTGAATTTGTCAGCAGTCAAGCAACAGAAGGAAGCAGAGCACTAATATTACAACATTTAAACATTTTGACTTCGTTCAGGCTGAAGCCAGATAAACACCCTGGACTTTTCGGTTTCACAAAATCCCTTTGTTGACCTATGAGTTAGAGGAAGAAATGAGGTGAGAAGTCACCACATATCATTCTTAGGTCCAAACCAGCTTGATAAATCCTAGAACAGACTAACTTTAAAATGATTATTGGACTAGAAAGACTGATTCATTTCAAGATACATTAATTTAGCACCCACTGTGTACTATGTACTTATCATTAGGACAAAATCTCAGCTCTGGACAGCCATTCATCTTCAATGGACATTCACAAGTGAAGTGTAAATAATTCAGCAAGGCCTAGGTGAAATGCCTGATGTAAAGATCCATCTATATATTCAAATTTTACAAAAGTATGTTTCCCTTTTATCAACTTGCAGTTTTCCTCACAAAGCTATATTTCATAGCTGCCTAACTGTATACTGCATTCTGACACCCTTTTCAACAAATGGTGCTGCGATAACTGGCTAGCCACATGTAAGAAAATAAAACTGAATCCTCATCTCTCACCTTATGCAAACATCAACTCAAGATGGATTAAGGACTTAAACCTAAGACCTGAAATTATAAAAATTCTAGAAGATAACATTGGAAAAACCCTTCTAGACATTGGCTTAGGCAAGGATTTCATGACCAAAAATCCAAAAGCAATTGCAATAAAAACAAAGATAAATAGCTAAGACCTAATTAAACTAAAGGGCTTTTGCATGGCAAAAGGAACAGTCAGCAGAGTAAACAGAATTCACAGAGTGGGAGAAAATCTTCACAATCTGTACATCTGACAAATGAATAATATCCAGAATCTACAAAGAACTCAATCAAATCAGTAAGAAAAAAACAATCAATCCCATCAAAAAGTGGACTAAGGACATGAATAGACAATTCTCAAAAAAAGATAAACAATTGGCTAACAAACATACGTAGAAATGCTTAACATCACTAATGATCAGGGAAATGCAAATCAAAACCACAATGCAGTACCACCTTACTCCTGTGAGAATGACCATAATCAAAGAATCAAAAAACAGTAGGTTTTGGCATGGATGTGGTGATTAGGGAACACTTCTACACTGGTGATGGGAATGTAAACTAGTACAGCTACTGTGGAAAACAGCGTGGAGATTCCTTAAAGAACTAAAAGTAGAACTACCATTTGATCCAGCAATCCCACTACTGGGTATGTACCCAGAGGAAAAGAAGTCATTATTCAAAAAATATAGTGGAACATGCCTGGTTATAGCTGCACAATTCACAGTTGCAAAATAGTGGAACCAACCGAAAAGTCCACCAATCAATGAGTGGATAAAGAAACTCTGGTGTGTATATATATATATATATATATATATATATGATGGAATACTACTCAGCCATACAAAGGAATGAATTAACAGTATTTGCAATGACCTGGATGAGATTAGAGACTATTGTTCAAAATGAACTAACTCAGGAATGGAAAACTAAACATTGTATGTTCTCACTGATATGTGGGAGCTACAAGGGTGCAAAGGCATAAGAATGATACAGTGGACTTTGGGGACTTGGGAGGAAGGGTTGGAGCAGGGCGAGGAATAAAAGACAACAAATATGGTGCAGTGTATACTTCTCGGGTAATGGGTGCACCAGGTTCTCACATATCTCCACTAAAGAACTTATGTAACCAAATACCATCTGTACCCCAATAACTTATGGAAAAATAAAATGAAAAAACAAAGACACTGGAAGATAAAAAAGAAAATGGGTTAGGGATAGCTCAGATTAAATGAAGTAGTACAGGGAAAGCATTGAGAATAGTACCTGACTCAAAGTCAGTGCTCAGTAAATACTAAGTGTTATTATTACTGCTCAACTACTAGAAAAAGTCCAAAACTTCCATGAAACCTCATGGGATCACTGGGAATATGGAGGTGTGGGGGCTGAGTGAGAATTCTAAGATACAGAAGACTATGATTGCATATCAAATACATACATACTTAAGATATTCAAGTACACTTTATAACCTGGTTTGATGAATAATGTATTACCAAATGAACTAATTTAAGAAACACTTAAATGAAATGGATGTAAATGAACGTTCCCAAAATTTTGCAAAATGTCTTTTCAAGCCACTAGTGATTTTTTCTTAGTCCTCCATTTGGTCATAAATTTGCTTGTGCATGTAATGAGAATAGTTTAAAAAGGTAGTCTAAACATTGTCTCAAGTTCCAAAGGACTAAATACTTTATAAATTCACCTTTTATTCTGCATTAACTGCTGGTTAAATAATGTAAAATTCTGGCTAAAGGTTATAGTCAGTAGGTAAGAGTTGATAGGAAAGAAAAAAAAAGAAGTCCCAGAGTCATTAAAAATTATGCTTAGGGGTAAAAGTGTTTAAAAAGATACTTCAGAGTTTAGATATTCGTGGGCTCCCCCTTCCGCTTTTACTCCCTCTTTCCATCTTTCCCCCTCCCTTTCTCCTCTCCTTCCACTTTCTCCAAAGTATAAATCAGTTGCTGATATGGTTTGGCTCTGTCCCCACCCAAATCTCATCTTGAATTGTAGTTCCCTTAATCCCCATGTGTTGTGGGAGGAGGGATCCAGGGGGAAGTAACTGAATCATGGGAAAGGTTACCCTCATGTTGCTTATACTGTTCTCGTCGTAGTGAGTAAGTTCTCATGAGATCTGACGGTTTTATAAGGGGCTTCCCCCTTTGCTCAGCTCTCATTCTTCTTTTTCCTGCCTCCCTGTGAAGAAGAATTGTTTGCTTCCCCTTCCACCATGATTGTAAGTTTCCTGAGGCCTTCCCAGCCATGCTGAATTGTGAGTCAATTAAACCTCTTTCCTTTATAAATTACCTAGTCTCAGGTATGTCTTTATTAACAGCGTGAGAATAGACTAATACAGTTGCTAAGTGCTTTGGAAGCACTGCAAGGAACTACGGCTGGTAGAAAAGGCTTCACAGAGGAGGTGGCATCTGACCAGGGTTAATAATACATGACTACATTATTTTTCTACTTTAATATAAATCCTATTGTAATATATACTTTTTAGATGGCCACTAAGAAAAAGTATGTTTCTCCAATTAAATGCTAACACAGTGTCAACTTTAAAACACATTGGAAATCTGGGGAGACCTTAGCTGTTCAGATTCTCAAGGACAAGTTTTGGAGAGGAGACAGCTGCACAGAAGCAGAATCCCAAAAGCCTACAGAAGGTCCCCTCAAACCAACAGCTGAGCATAGATCAGCAAATGCATGTGAGGATACCAATCAAGGCAAAGGAATGAAGCACCAAAAGCATGAAGTTAACAGTTTCCAGTACTCACACACGGCCAGAGACAATGCCTGTTCCCACCAGCCAGGCAGGAAATCTCAAGATTCATAGTGCATTGGGTCAAGGACACGGAAGGTCATGCTTCAATAGGGAGGAATAATTGCTCTCCTCAGGGTGGTGCTCTGTTCTCATGTAACAAATCATAAAAGTATACCCATCCCAAAATTCATATTAAAGAGAAAAGGAATCAGAATTTTTAAAGACAAGAACTAAGTTAATGGACTATACCAGATTCAAGAATTATAAAGCTAGAGTAATCAAAGCAGTGTACAATTGGAGAAAAAAAACCACATACATCAATGGCAAAGAAAATAGTTCAGAAATTGATCCACATGTACACTGACAACTTATTTTTGACAAGGCTGCAAAGTCAAATCCATGGAGAACACATAGACTTTTAGACAAATAGTGGCGAGCAATTGCACATTACACGTAAAAAAATAAAATGAAAGCAAACTCGTTCTATGCCCAGATCACTCCATAATTAAAATTAAACCAAAATATATCATAGATTCACATGTAAACCCTAAAACTACAAAACTTCTTGAAAAAAACATAGACTTCCAGTTAGACAAGAATTTTTAGACAATAATTTATATATGATACGAAAAGCATGATAGATAGAAGAATACATTTAAAAACTTCTGCTCTTTGAAAGACGCTTTTAAGAGACTAAAAAGACATCACAAACAGGGAGAAACTATTGCAAAACATATCCGATCTAGGTCTTGTATCTCTAATATATAAAAAACTCTCAAAAATCAGCAATAAAAAATAACAAATTTAAAAATCATCAAAAATGGCTGGGCACAGTGGCTCACGCCTGTAATCCCAGAACTTTGGAAGGTTGGAAGGCCGAGGTGGGTGGAACACTTGAGGTCGGGAGTTTGAGACCGGCCTGGTCAACAGCGTGAAACTCTGAGTCTACTAAAAATACAAAAATGAGCTGGGTGTGTTGGCATGTGCCTATAATTTCAACTACTCAGGAGGCTGAGGCACGAGAATTGCTTGAACCCCAGAGGCAGTGGTTGCAGTGAGCCAAGATCAGGCCACTGCACTCCAGCCTGGATGACAGAGTGAGGCTCTGTCTCAAAAAAAAAAAAAAAAAAAAAAAAAAAAAATATATATATATATATATATACACACACACACACACACACACACACACAAATTAATTAATTAAAAAAGTCAAAAATATTTGTACAGGCATTTTGCCAAAGAAGATATTCTGATGGCAAATAAGTATATTAAAAGATGCTCAATATTATTAGTCATTAGAAAAACTCAAATTAAAAGTTTAAGAGGTGTCATGACATTAATTCTCACTCCATTTATTCATGTACTTTTCAGTTTCTCACAATGATATTTTCCATTTTTTTAATGTTGAAGTCCTAGACTTTTGCTAAACTTATTCCCAAGTACTTTACGATTTTTATTAATTTTATTTTAAATTATTTGACACTAGTATATATAAGTTATAGAAATCTTGCAATGGTATAGGTTTATGCTATAGTTTGGATATGATTTGTTAGTTCCCACCCAAAATCATGTTGAAGTTTGGTCCCCAGTGTGGCTGGGAGGTGGGGCCTGTTGGGAGGTGCTTGGGTCATGGAGGTGGATCTCTTATTAATGGCTTGGTGCCATTCTCAGGGAGTGAGTAAGTTCTTGCCCTGAAGACGTGTTCCTGTGGGAATGCACTAGCTCCTGAGAGTGTTATTAGAAAACCAGGATGACCTTTGAATTTTTTCTCTTCACTTGGGTTTGCTTCCCCTTTCCATCTAGCATGTGTCCTTCACCGGAAGCCAATGGTGCCATTCTTCTTCTACTTCCTGTGCTACAGGATTGTGAACTAAATAAGTCTCTTTTAAAAATATTGCCCAACCTCAGGTGTTCTGTTATAACAACACTAAATGAACTAAGACAATTCACTCCTTTCTTTACTTGAGTTTGTGTAGGCATATCTTACATAGACACACATACTAAACTCTACAACACAAAGCAACGATTTTGTATTTAAATAGTCATGTCTTTTTATACAAATTTATTGAATTCTAATTATATCGAAAGCAGGCAATTTGGTGAGTTTTGCCACATATATACATACATGTGAATCTACCAACACAATCAAGATTCTGAACATTTATGTAGTACCTAAACCGCTCCTTTTGGCCTCTTTGCAATCCACGTGTTCTTCCAGGCCTAACTTCTGGAAAATAGATGCCTGACTGCATCTATTTTTCTTCACTATAGATAGTTTCTATTTTGTTTGAATGTTGAATAAATGAAATTATACAGTGTTAATCCACATCTTCCAGGTCCAACTTCAGGAAAACACTGCATCTATTTTTTGTCACTATAGATAGTTTGTATTTTTTTTGAATATCTAATAGATGGAATTGTACAGTGTTTATTCTTTGCAGTTATGGTTATTTTACTTAGAATAATAATTTGAAGACTTGTCCTTGTACTTAGGTGTATCATTAGTTTCGCTTTTTCCCCTTAGTAGCATTTAATGTATTCTATGTGTGTCTTTACTATCACTTATTTATCCATTTTCCTGTTAGGAATGTTTGGCTTATTTCAGTGTTTGGCAAATGCAAACAAAGTTGTTTGCACAACTGTGAGCAGACTTTGTGGAGACATATGTTTTCCATTTTTTTGGAGGGGGGGAATGGCTAAGTTATATATGTTAGTCATTATGTTTAACTTTTTAAGAAACTGGTAAACTCTTGCTTAAATAACCATAGAAATTTTTAGGCCAAACTTTTTGTTATTGAGTGGACAGTTTTCAGTATAACTGAAATATAATGTTTATTTTTAATGTTGTTATTTCTTTGCAGATAATCTATATTTCAAACCAGCATATTCTAATAACGTTTTTTGGCCTGAACGTCCTACAATATCACTACAATGTGTACAGATGTTTATTTTATTTTATTCATCTTTTTTGGAATATGTTGATTTTCTTAACTCTGAAGATTGGTTTCTTCCATCAATTTTTGAAATAATCAGCCATTTGCTATTTGAGTATTTCTTTTATCTTATTATATTATTTCCCTTTGGTATTCTAACTAGGTTTGATTTGTGTTTTCCCATTTTAATCTCAATGATGTCCTTTAAGCCTTTTCTTTTTTTGTTGTTTCTCTCAATTCAATGTTTTATTTATTTGGATCTATAACTTCTTCGGAACTATCATCCTATTTACTAATTCTCTTTTCAGCTGGGTCTTATCTTGTTTAATCTTTCTATCACATCTTTAATGCTTAATATTACATATATTTTCAGATTGAATTTGGTTAAATTTTTGGAAACTTTAGAGGAATTCCTGATAATTTCTTATGCTTTTATCAAATTTTCAAAGCATTATTTTATTTTCTTGCCCAAATTTATGTACTTATTCTATGTTCTATAGCCAATTATTCTGGTATCTATCATTTTTGTGGCTCTAATTGTTATTATTTCCTTTCTGATATTTTCTCTTTCTGCATTTATTTGGAGTTTCTTGGTTATGAGTCCATGTTCTTTGAAATTTTATCTGAACTGTGTTAAGTGTGCTTCTCGGGAAAGGCTTTGTGTTCACTCTGTCAGGTGACTTGCGGCTCCATGTCTTACTTTGTTTCACATCTCCTATTTCTGATCATTGAAAGCTACAGTAGCATCAGGTCAGAAGGGATGGGCAAAAAACTCTGAGGCAAATGTCAGATCTAGGAATTCCTAATGGCCTAAAGTTTTATGTCATAGTGTATCTCCCCTCTTCCTGCCAAATATATTTACTTTTCAGCAAGTATGGTGTATTAGTCAGGGTTCTCTCAGAGGGACAGACTAATATATATATATATCCTATTAGTCTGTCCCTCTAAGAGAACCCTGACTACTAATACACTATCTATAGGATACCTATAGGAGATATATATATATATATATATATATATATATATATATATACTATTAGTTCTGTCCCTCTAAGAGAACCCTGACTAATACACTATACTTGTTGAAAAGTAAATACATTTGGCAGGAGGAGGAGGGATACACAATGACATATATATATATATCCTATTATAATACATATATCCTATTATATATATGAGGAGTTTAATTAAGATAAAACATAAGATATATATATACATATATATATATATAAAAGAGGAGTTTAATTAAGTATTAACTCACATGATCACAAGGTCCCACAATAGGCTGTAAGCTGAGGAGCAAGGAGAGCCAGTCCGAGTCCCAAAACCAAAGAACTTGGAGTCTGATGTTCAAGGGCAGGAAGAATTCAGCACAGGAGAAAGACATAGGCTGGGAGGCTAGGCCTATCTCATTGCTTCACGTTTTTCTGCCTGCTTTATATTTGCTGGTGGCTGATTAGATGGTGCCAACCCAGATTAAGGGTGGGTCTGCCTTCCCCAGCCCAGTGACACTAATGTTACTCTCCTTTGGCAACACCTTCACAGACACACCAAGGATCAATATTGCATCCTCCAATCCAATCAAGTTGACAATCAGTATTAACCCTCACATATGGCCATGTGTAAAACATAAATATAAATTTTTAATGCACCAATGGTTTTTTAACCATGTATTCCATTTTGTTACCAGAGAATAAAATTCTCATTTATTAAGTCAATATATTATTGAATAGACATCTCTTAGGTGTCTACAATAAGAAATGAATAAGGGAATTCTAATGCCCCAGGCCTCCTGGTAACACCTTCTAGACAAGGCGAGGCACATTATTTGGCCAGCGTAAAACTAACATAGAAGAGTATATACTTATATACATATACTATGACATATATACATTATATGAGCCACTTAAGAGAAGTTGGTGAAAGCTCACAGATATCCAATCAAAAAATCTTAATGGAGGGCTCTTCTGGAAGAGCCCAGTAGAGGGATGGAGAGTAAGAAAGCAGCATATGGTAGGGAATATAACTGACTTCAGGGTTAGGAGATCTGCTGCGTGGCCCTGCCCAACTTTCATGTTACTCTACGACCTTGGAAATAACATTTCCTTCTCTGGTTCTCAGTTTCTCCTCTACAGAAAGTGTTGAACAAGCTTGTCTTTAAGGTCCCTTCTCCTTCCAATATTTTATGGTATTAAAAGAAAGATAATCCTGTAAAATAGACTTGTATGTGACTCTCATGCTACTTCCATTTATTATTAGTTATGGAAACTTTGAAATTTTTCTTCCAAAAAGGAAGCTAATCCTGCATTGGTAAAGTGCTGCTTAGTGAGATTAAATTAAGGTTAAACCACTGGCTTACACCAGCAGAAAAAGAATCAGACTCAGAGAGAATGCCACACACTCCTACCCTAATTCATTCCAGCTTTGCCTGGAATTGAAGAAGAAAGGGCCAGGCCAAGAATTGAGAAGGTGATCTAAGGCCTGCAAAAGCACCAGCCAACTTGTTACAGATAACCAGACTAAAAATGTGCAGAAACAAAATATGTCATGGTTTCTAAGCCACTCTCATCTCACATCCATTGTCACAGATGGAAACAAGGTACTTCTCAGGATGTCTACAACTTCAGTAAAGAAGTGATCATGCACCCGTCTTTTACTGGATATGCTAAGAAATCAATAGCATGGGGTGTTTCCACACTATTTAGAACGAGAATTTAATGTTTTCTTATCTGTCATATGTAAAAATTGGACTACTTTAGATAAATTATAAGGTTTACTTATGTTTTAATGTAGAGTTCAATCTGTGTTGATACAAGACCTAAGGTTTAGTGATTGCTCAGGACCATACAGCCCTTCAGTGGCAGAAACTGGATTTGAATCCAGATCTGTTCATACTTCATATAGTATAAATGTGAAATATCTGAGAATTCTTCAATTATAGGCCCACATGGTTGTGTATGTGATCAACTGACATTCAAAATTATCAGAACACAATTAGGTCACAAAAATCTTGGCCACTTTTTGCCCAATTTTAAATATGTTATTTCACTCCCACTAAGCTATTGGTGCTACAGTTTGCTTAATCAAGTTGCTAGGAGCTTACAGTCATGCACAGAACATGCACAAACATACTAATGGTCTTAGAAATTCAGTCTTTTTGCTTTTAAATGATTTTTCTCTTAGATGATCATTTTTACAAAACAGAAGTAAGCAAAGTAGAAAACAAACTTGTAAGAAAAAGGTAAGTCACGGATTTGTAGTCAGACAAATCTTTTTTGTATTGCCAGTTCAGTGATCTGGAAAAATTGTTTACTTTCTATGGGACTCCTTATTTGTGGAACATAGACAATGAGAGCGATAGTTTTAGCTAACACTAGTGCAGGGGCCAAGTATAGCACCAGAAAAAATCTGAGATACTCACTAAAGTTAGTTGCCAGCTACTACTTTTTGCTGCAATAACTCTTCATAACACAAAACACAAAATGTAGTGTCTTAACACAATAGGCAGTTATTTAGCTCAGCAGTCTTCAAGTCAAAGACCTAGGCTGGGCTCAGCTGGGTGGTTCTCCTGGTCTTGGCTAAGCTTAACCACATGTCTGGCAGTCTGCCGAGTGTTGACTGATCTAGTATGGCCACTCTGGATGGCTGAGAAGCTTTAACTCTGTTCCACATGTCTCTCATCTCTAGAAGGTGAGCTCAAGCTTGTTCCACTATAGCAAGCATGTAGAAAGGCAAAGGTCTTGAGGCACATGATCACTTCCACTGCATTCTATTGGCCAAAGCTGGTCATATGACCATCAGAAGTCAAGGGGTAAGAAAGAAAATTTACTTATTTACTCAGAAGAACCACAAAGGGAAATAGCTCAGAGAACAGAAAAAGGGAGAAATAATGGATTGAGACCAATAACAAAATGAATCTACCTCTCTTCCCCTTTCTCTGTGTTTCCTGTGACTTAGTGTTGACAAAACAGTACTGTTCACTTTAATCATCCAGATGCACCAGCCATTTTGATCTGCCCATTACCCTAGTTTTCTACAAGTTTGGATGCACCTTAGGGAAAGTAATTTTTAATGTAACATTTTTAGAATTAAAGCTTTCCAAAAATTTGTATATGGTAAGAAAATAGAGAAAAAAAGGCAATCATCAGAATTTACCAAGGTTCTAAATTGCATATGTTATGTATTCATTTCAGAAAATCCAAATAGTTCCTTCAGTCTTCGATGGTCTAGTGACCTCTTCCAATGATTTTTTATAAGCATCATGTGTTATGACTCATTAGGTAGTTTAGAGATGGCAATTGCACATTCCTGTCCAGCGCCAGGCTACTTCTTGGCTATCGTGGCTCTCTTAGTTTGTTTTCCTGGCCTGTTGACAGTTCCCACTCCTCTGACTGAAGCAGGGTCTTCATAAGCCTTTCTTTATAGTAACCCCCTTTTAAAACATGTGACTTTTTTCGTTGGGTTTTTTTTTTTTTTTTTTTTTTTTTTTGCCTAATCAATTCACCTTAGATCTATGGTTGTAATTCCTGCCCCAGTTTTCCTCCCATCTGCTCCTATTTAATAGGATCCCAGCCTTTTACTCTCACTCACCCCGTTGTGCTTTCAACCCAGACACACTGTCCTCAGTTAGCGCATATTGAATGTGAAGGTTTGCACTGCCTGGGACACTTAGGAAGTGAAGTTTGCCCAGAAGACCTTCACATTCTCCAACGTCACAGTATTTTTCTCTTCTTCCACACCCAGTTCTATTTACCCACATGGTTTCATATACTTATTCCTGTACTCAGCCTTTTATTCATTCTTTCAATCCTGTTTTCCCAAATATCACTTTAGCTTGAGGACATTTGCCGTGTAGAACAGGAGAAGACATAGGAGGGGATTTAGGGCAACTTTGAATGGCAGAGCCTGGACTCGTGGTATTTCTATTCCTAGAGGCCTTTGTTTCCTCTTAGCTAAAAGACACTTAGTAAATCTTTAATCAATAAAGAAATAAGATCCATTTTCATGCCTGCATCATTGAGGAAATGTTTCATTAATGATTTCCCTACTTAGTTGTCATAATGATATGCAATGTCCTTCACTATTCTTAATATCCCTACCATGTCTTATTGTCGGTGACTTATTGACCCACTCAGTTGAGTATTTGACCCCATTCTTCTATACTAGCATAGCATCTAATTTAGTAAAACAAATTAAGTTTCTTAAAACAGTGTTATTGAGATATAAATAACATAGCTTATAATTCACCCACTTAAATTTTATAATTCAGTTGTTTCTAATATATTTACAGATACCTGCGACCATCACCACAGTCATTTTTAAAACATTTCATCACCTCAAAAACAAACCCCACACCTATCCTCCCATCCACTCAGCCTAAGCAATGACTAATCTATTTTCTGTTAAAATGGATTTCAAAAAATTAAGTTTCAAAGGCCACGTGTAAGAAAAAATGTAGTATAAATTGTGAAATTCCTTGAATTGTCTTTAAAATATATTAAAAAGACCAATATTTATATTCCAAATTATATAGTAACATAGTATTTATCAATAAATCCAACATAGACAGAATTTCCCCCAGGACTGGAAAAGACAGCTGTTTCTTCAAGTGACCATTACATAAATGAGTTGGCTTGTGTTTGAAAATCCTGCTTTAAAAATCATATTTTGATGTGGTAGAGACTCAGCTTGGAAAGATATCCATTTCCTGACAGGGCCACAGCCCCCAAGACTAACTGGGGAAGATAAGACTCCTGCAGTAGACTCCCTTGAGTCACCTAGTCAATGAAATGGCTAGGAGGATACCCATTAATGTCTCTCCTTTCCCCACTCCCTCCTATTCTTCTTTCTTCTCCTTTTCTTTTCTTTTTCATCCTATGCCAGCATGAGAAAATAGCTGAAGTTAATTGCATATATATTGGCTCCATAAAAGTTGATTCATCTAAGAACCAGATTGAACCCAAGTCAAACAAGACAGGCCCCTGCCTAGGACCTTTCTGAATTGAAGAAGGTGAAGTGAGGAAACCAGTTTTTCTCTGGTGACAGAGCTCTGAGATATGAGTTTTGGCATTTGCTAAAACCCACTTTTTCAACCTTTTTATGAAGCTACTTGGAGAGAATGAGGCTGACCTGGAAGGAGACATAGGCATGAGAGATGAGGAAAGGAGCCTGGTGACGTTGGAGCTTATCAGCACATTGCTCTCCCTTGTTATCTCAAATTTTCTCTATATTTCTGGAGGTCTGGTTGGGTTTCTGAACCTTGAGCATACCCCAAAATCTTTACTAATACAGAAGCACTAAGATAATAAAGTCTAGCACATGGAGTTTTTGAGAGGACTAGATAAGACACTGTAGGAAACCCAGAGGCCATCCTCTGCATGTTCCAAATCTTATGATGCTTCAGAGTTACTCCATCTTTAAGAAGGAAATTATAATGACTTGCAAACCTCATCTATGCATAGTGAAAAATTAAGCAATTTATTTAGTGTTTTCTTATTTCTTCACCTTCTGGGCTATGACCTGATTTCCTTCTCTAGAAAGGCCCTCTAAGTGTGTTAGTGGACACAAGGCATGGTGTCAGGACACTTCCCTCTCCCATCTCTTTGAGTGAGTAGAGGAAGGAAGTATCGCAACTTGGTCTCATCCAGAGTGAAACTATGCACTTCTCTCAACACATATGTATGCACATACACACATAAACACTCACATACACACAAATACATACACATGCATACAAACATACAATTCACGCTCACATACACATGCACATACACAGCCACATGAGTGCACACACAGCTCACAGACACACATGCACACACTTACACACATTTCACACACAAACATACACACAAAACACACACATGTAAACACACACAAGGCTGACACAGACATAAACACACTCAAAACTCACACAGACATAAACACAAAAACATACACACACATGCACACATACAATTCACACTCACATACACATGCACATACACAACCACATGAATGCACACACAGCTCACAGACACACATGCACACACTTACACACATTTCACACACAAACATACACACACAAAACACACATATGTAAACACACACAAGGCTGATACAGACATAAACACACTCAAAACTCACACAGACATAAACACAAAAACATACACACACATGCACACATACGTACACACACACAAACTACACATAGGCACACAAACACATACACAAATATACACACAACTCACACACAATACACATCCCATATACACACATGAACACCCACATACGTGCATGCACAGCCACAAACACACACATAAAACTCACACACATACACACAAACACATACAAACACATAAACCATACATAACACAGAAACATACATACACATACATACACACAACTCAATTAAACCCATATAAACACATATAGACAGATAAACACACACGTAGACACATAAACACATACACATAAACACATATGTGCATTTGTTCACAAAGACTCATTAATACCATACACATCAAATAAGGTTTTGTGGTTATCAACAAAAGGAACCAAGTCTTAGACATTTATGAGAAAAAGAAATTGTTTAGAAGAACATGGGGTAAACCAAACAGTCAGATGAGAAAGTGAACCACCAAGAACCATGTGATTCCACAAATCACGACTGAAGGAATCAATAGAAAATAGACATTTTGTAAACTTGCATCATTGGCTCAATATTCAAGGGACTGGCTGAGAAGTTCTGACTGAACCAAGCACTCTAGATATCTGAGAAACTTGTTCCTGACTGCAGAGATGGGCAGTAATGTCCAAAATGGGGTGCTGCACAATGAGGATTCCCAAGTCCATACACTGGGGTCCCAGAGGAAAGCTCAGAAATGGCTCTTTACATTCATGTATCTTTTAGATAAGAAAGACACTATACCTTACAGATAATTACTGCATGAACTGGTTTGGCATCCTCAGTCTTCCATATATCAGATAATTATGTATCATATGCTATATGGAAGGTAACTAGAAAAAGTTGTGAGGAGAGCTATTCTATGTAGGGGATTACTGTAGCACCCTCATTCGTTTAACTTTATCAAAATTGATTGATAAACGTTCCTTGATTTATGATGAATTACATCTCAATAAATCTATCGAAAATGGAAAATATTGGAAGTCAAAAATGCACTTAATAAACCTAACCTACCAAGCATCATAGCTTAGCCTAACCTCCCTTAAATGTGCTCAGAATACTTACATTAGCCTAAAGTTGGGCAAAATCATGTAACACAAAGCCTATTTTATAATAAAATGTTTAATATCTCATGTAACTTGTGGAATACTGCAATGAAAGTGAAAAGCAATGGTTTCACATCGCTGTAAAGTCACAAAATTGTTTAAGTCTCGAGTTGGGGACCATCTGTACTGGCTTATTTTTTACTTATTTGTTTATGAATTTAGAGATGATATTCTCTAATATCATCTGAATATTTTCAAAAAAAGGACAACTGTTTTGGAAGATTACTTCGGAAAAGTATTAGATTTAGAATTGTACTAATAATGCAAGGACAAGTGACCCAGGATGAGAATGGCAGGGCTGGGACTTCTGCTTCTATTGCAAGCACTTTCTGAGTCCATTTGAAAGCAAGCCAATGACTACCAGATCCATGCCTCCCAGCAGCTGTCCACAGGAATGCAAACAGACTCTATTCCTTCAGAGCAGAGATGACATTTTAATGATGAGTGCAGAAGCAACTGTGTTTTTTTAATCATTTCTATTTGGTAAGAATATTATATAAACAGGTGTTCAGAAATATTTCCATCACTGTAATTTTATTGCCAAAAGCAATATAATTCACCTGTTTAAACAAAAAAAAAAAACCTAAAAACCTCATTTGTGCATTTCTAGAAATCTTGAAAACATAGTTTCTAATTTTTTATAAAAAATTTCAATCCAGAGTTTCAGTGGCATTATAATCCATCTGTTAATAATAGAAACATGTAATATCTTCCAATTAGTTTGGAGAACAACTGATTGACATTGTAAAAGATGAAAACTTGCAGGACAAATTTTAACACAATTTTTAGTTAATTGGCATATGGGATTTAACGCTATCATAATTTAATAAGCACAAACACGGATTCTTTCTGAATATCATTGTGAGATGCCTTTTACAGCCATTACAGACACTAAAAATCAGCAAATTGAACTGATCTTAGATTCACATGTTCAAAGTGTTGTAATAGGAAATGTTAAACCAAGTTTTCAGATCTAAGAAACCATCTTTATTCACATTTATTTCATAAAAGCGTCGTGCTATTAAGTGATTATTTTAGATTATTGCTTTACCTCAACTTTTACTTTTTTCTTTTGCGTATTTCAGTAAATATGTGGCTATCAATAAATTTCTACTAAAAAGCCATGAAAGTACGTATTTTTAAAAATCAATTTTCAAAAAATATCTCTTTGAAAAAGATGTGGAAAAAATCCTGCAAACCTTAATCTAGAGAAAGTTTAACAGGTGTGAGCAAATAACAGCCAAAGGCAGATTCCTGCCTCTACCACTTAAGGACGGCCTGTGGCTGCTTCCAAAGGCAGCGTTGGTAGTGGAGACAGACGCCACATCCCTGGAAGTCAAAGCACTTACTATATGGCCCTTTACATAAAAGATTTTCCACCCCCTGGTTTAACAGTCGACAATAAACATAGTCAATATCTTGGGGGAAAATAAGAGTTTTACTTCCGCAGTAACGGCTCCAGGATGTGCCTCCACAAAAATTGAGGGGCAGCGAACTATGCCTGGGAAGCAAATGGTAATTTTGGGGTTTTCCTCTTAGAATTTTGTTTCCCAATAGAATTTTCAACCCACTAAAATATTTCTCTAAGAGACTGCATATGGCTGCCCTTTAACAGACAAAGTTAACATTCCTGATGTTTACTTGAACAAAGCTTGTACATTTCGCTGTTTTTAGAAAAGATTAATTTTCATTGAGAATGCAAATCTACTTCAAATGTTACAAAAACCAAGTGTCTCCAGGGGGGCTGACCACTGGCATTTGTGCTGATAATCTCGGTTATTTAAACAGCAGCACCACTGCCCAGAAGCCCAGGCCTTCCACCAGGGACAGGAATCTTAAACGACTCTCCTGACAGAGCAAAAAGAGAAAGTTCCTGACCATTGGTAACAGCACATTAAAGTGTGGTTATATTTATTTGGAGATTTTCAGGTAGACTGATACTGGTTTCTGTATGGAGAACATACAAATATCAAGAAACATGGATTAAGAAAAAGTCTGGCTTGTTCAGTTCAAATTGTATAAGTAAATTTCTCATTTCTGTGTGCCCCATGTCCACCCTTCCCCTGTCCCATACGTCATACCCTCCTCAGCCCACCTAGGACCTTGTTTCCTCAAACATGACTTGGGTGAGAGGCCACATCAAGGGACTCCTACCTGCCCTGTGCTGAAATCTTGCCTTCTGGATTCTGTCCAATCCTCTGTGCATCTGTCAGTCTGACCTTCATACATTGCAGGCCATTCCCAGGAAGAAGTGATCGCCTACCACAGGGCCTTTCTTGCAAATCAAAATCCTTTTTCTCTATTGTGACTTTCTAGATAACTCAACATGCTAAGATGTCACACACATGTCATTGTTTTGTTTTGTTTTCCATAAGTTAGTTTATATCTTTTTTTTTTTTTTTTGAGATAGAGTCTTGTTCTGCTCTGTCACCAGGCTGGAGTGCAGTGGCACAATCTTGGCTCACTGCAACCTCCACCTCCTGGGTTCAAGAGATTCTCCGGCCTCAGCCTCCTGACCAGCTGGGACTACAGGTGCTCACCACCATGCCCAGTTAATTTTTGTATTTTTAGTAGAGACGGGGTTTCACCATATTGGCCTGGCTGGTCTCAAACTCCTGATCTTGTGATCCACCTGCCTCGGCCTCCCAAAGTGCTGGGATTACAGGCATGAGCCACCGCACCAGGCCAAGTCAGTTTATATCTTATAAACAAGTTTTTATTTTCTGAGTAAGCATAATTGACTCCATTTTAGGTTCAAATTTGCAGTATGAGAAGGAAGAAGTATTTCGCCTAGGCTGGAGTGCAGTGGCACAATCACGGCTCAGTGCAGGTTCAAATTCCTGGGCTGAAGCAATCCTCCCACTTCAGCCTCACAGGTAGCTGGGACTACAAGTGTGCACTACCACCCCACTTGGCTAATGTTTGTATTTTTTGCAGAGACGGGGTTTCACTATGTTTTTCAGGCTAGTCTCGAACACCGGGGCTCAAATGATCCACCTGCCTTGGCCTCACAAAGTGCTGGGATTACAGATATGAGCCATCCTGCCTGGCCATGAAAAGATATTTCTAATAGTATGAAATTTAAAATTTTTTAGAAAGAAAAATATTAACAAAGTAATACATAGTTGTAAAGCCCTTCTGATTTTGTGAATTATCACTTATTTGTTGTATGGATGTCACAATTATTTAATTCCAAATGTCTATTCTTCAGATGGGTATTCATCACAAGCATCTTTCTATTGAGTTCTCTGGGATTTGAAGGAGCTAAGTAAAAAGCAAGAGTGTGTGCTACTTTTATGCCAAAAAGAAGTTTAATCCTAATTTTCCAGAAGATTTTGGTCCCATGCAATTATTTGACATTTTAGACTAAGTTCTGTCCCTACGGGTTACTAGAAAAGCCAGCAAAAGTTATGAATTATCTGCAAATCTTGTCTTTATTCTTTGTCTCT
This sequence comes from Homo sapiens, assembly GCF_000001405.40. Lineage (NCBI taxonomy): Eukaryota > Metazoa > Chordata > Mammalia > Primates > Hominidae > Homo > Homo sapiens. The sequence goes on from NC_000002.12 coordinate 6,152,153, forward strand.
GTCTTACAATTCATCAGAAGCCAGCCCCTCTTCATCCTGGTCCTGACACTCTTTTCAGCCTCAAGTCCAAATGCATTCTCTTCCAGTCAGCCAGAGCTGACTAAACATAGAAGATTGCTAAATGCTCCTCTTTTTTATTGTGCTTCTTCCCTAGGTCTAGAATGGGTCTCTCTGCGTCTGGTCCACCTGTTCAGCTCTTGTTTATCCTTCAAAGCCAACATCTCTTATCACATCCCTCATGAAGCTGGTCTTTCCGTCTTTCTTCTCTCTGCACTTTTACAGCATTATATTCTAATAATAATATCTTTTTTTTTACTTAATATGAGGTAAATATGGAGCAACACCTTCTGCCAGCCTGTAAACCATCTGAGGGCTCGGTGTGAGAGGGCACGAAGTCATCCCTGAGATCCCAGGCTCTAAAGCAGTATCTAGCACATTGGTAAATATTTAAAAAATACCTTCAGGAAAAAGGAAAGAAGAGTAGAGATTTTATCAATCAGAAAGTTAAAAAGTTGGCTAATCACTTGGAGAGAAAGCCGGCATTTATTGGCTTAGTATGGGCCAGGCTGTGCTCCAATCACTTCAAGAACATGAACACCATATGCGTATGCTCGCAGACACCCTATGAGGTAGGTAGTATTTCTAGCATCTCCAGTTAACAGACAGAAAAACTGAGACACAGGTAGGATAAAGACCTTGCTCAGGGTCATCCACCCAGGAAGTGGGAGAGGGCAGGTTCTAACCACAGATGTGTCTGCAGCTGGCATGTGTGAGCTTACCCACTAGACCAGATAGCCCCTTGAAGGCTAGGGATCTGACTCAGGCAGTAGGACATGTCCTAAAGAAAAGTGAGCCACTGGGGAAACTGACAAGTTACACTGCAGCCTCCAGACTCTGTTGCCCCAGCATCTCCTACCTCGACGATTCTTCTCTGTGTCCACGCCCAGTCCTATCAACTCTGATCTGGCCCCCTCCTATGGGAAGCATTCTATGGTGGTGTCTATTGGTGATAGGTTTCCTTTCATGATGCTCAAAGGACTTTGCTGGACTTCCCTTCTACCTGGTATCATCACTTTGTTTAGAAATTTCAGTTGCTTGAGGACAGAGCCTATTTGTTCTGAGTTTGATAAATATAAACTATAGCCTTCTGCCTTGCCCCTCGTGGGTGTTTGACAAATATTTGTTGAAAAGATAAGTGATTGATCACACTATAACAAAACAGCACTTAAAATACTTTAGGATAAAAACAATTGCAGTGATTTAGAGTGTTTAACAAATAAATACAATGAAAAGCCATTATAACTGGAATAATAAAAGGCACTTTAGCTTATGTACTAAAGGGCGAATTATGTTCCACAAAAGGTAACCACATAGAACAAATCCACAAGGAAATGGAGTAAGTCTAATTCATCTCAAATACCAGAATCATAAAGGTCATCTGAATATTTGAGATGAATCCAATCAGTTATACTGTCAAACAAGCTATAAGGCAAAAAATTTACTATTCACTTTGAAATTTCTACCTATAAATGAAGAATATGGCTCTAGTCTTATTGTTGGGACGTATGGTTTCATTGCATATATGTGTAGGTTTGTAAGATGTGGAAAGTGTGTGTGTGTGTGTGTGTGTGCGCATGTTCATGTATTTGAATGTATGTGTGTGTATACACACTATACGTATGCATGTATGATGTATGTCTGTATGTTTAAAAGAGGAATTAAAAGAAGTGTCACTGTTATGCAAAGAACCACCACAACTGAAAACTAAATAAACATCAAAACCTTTCTTTCCAATTCTCTTTTAGAGAATGGAGTGTGGTATTCCAGCTCTTTCTCGGTGTATGCTCAGTCAGATAAACTGATCCTGCACACATGCAGGGCAGCACTGGAGTGTAAATCTGTCCATCTTTAACTTATTTCCTCTTATAGAGAATGCAAGAAAACAGAGCTTGTATGTGTGTTTTAGTTACTTGCTTGCTTTCTTCACATAATGTCACGCACCACCAAAAGTCATATTCTAAAACTTTAGGAGAAAGGATAATAGGATGTATCATTTGCCCTGATGTAATTATTATGCATTGCATGCCTGTATCAAAGTATCTCATATACCTCATAAATATATACATCTACTATGTACCCACAAAAATTGAATATTAATATATATATACCTAGTATGTACCCACAAAAAATAAAAATTAAAAAAAAGTGTAATAATCTGTGATTCTTAATTATTAAATTGCAATTTGGGAATGCTTTGCCTTGGTCAGCTTTGGTACCATATTCTAATTAATGTTAACCATGCTTTGGGTGTTCTGCCAACAGATTATTGATTTCCAAAGCCAGAAGATTTTGTTTCTTTAGGTGTATCAGGCAACTCTAACTTAGCGAAGGCAGAAAACTAATTTTTAGACGTCAGTCATAGAATATCTCCACTGTAAACATTGGAAACTATCAATTAGACAAGAGTATCTCTTTATGATTGAAATGACAGCTGAGTGAAAGTTCACAGTAAGGTAAATAAGTCCCTGGGGCAGGAGCTCTGTCTCTTGCTATTTTGCCTCATTGCAAAGCACAATGCCTAGCACATGGCAGACACTTAAAAATGTCCTGGAGTTGTAGAAAACAGTTACTTAGCTGATATTTGCAAAGCATACTTAAAACCAAAAATAACAAGTGCAAACACCAAATGAAGTCTTTGAAAGTTTATTCAAAAACTTTGATTAGCTATTATGGTACACCCTCCACCCATGGTAGGATATTTTGGACGATTTGTAATAAAGATGCAGACTGCCTAATGTCCTGGAGGGTTGTGATGTCCAAGGCCATGAGGGCCAGTTCTTATAAACATCACAATATTCTTCCCTCTCTCTGGTACTGCTGTGAGTCTTCTCCTCACCAGATACACTGTTCCTTATCATACTCTTGCCTGCTATCTCTGAAAATCTGACCAACATTGAATTTTATCAGCCATTGACCCTCAGGTATGACTGTAAGATTCCTTGGCATGTGACTTGTGAGTGCATTATTGTCCTTATGTATTTTTCCTTATTGGAGCAACATCAGGCCTGGGCGAGAGGCAATAGATGAAGGGAGGAAAGACAGTATGTTAGTAACTAAGTTGATCTTGCAACTGAGAGATAGAGGAAGAGCCACAGCCAGAATCTGTCAAATATGCACACATTTTCATGGCTCTGAAGAGGTCTAAGGGAGATGGTTCTAGGCCTGTCTCCATCTCTGTGGCATAGCTAACAGGTCATCTGCAAGGACAAGAGTTGGCAGGGTGAGGTGGGAGGCATGAGGAAACTGAGTCTTGAAACCACAAGTGTACATACACAGAGAGAGACCACCCAGCTCCAAAAAGAAATTCAGAGCAGCTGAGCCACCTGCTGAGCTCAAGGATCATGCATTTGCAGAAAATCCAGAATATTTGGCTGGAAATTTTCCATCATATGTGAAAAATAAACTAGCAACAAAAGTGAACAGTTTTGTGTGTCTCTTAGTGACAACTTCTGATGTATCGCCAGTGACATTTATTCTAAACTACCTTGTTGAAAATAGGACACAGGGAACTAAATTGATACAGGTACTTGGAGTAAGTAAGGCATAAGCATTCTGCCTGGGCCTTTATTCATCATATACATATGGATTATACTACTTCGTGTAATGTTTCCTCCCCAACATCTTTCACATTCTTTATATTTTACATTTATCCATTAATTCAACAAACATTTATTTTATAGTTATTGCTGATAGGGACAGGAGGCAAGAAAATCCTGGGCAGAAGAAGGGGGGTCCCCAGAGAGGACCTGAGACCAGGGCCCAAAGTGAGAACTTACATTCCTGTTCTCCTGCTCAAATGTCACCTTTTCTAAGACCACCATGGCCCCACCCCACCCCATCCTGTGCCTATAAAAACCCCAGACCCAGCTAGACATCAGAGAGATGTGGCTTGACTTCAAAGGGACAGCTTGACGGCATAACTTTTGAGAAGAATCCAGCTGGGGATGGCTGGACTTAGGGGAAGATAACCTTCTCCATCTCCTTTTCAGTTCCCCTTCCTTCTTAGAGCCACCTCCATTAGCAATAAAATCCTCTGCATTGTCCATCTTTCAATTCATTTGTGTGACCTCATTTCTCCTGGACTCCGGACAAGAACTCAGGTGCCATGAGTATGAATGCAACAGGCTGTCATACTGAACCTTTGACTTTGCTGGCAGAAGGCAGCTGCCTCACACAAAAAGGCAGAGGGTCCACTGAGCTGTTAACACTTAAACTGTCCATGGATGGCAGAGCTAAAGAAGCACTGTAACACTCCCTCTGGGGCTTTAGGGGTGTGGGCACCCTCCCAGATGCTGCCATGGGGCCTGAAAGGAGTTTTGCTCCTGCTAGAGCCCAAAAGCACTTGCCCTGGCTCCTGCATCCACCCACCTGAGTGTCCTCACCTGTGAGGGGTGGAATGCAATGGGTCTGAGTGTGTGGTGTTTGCTCCTGCCAGTGACGAAGTAGCCACCTGATTGCAGCACTCATGCACTTCAGTTCCTCCCTCATTCACTCTCACGCTCCCTCCTGTGAGGGGTTGAAAGCTGTGGCCTGGGTAAATGGGGCACCCAGTCACGAGTCCCGCAAAAGGGTCAGGGAAATACCTGCTTCATTGCTAATGTATTGGTAGAGGACTCAGGACTTCCTTTTGGATACTAAACTCTTTTGTATATGCTATTTGGTAAAAATTATCTCTTTAGCCTCAGACACTAGTGTATATTTCAATCACCGAAGAATACTAGAAAAATGCTGACTTTGGGCCCATAGGACCAATGTGAGTCCTGAAAGATGTCACTGTTGTTTGGGGACTTCACTTTAAGTAGCCAAGTTGATGGCCAGTTTCTCATACTTGGACCAGATACTTTTTAAACATGCTAATTCCCAGGCCCCAAGCCAGACATTCTGATTGAATTGGGCAATTAGGCAGAGTGGAAACTAGATGTCTGTGTTTTCTTTGTTCTTTTTGTTTTTTTTTTTTTTTTCTGAAATGGAGTTTTGCTCTTGTTGCCCAGGCTGGAGTGCAATGGTGCAATCTCAGCTCACTGCAACCTCTGCCTCCCGGGTTCAAGCAATTCTCCTGCCTCAGCCTACTGAGTAGCTGGGATTACAGGTGTGTGCCACCACACCCAGCTAATTTTTTGTACTTTTAGTAGAGATGAGGTTTTATCATGTTGGCCAGGCTGGTCTCAAATGCCCGACTTCAAGTGATCCTCCCACCTCGGCCTCCCAAGGTGTTGGGATTACAGACTTGAGCCACAGCACCAGGACCCCTTTTTTTTTTTTTTTAATTAATTCTCCCACTTGATTTACATGGGGCCTAAGTTTGCAAAGCAGTGCTCAGGGCTGTTCCCTCAATTAGTTGAAAGCCCCTAGGCTTTTAATAAAAAGCAGGTTATGGTGCCCTGCTCATGATGCAGCTATTCTACCATAGGCAGATATGCAGTGGCTAAAATATACAAACAGGAGTGGCTTTGAGTGACAGAATTTAAAGGACTGCTAGGTTGCTAAGACATGTGAGGGTGTCCAGTCTCCAAATGCTGGAGCTAAAGTTATGGTTGTAGTCAGTTAGGCTCCCATGAAAGAGCCCTGTCACTCTCTTTCCAGGGTGTCTTAAAGTTATAGACTCTGTCTTGACTACAAATTTCCTGCTGTAGCTGTAAGGCTTGCCGGCTGAGTCTCTGGATGTGGCAAACCTAAATTGTCAGGCAGCAGAAATAATGCCTTACCTTTCTGTCTGCTGTGAAAGGAAAATAAATCTTGGGGCCCCAAAATCACTAAGCTAAAGGGAAAAAAAAATCAAGCTGGGAACTGCTTGGAAAAACCTGCCTCCCATTCTATTCAAAGCCACCCCTCTGCTCACTGAGATAAATGCGTATCTGTTTGCCTCCTTTGGAAGGGCTAATCAGGAACTCAAAAGGATGCAAACGTTTGTCTTTTATCTACCTATAACGTGGAAGTCCCCTTCTCACTGCAAGTTGTCCCGCCTTTACTTTGAATTGTCCTGCCTTTCCGGACGGAACCAATGTTTATCTTACATTTATTGATGGATGTCTTATGGCTCCCTACAATTTGTAAAACCAAGCCGTGCTGGGACTACCTTGGGTACATGCCATCAGGACCTCCCGAGGCTGTGTCATGGACGTGCATCCTTAACTTTGACAAAATAAACTTCTTAAATTGACTGAGACCTGTCTCAGAAATTCTGGGTTCGCACTGCCAAAATCTGCACTAAACCCTATCAGAAAGGTTAGGAATTTATAATTTTTTATCCCCTTGAGCTGCAAATCTCCTGCCTTTTTCTGCTGCTAAGGCTAATGAGGACCAAAAATGGTTCTCTACAGATTGCCTTTGTTTAATTCATACTTTGTGAATTTGTATTCTCTGAGTTAAAGACTTGTACATTTGAAGTAATATGAACATACAATTATTTCCACCTTTGGAAGCAGGATGTCAGTCTAGTTACATGAGGCTACTGAAAATAAAACAAGATAGACAAAAATCCTGCAATTGTTGAACTCATTGTGCTATTACTCATTTGTAGGTAGAAGAGGTGGGTAAAAAATACTAAGTATGGATTATACACGCATTGATTCATTCATTACTTCCTTCAACACACATTACGATCTCGGCTCACTGCAATCTCTGCCTCCCAGGTTCAAGCAATTCCCTTGTCTCAGCCTTCTGAGTAGCTGGGATTACAGTCGTGCACCACCATGTCTCGCTAATTTTTGTATTTTTAGTAGAGATGAGGTTTCACCATGTTGGCTAGGCTGGTCTTGAACTCCTGACCTCAAGTGATCCGCCTGCCTCGGCTTCCCAAAATGCTGGGATTACAGGTGTGAGCCACCATGGCTGGCCGCGCATTTACTAACTTTTGATGGCAAGAACTATATTCTTCACATCTTTTTCTATCATCCACAAATGGGGTCTTACATAATGTCATTATAATCCATCAAGTATTTGTTGTGTTTTCAAGAAAAAATGGATGTGGACATTAAGTTTGGCTCCACATGGTAACTTCCTTGCTGACACTTGATGAGCAGAGTGTGCACCCCGGACCCCCTCGCTGCAGTGTCCCCCAGTGTTGAGCACAGAGCTGGGTGTGCAGTAGGCACTCAAAAGTCACCAGCCAGTTTCCTATCTTAAAGAGACCAGCACCAACCCTGACAGCCCCTACTAAATACCATTACACTTACCAGCCTACCACTATAATCTGACCTAGTAGGAACATCAAATTAAGCATCTTGCCACTTTCTTTTTCTTCATCTTTTTTTTCCTGCTTATTTTCCTCTGTCTCTGTTGTCCTTCTCATCCCATGTCGAATGTCTTCCCCCTACCCCCATCTCCCTCTGGGCTATAGATCTCCATTTCAAATAACTTTGATCTACTCTTGAATGGGAAGGCTTTTAACCTCATAGGTCACATTAAGAGAAAATTCTGACATTATTATGTAAATATGTTTTATTTTTCTAAGTCATCTTATACTATTTTAAGAAGGAAGCATTTGCTTTCGCTAGTGGTCAGAGTGTATGCTGAAATCTCAGGGGGCTGAGCTTGTCTTTACTTGTCTCCTCTATAAAATGCAGGGAGCCTGAGTGCATGCCTAACAAGATTCAGGGATGAGAGGAAGAAAAGGAAGCCAGGGCTTCTCGAAAGCTGACTTCTATCTCGTGCTGGGCAGGTTCACTGAAGAATTACAAAGCTGAAAGGCAAGAGAATATTCTTCTGATAGTAGCATTGTGTTATGATTGTCATTCTTTCTTTTAGTGTATCCTTTTCTCTTTCTGTAGAATGAGAAAAAGAATGCATAATTTTCCGTTGTTCCATCAGAGATACTGAAAGTGAAGCCTCCATCCACACACACTTTGGAAACCTAGCATGAAGACTTTTATGGAAAACTATCATTATTGTGGTTTAAAAGATGGATGAAATCAGAGTTCTTGAAATAGAAGTAATATAATATAAAATAATAATTTACCACTATTACTATTACAACTAATAATAAAATGAAAATCTAGAGGTACAAGAATTCAAAACTAATAGGAATAGAATGTCTCATGAAAATACTCTTATCAATTTAACTTTTACAGTTTTCCCTTTTTTTAACAAAAAGCAAAATTTTAGATATCCTTTTGAAACAATGTGCATGTCTATCGTTCTAGAATTTTCTGATTTTCCCCAAGTTGTGGCAATTATCACTGTGTTACTAAATTCAATACAATTTTTTTGACAGCAGTGCTTAATGTGTCTAATGTTAAATCCAGAACTACAAAACCTCTCTTTTCTCAATTACAGATAATAAATGTACATAATTTTTAATTCAACTGTATTATAACACTGAAAATACATACAACTAGCCCTTAATAAGCATACATGTCAAATAGAGAGTAAATGTAGGTATGAGTCCAATGAAGAACCAGTCTATTGGGCTGCCAGTGCTCAGTGGGATATGGGCATTGGCCAGTCAGTTCATACTGGGAACAGTGAACCTGGCTTTGGCAGGGGAAAGAGTGTCTAACTGGTAGGTAAAAATCAAGAAAGGTGGATCCAATTCCATTATGATTTTTCTGTGGCTATGTTTTTCATAGTATATGGTCTCTTAACCAACTTCTGTTTAATTGGCATAAGATGAACCACTGTTCACCATCCCCAATATAAATACTGACCAATGTTCCCTGCTAATAGAAGAAAATAAATGATTTCATAATGAGATTGATTTAATACATATTTAATAAAATCCATAGCATACAACCAGCATATAGTACTTCAGTTTCTCATATTTGTGGAACATTTTTCTGATTATCCTATATTAAGTCAAATATTATAAGTTCCAGAAATTAGAAAGTGTATAGATTACAATCACTGTGAGCAATAAGAAAAAAATACAAACACAAATTTTTAAATGGTTGCATACACTTGTCAATTTTTTGAAAAAAGCTAATAAACTATAACACAAAGGAAACAAAGTTTAATAACCAAAGCAATAAGAAAATAATAAAAGCAGACTATATCTGAAAACTCAGTATAAAGCAACTAAAAAACTAATGGCTAAATAGAGTCACTAAATAATGTGGCTTTTTGCAAAATATGTTTTTGAGAATCGATTGCTCAGCAACTAGACATCTATAGGCAAAACAAAAAAACAAACAAAAAAAAACAAAAACCTCAACCTAAACCTCATATTCTATGCAAAAATTAACCCCAAATGGGTAATGGGCTTAATTTAAAATTATAAAATTTTAGAAGAAATTATAGGCAAAAATTCTTAGCATTTGTCAAATTCAGAATTAGGCAATTTGTATACTTAACACCAGATACACAATCCACAAAAGGAAAAATTCATAAATTGAGCCTTATTAAAATGAAAAGTCTTGCAATGTGAGACAATCCTAAGAAAAAAAGAACAAAGCTGGAGGCATCATCCTACCTGACTTCAAACTATACTACAAGGCTACCGTAATCAAAACAGCCTGGTACTGGTACCAAAACACAGAGATAGACCAATGGAACAGAACAAAGGCCTCAGAAATAACACCACACATCTACGACCACCCTATCTTTGACAAACCTGACAAAAACAAGAAATGGGGAAAGGATTCCCTATTTGATAAACGGTGCTGGGAAAACTGGCTAGCCATACATAGAAAGCTGAAACTGGATCCCTTCCTTACACCTTATACAAAAATTAATTCAAGATGGATTAAAGACTTAAATGTTAGACCTAAAACCATAAAAACCCTAGAAGAAAACCTAGGCAATACCATTCAGGACATAGGCATGGGCAAGGACTTCATGACCAAAACACCAAAAGCAATGGCAAGAAAAGCCAAAATAGACAAATGGGATCTATAAACTTAAAAGCTTCTGCACAGCAAAAGAAACTACCATCAGAGTGAACAGGCAACCTACAGAATGGAAGAAAATTTTTGCAATCTCCCCATCTGACAAACGGGTAATATACAGAATCTACAAAGAACTTAAAAAAATTAACAAGAAAAAAACAAACAACCCCATCAAAAAGTGGGCAAAGGATATGAACAGACACTTCTCAAAAGAAGACATTTATGCAGCCAACAGACACATGAAAAAATGCTCATCATCCCTGGTCATCAGAGAAATTCAAATGAAAACCATAATGAGATACCATCTCACATCAGTTACAATGGCAATCATTAAAAAGTCAGGAAACAACAGATGCTAGAGAGGATGTGGAGAAATAGGAATGCTTTTAACTGTCGGTGGGAGTGTAAACTAGTTCAACCATCATGGAAGACAGTGTGGTGATTCCTCAAGGATCTAGAACTAGAAATACCATTTGACCCAGCCATCCCATTACTGGGTATATACCCAAAGGATTATAAATCATGCTGCTATAAAGACACATGCACACGTATATTTACTGCAGCACTATTCACAATAGCAAAAACTTGGAACCAACCCAAATGTCCATCAATGATAGACCGGATTAAGAAAATGTGGCACATATACACCATGGAATACTATGCAGCCATAAAAAAGAATGAGTTCATGTCCTTTGCGGGGACATGGATGAAGCTGGAAACCATCATTCTGAGCAAACTATCGCAAGGACAGAAAACCAAACACCGCATGTTCTCACTCATAGGTGGGAATTGAACAATGAGAGCACTTGGACACATCACACATGGGGACCTGTCTTGGGGTGGGGGGCAGGGGTAGGGATAGCATTAGGAGAAATAACGTAAATGACAAGTTAATGGGTGCAGCAAACCAACATGGCACTTGTATACCTATGTAACAAACCTGCACTTTGTGCACATGTACCCTAGAACTTAAAGTATAATTAAAAAAAAAAAAAATTCAGAATCACAAAAAAAAAAAAAAAAATTCTAGGGTTTTTTTTGTTTTGTAAAAAAAGCCTTGCAATGTGAAAGACTACAAAAAGAATGGACAAACAAGTTGCAAACTGGTAGAAAATGTTTGCAAACCACAAATCTGACAAGCACTCATATCTGGAATACACACACACACACACACACACACACACACACACACACACAGAGATACATAAATTTAAAACTCAACAACAGTATATGTGAAAGAATAAAAACTATGATAATATCTGAGACAGGCATGGGTATGGAGCAGCAGAAACTCTAAGACTCCTCCAAAATTTTTGTTATAAGCAATCCTCAAGACAAGTTAACAATATAGTAAGAAACCTTAGAAATGCATGTTTTCTCTTTTTCTTTAATTTTTTTCTCAGAAGGTATCTTAATAATTAATCTGCCAAGTATAAAACAACATCTGTAAATGAGAAATTCATCATACTTTTGCATTTAAAATGGCAATATCAAAATAAATTAACTGTCCCATGGAAATAATTGGCTAAAATAATTTATTCTCCTACACACTTATAATGTTACATTATAGAACAATTAAAAATTAAACATTGTACTGAACAAATTTTATGAAGTATTTTTTGACATATGTGATGATGATGTATTCACCAGATAAAAACCATAAAAATTCAGCAAGACGTATACAGAAAGATTCCATCTTTGTGATATAAAATATATACACATCTGTCCGTCCATGTGTAGAAGTGCATATTTGTGTAGATGAAAAGACTGAACGGAAAGAAGTAATGATTAGTAATGGCAGTTCTGAGCGATAAAATTTTGGAGTTTTAATGTTTTGTTCAAGCTGTTCTGTACAACATTTTCAAAAATAAAATTATGCTGTTTTTAGAATCAGGAAAAAATGGCAAAGCATTAAATAATTTTTACAAACTTTCTATTTATTACATAAAGTTCAGAAATCCCCAAAAATGTAGTAGAACAGGGGGATTATGACTTTCCCAGTGCCAAGCAGTAACCATGGATGTGACTTCATGGAATATTCCTCCAGTTCTCCTGCTGCGCAGAGGTAAACACACAGTTAGGACGGGGCTTTACGCACAGCGATGTGCCTGCTCTTCCTTCCTCACTAAGCCCCAAGCATTCCCTGGCATGTGCACCGCATAGAGGGCCCAGCATTGCATTCACCCCCAAGCCAGGAGCTTAACCCGTAACCACTAACCTTCATCGGCCTGATTGCCTCAAAGCCCCATTTCCCTTATGGTTGTAAAACCCTACAACTCTCAAACTTCCCCTGTCCCCAGGTCTTCAAATAGAGCCCCCAACACTTCTGCATATCCAAACTCACTGCCCAGAAAGTCTCTCCTGCACACAGGGCGTCCATTCTGTGCATATGCACATATTGCAATAGGTGAATGTCCAAGAGCATTTTCACCTAGGATTTATCTTCAAAGGGTTAATGGGACTCACTGGGAGAGGAACAGGTCTGCTCCATTAGGGAACAGGGCAAGGTCAGGACTGACAGATGTAAAATTTGCCCCACGTCTGAACCGTGCCCTTAGGATTGGGTAGGATTTTCAGCTTTTGTTGGTTCTGTAAGTTGGATTTCAGGAAGGTCTTTTCTTTCATTTCTTTACAGCTATTCTGCTTTCAATCAGCAATGAAAGCAGAAGCTCCCCCTTCCAAATCTGCATAGACACCCAGCCTTCAGGCTACAGCAGAGCCAGCTCTTCCACAGACCTGCTCCACAGAGGACACCCCCCAACCCCAAGCAAAGCTGCTCATGTTCTAGAAAACTTCCAGAAGGAAAAGGTGGTGCTTCAGCAGCATAGCTAAAATCCTAGAACCAGAAAGGCAAGCAGGCCACCAGTGGATGCCTGCTTTGTTTTTTTTGTAGGCAGGAATTATATCAGGAATGCTTTTATGTTATTAATAATAGGCTTAAAAATTAGCTTTCCTATAAAATTTCTTGCAAAGACATTTACCCACACAAATTACCCAAGAAAATGATACAAGGACAGAAACCAATGCAGGAAAAGATGAGAAGAAAACAACAACAACAGCAAAACACTGAGCTGGCAGATGCGAAACCTGAGTTCTATCTCCACGTGGCCAATGTCTCACGATAGCTGTGGGTCACTCCTCCCCACTGCAGTTTCTCATTCTGTCAAATCATTTCCAACTCTAGGTTACAGCAAGAGTAGTTGCTATTAGGATTGCCCTTCATTGTCTAACTACAAAAGTTAGTCAATTCTTCAAGGTCGTAAAGTGAGGATTCACCTGCCGAATACCGGGCTTTGAGAATGATTATTCCTCACCGGAAAAGCGCAAAACCGGGTGTATCACATGTTTGATTTAAAAAGTGGGAGAATGGTTTGGTTGGGCTTAGAAGCTGGGGGGATCTGCTCTCCTATCTTTGGCCCTGAAAGCAGCTGTCAGCAAACAGGGAGGGAGGGAAGCTGACTCCACCTTTCTCTTTTTCTTCTGCCACATGGCCTTATCTATGCTGACAAGTTAACATACTGCCCAGCCCTCCTGCAAACCCCATCTCAGCACTGCAAACTTCTTAGCAGAATCCACTCTAACTTCTGAAAGTTCCCTCCTGCCTGTACCTCGTCCCTCAGGTTCACAGTCACCTCTCCAAGGACTTCTTTCCAATTCCAGGTTTGTACTGAGGTCGTGGGGCAGACACAAGCAGCTTGTGCAATCCCTGCAGTGCTGGATGAAAATCAGCACGCGGCAAATAGGACCTCCGTCCACACAGCCAGGTGTATGCAAATGCTTCCTTACCATTGTTCAATTCAAGGTAAGTTCTGTTCTGAGTCTGATTCCTTTCTGCCTTTTTTGGCCAATGCTGAGCTGCATCCTATCAGGGTGGGCACTCCCATGAGACCCCGGCACTGACTGGGGGCCGGGAGACGCGGTCTGTCTTCATGTATTGCCACCATGCAGGGTTTGCTGAGGTGGCCAACCTCCCACTGGAAATTACAATGAGATGCCCCTGACTCCAGTCTGTGTGGCCACCAAGCACATGCAGACCCTCCTTTACTTCCCTTCCTTGTGTCTTGCTGGAGACATGGAATCCACCCTGATGCTTTCAAGCCACCCTGGGCCATGGAGGTCTTTATAACAATCTCTTAATGTCTCTGCCTACCCCAGATATCTGGGGAGGGTAACCGACTTGAGTATTTTATAAAATCCTCTGCCCTCACCACGGGTGGCCGGGTGAGTCTAGTGACAGGAAGGTTCAAGAGCCACCACCTTAGACTTTTAATGTAGCCAGGCCTCTGTGACATTCCACAGGATTCCACCAAGGACACAGTCTCCTTTCAATTTACAAAGTCTGTGGGCTCGGTTGGGACCCATTTCCCCTTCTTCTCGCCAGAGAGCCAAGCCACCCTCTGCCAAATCCTCACCTTCAAGCACACGTATTCACACACTGGGATGTGCTCAAGTGATTCGGTCTAGGTTGATAACCTTGTAGAAACTCAGTTCCTTCCTGTATAAAATGGAAACAAGGGTAAGTGTCTACACAGGGTTAAATAAAGAGACTATGTAAGGCTCCATCTCATAATTGACAATTGACAAACGCTAAGTATTTATCAAGCAGCCAGCTGTGTGCTGTTGTGTTCTAGGCATTGGGATAATGGAAGAAAGAAAGCAAAGACCTTGTTCTTATAAAACTTCCATCTTACTTGTAGAAGGCAGACAAATAAGTAAATAAATATAGGCCTTAGGTGATAATGAGTATTAGGAAGAGAAACTAATCATAGAGATTACTTGTGATGGAAGCAGGCACACAATTCCATGTGGGCTCTCAAGGCTCCACGAAGCAGTGTGATCCCTCTTATGAACCCTCCCATGAAGCAGTGTGATCCCTCTTATGAACCCTCCCATGAAGCAGTGTGATCCCTCTTATGAACGCGCTTGGACACTCTTCTGATCAAAGACTCCAATGCCTTCTCATTATACTCGGAATTTAATCCAAAGTCCTTATGTCCTTATGATGGCAAACATTGTCCTTGTTTCCCAACTTGCTTTTAATGCCTCTTCCAGCCAGAAGCCTGTTCTGTATTATCCAAATGGACATGGTCTCTGTCTCTAAGTCCACTTAATATTTTATCTGTATCGCACCTGCGCCACTTTAACTGTGTGCCTTTGTAATACTATAAAAATATACATGTATTTTTTTCCCTTCCTATGTTACCATGTAACTAACTCCCTTCTCTCTGCTTCATGAGTGAACATTACATTTTTGCCATTATTTTATTCTGTTTTGTTTAATTTGGCATCCCACAAATTGCATTAACATATGATTTTTCCAATAAGAGAAGCTCCATGAAAGCATGCTGGATATAAAAGGTAAATTAACAAAAGCAAGATAGAAGTCATAATTCATAGATACTTTTATCATAACTTGGAATCTTGGCTTCCCAGTTAGAATTTTTGGTACCATGTTTCAGCTTTTGCATAGAACCTCATCTCTTTCGAAACTGATGGCACACAGATGAGTTGAATCATGTGGCTTAGATAGTGGCTTCTCTAACAGATAAAAACAAGAGAACTATTGGGATTTGTTGCACTTGAATCATCAGGATTCCTGCTTAGGTAATGGGGGAAGAGTGAGGGGCAGCAGCAGAAATGTGTTTTAATATTTATTTAAGCTTGGCGCAGCATATTTAAACTAATTGGAACCGTGTCTTGCAGGCAGACGTCCAGATCAGCTGGGAGCACAGGAGGCAAACAAAAGACTGCAGGAGCTGCAGGTGACTTCAGCCGGAGCCACCGAGCTCTGGGCATGTTCAAGCGCAGAGGCCGCCCTTGCTCCTCGTTCCCGCATTTCAGAGTGGACTCTGAGATCCTGCTTCTGGCTCTCCTCAGAGTCCTGATTTCCCACAGCTGTCTTCATCTGAGTCTCGTTCACAAGCCTGACCTGCTCCCGATCTCCACCCCGGCCCAGCTCTGTGCTCCTGCTTGGCCAAGGTCCTCCTCTCCGGTTGACCCACTGGGCTCCCCGGTGCCATGAAACTTGCTGGACAGTTAATGTTACCTGAAAAGAACTGAGACCATTCTGTGTTGAAATCCCAATTCTCTTCCTTTCCAAACTGTGAGCTTGGTGGAGTTCTTTAACATCTCTTAACCTGAGTTTAACTCATCTGTACAATGGGGATAGTGGTTTCCTGTCACAGAGTTTTGTGCGAACGGAATGAAACAACATATATAAGGTTTCTAGCACAGAGTAAGTGCTCAGTGCAAGTTAGCTGGACTTGTAGCTCTTAGCTATGAATATTTCAGCTAACACATCTGCAGCTGGAAGCTACTGGTAATTCTGTGTGATTCTATTACCCTCAGTAGCCTTCTTTTCAGACAATAAGACACATGGATGTTTGATGCATTGTAGACTGTGTATTTATTTTACCATTTAATTTATTTAATGAAGTTTTTTCCCTGAAGTTATATATATGTATATATATATATGTATATATTCTCTTTATAGAAAATCTGTGTACCTACCCACCCAAAATAAAGCTCCTTGGATTTAGTGGCATCATGGTTAGCTACATGACTGCTCTCTGGCCTACATCCTCTTATGGTTACAAAATTCAACTTCAACAGGAACTCAAGAGTCTTTGCTCCTGGCTGACATCAGAAATGATACCCTGTCATGGTTGAGAACTGGAGCCAAAGATAAAACCAAACCACAGACCAAAGAGTTTTCACGTGAGGAGCAAAGCTGTTAAAAGTATTCAGTTCATGTGAAGTGATCTTCTGGGGTCTTCACTTCTTAGGTATTCCTTTCTCCTTGGAGTCCTTTCCTTCTCCCTTAATTTCTCCTCCTACCCTTTCTCCCCCTCCTACCGTTTATCTTCCTTCTTCCCTTCCTTCCTTTCTCCCTCCCTCCCTCCTCTCCCTCCCTCCTTCCCTCTCTCCAGTCCTTCCTTGCTTACTTTCTTCTTTCTTTTCTTCCTCCTTCCTTTCTTCCTTTCTTTCTCTTTCTCTTTCTTTCTCTTCCTTCCTTTCTCTTTTTCTTTCTTCCTGCCTCCCTCCCTCACTCCCCCACCTTTTTCTTTCTTTCTTTCTTTCTTTCTTTCTTTCTTTCTTTCTTTCTTTGTCATTCTTTCTTTCATTCTTTCGTTCTTTCTCTTCCTTTCTCTTTTTCTTTCTTCCTCCCTCCCTCCCTCTCTGTCTTTCTTTCTTTTCTTTCTTTCTTTCTTTCTTTCTTTCTTTCTTTCTTTCTTTCTTTCTTTCTTTTTCTTTCTTTCTCTTTCTTTCTTTCTCTCCTCTCTCTTTCTCTCTCTCTCTTTCAGATATTCTCTGTGGTTATTTTTTAGATATAATTCCTATCCAAGAAGCTTGGGGTTACATTGTACCTGGAGGTCCCCTACCCCAGAAGTCCAGCAAACTAGAATGAGGTCCACAGGAAACACAGCAACATTAGACTCTTAAAGCATTCCAAAGACATTTTCACAGTCGAGACACAATGTCTATTTCATTATTCATACAACAAACAAATTACTACTTTATGCCATTGAATTTTCTCTTTTTTCTTCAATTCTGTTTAGCACTTTAGGTTGTTGTAGGTTTGTGCTTAATGTCCTGTAAAATACCAACATTTATAGGCCTGTTGCCTGCTTATTTTATTCCAGTCAATGAGATAAATGCTGTATGTATTTTTAAATGACTACACCTTTTATAAATTCTTCATGTAAAATTATTATGCACATTTTTCTACTAAAGAGTTTTGAGAAGATTAAATAACTTACCCAGGATTTAGTGAGTAGAAACTCTGAGATTCAAACTTAATCTTTTTGGTTACAACAATTGCATCTGCGTCATCACTTCTTGTATTCTTATTAGGTCAATATTATATCCAGAACCTTTTATGATGGTGTAATTAGATTTCAACTTTAGGATTTATTTAAATTATTTCCTTTTCATAGATAGAATAACAGAAAATTTTCAAACTGGAGCATTCAAAAAATGGTAAGTCATTTGTTCCAAGGCAATGTTTTATAATAATCATGACATCTTAAAGATGGTGCTGAAAACAGCAGTCAAACAGGCATGCACTTAAATCCTGTCAACACTATTTACTGCCTTTGAGGCTTTAAACAAATTATTTAATCTTTCAAACGCCCACATTTCTCATTTGTCTACTGGAGTAATAGTAGATAATGTCTTGCCTGAACTTCACTGGAAAGCAGAACTGAGACAAGGCTTGCTTCCAGCTGGTAAATTTTGTGGAGTCATTTCAGGGAAAAGGAATGAGGCAGCGGGAGAGTGAAAGCAACCATTTCCCAATGCTTCCCTCCTTCAATGATGCACATGGCTCTGTGTCATTAACGCCCGTACACTTCCAGGCTGTTCATTCATGAGTACAGGCATCTCCCTAGACATCTCAGAAAGCAACAGATAGCAGCTGAGGCAAAGTGCTGCCATGCCACACCTGTGCAGAGCTGGTTATTGTAGCAATAGCTAGACAAAAGTTCGAGCCGAAAGACTTGGTGGGTCACCAATGATATCCCATATTTTCTACTTCTTTGCTCCTGCCCTGCATCATTCAATCTGACAGAGAGTGTTCAAAGTGGTTCCATGTTGGTTTACAATAGATACAGCATGAGAGGGTTAATATAACAAGCCATGGTTCCTGTTCTTTTGAATGTGACTGACATATTTTACATCTGAGAAGGATGAATCACCTGCTCCACTGGATAAATGCGGTTCGATAAAATCAACGTCCACCAATTAGTTTTCTGATCTTTATGAGCTGTCACATTGAGAATTCAGAAGAAATATTGGGCTTTCAACAATGGCAATAGCTTGATTAGCCTTGGTGAGTGGGAATCTGTGCTATTTGATTCATGCAAAATCTCAATCTTAGCCACCAAAGCTGCTCCATTCATAGACCCATTGGAGAAGTATTGGACCAGCCAAGAATTATAAAGGATGAGTCATAAATACTGGCTGTTAAGTGACTGGTCTGTGGATAGACTTGTGAACATTAATAATGTAAAACACAATAATTCTGCATGCTTTGTAACCATTTATGTAGATACATCCATGTGCCTCTTCTTTCAAATCCCTTGTCTTCCTGTCCTTTGATCTATCATACGAGCTGTTGTCTAAGAAGTTACTATTGTCAAGAATAAGATTTTCCCTTGAAAATATGAAGCAATGAATATAATTCATTGCTTACTTAAGTGAAGTAGAGCTATGCTGGACAGTCATGTCTTTCCAATGTAAAGCAAACTGCAGATCTTAGGAAAAATTTTGTCTTGAGTTGTGTTGGTTACTGAGGCAGGAGGTTGTAGACATCAGTTTGGGAAAGATGATTTTTGTTTAAAGAAGTGGGAGTGATTGACTACAGCTTTAGTGGCACGTTTTGTCTTGGGTATAGAGGCCAGGATAGGGTTGATGTCACTGGGCTGAGTCACCTACCCATTTACTGACTTTCATACTATGAGGCTGCCACTGATTGGTTGGCTTTCAGAGATGCCTTCACTAGGGCAACCTGCCACTGAAGGGATTATGCAGGCTTAAAAACAATCCTGACATTTGCTTCTTATGAAGACTATAGAGCTGTTATTGGTTAATAAGACCAGTTTAAAACGAGTTCTACTAGCTCTTGGTTACCGTGAGTATAGAACAATTCTAGGAAATGGGGGGTGGGTCTTTGTTTTATTTAATTCTCCATTGTGTTCCCTTTTGCTCATCCTCAGTGAAGCTGCAGAAGGGATCATCAGCTTCCAGGAAATATCCAGATCCTCACCACTATTGTTGAACCTCCTTCAGGATGAGGTTTTCATTTTTGTTTTTTCTGCAAGGATATAATTTTCAATTCAAGTGTCAATCAGCAAAATTTCATCCCATAATTTATTGAGTCAACTTTTGAATTATCTGATGGGATAGTGGATAAATAGAAAATTTCAAAACTCTAGACAAGACACATTGAACAAGATTTTTCCTAGAACCTAAAAACTTGATCTAAAATTTCTAAAGAAAAAAAGCCTAAGAATAGCCAACACTATCTGGATGAAAACCTAAATGGGGCCAGGTGCAGTGGCTCATGACTGTAATCCCAACATTTTGGGAGGCCAAGGTGGGCAGATCACTTGAGGTCAGGAGTTCAAGACCAGCCTGGGCAACATGGTGAAATCCTGTCTCAACTAAAAATGCAAAAATTAGCTGGGCATGGTGGTGGGCACCTGTAATTCTAGCTACTCAGGAGGCTGAAGCAGGAGAATCACTTGAACTTGGGAGACAGAGGTTGCAGTGAGCCGATATTGTGCCACTGTGCTCCAGCCTGGACAACAGAGTGAGACTCCATCTTAAAAAAACAATAAAACTAAATGAGAAAAATTGCCTTACCAGAGAACAACTTATCAAAAAGTTATAATAATAATATAAACATTATGGAGAAAAAAAGTAACATACAGTAAAAAAATAAATAACAAAAAATTCTCTAATATTGTAGATATTAGAGGATGTATAGATTACTCAATAAATGATGCTGAGAAAATCGATAATCAGCATAAAAATTAAATAGGATCCCACTCCCATAAGATACACAGAAGTGAATTCCACATGGCTTAAAGGCTTAAACATGAACGGCAACTAAAAATATAGAATAAAACAGAAAAATATCTTGGTATTCCTGAAGAGAGGACTACATATAAACCACACACCAAATAACAACTGTAAATAAAAATGTTTTCAATTGATTATATTTAAATTCAAAGGAATTATTTTAATCCCAAAGCAACTTAAAGTTTGGAAAATACATCTTCAATCTCAGATAAAGTATCTGTAACACATATAAATGGCAAATGACTAGTTTCAAAAATATATAGAGACATTTTACAAATCAGTTAAAAAACACAAATAGCTCAATAGAAAAATGAGCAAAATTCAGTTAATAGGTATGTTACAGGAAAGGAAGATTAAGTAGCCAATAAATACATAAATAGTTTAACATCTTTTGTAAGTGGGAATAGGCACATTGAGATTAAAAGCATGGTAAGATTAATTCAGACAGGGAATATAGAGATTAAAATCCCTAGTTGAATTGTTGATGCCAAAGTAACACCACACCAATTATTTTTCAGTGCAAAGAAAAATTCATAACTCTACAGGCATACCTCATTTTATTGTTCTTTGTTTACTTGTGCTTTGCAAATACTGCGTTTTTTTACAAATTAAAAGTTTGTGACAATCCTGCATCAAGCAAACCTACCAGTGCCATTTTTCTAACAACATCTGCTCACTTCCTGTCTCTATGTCACATTTTATAAGTCTCACAGTATTTCAAACTTTTTCATTATCATTATATCTGGTATGGTGATCTGTGATCAGTGATTTTTGAGGTTGCTATTGTAATTGCCTGGGGCATCGTGCACTGCACCTATAAAAGAGAGAACTTAGTTGATAAATGCATGTGTTCTGACTTCCCCAGTAACCAGCCATCCCCACTCTCTCCTTCTACTCAGGGCCTTCCTATTCACTGAAACACAACAATATTGAAATTGAACCAATTAATAACCCTTTAATGGCCTCTGAGTGTCCAAGTGAAAGAGTCCCAAGTCTCTCACCTTAAATCCAAAGCTGAAAATAATTAAACTCAGTGAGGAAAGCATGCCAAAAGACTAGATAGGCCCAAAGCTCAACCTCTTGCACCAAACAGCCAAGTTGTAAATGTGAAGGAAAAGTTCATGAAGGAAATTAAAACTATTACGCCAGTAAACACATGAATGGTAAGAAATAAAAACATTGTTATTGCTAATAATGGAGAAAGTTTTAGCGGTCTGGGTAGGTGGTCAAACCATCTACATTTCCTTAAGCCAAAGCCTAACTCTAACACTCTTTAATTCAATGAAGCCTGAGAGAAGTGAGGAGACTGCAGGAAAAATGTTTGATGCTAGCAGAGGTTGGTTCATGAGGTATAAGGAAAGAAGCCATCTCCATAACAAAGAAGTCTCAAGATGAAGCAACAAATGCTGATACATGAATAGAAGCTGCAGTAAGTTACCTGGAAGATCTAGGTAACATCATTGAAGAAGGCGGCTACACTGAATGACAGATCTTCAATGTAGATGAAACAGCCTTCTGCTAGAGGAAGATGCCATCTAGGACTCTCATAGCTAGAGAGAAGTCAATGTCTGGCTTCCAAGCTTCAAAAGCCAGGCTGACTCACTTTTAAGGGGATAATGCTGTTAGTGATTTTAACTTAAAGCCAATGCTCACTTACCATTCTGAAAATCCTATAACCCTTCCAAAATATGGTAAATCTGCTTTGCTTGAGCCCTATAAATGGAACAACAAAGCATGGATGTCAGTACATCTGCTTACAGCATAATTTGCTGAATATTTTAAGTCCCCTGTTGAGACCTACTGCTCAGACAAAATAAAAAATTATTTCAAAATATTACCACTGTCTGACAATGCTCCTGGTCACCCAAGATCTCTGACAAAAATGTAAAAGGAGATTAATGTTTTTGATGCCTTCTAAAACAACATACATTCTGTAGCCAATGGATCAATGGATCATTTCAACTTTCAAGTTTTATTATTTAAGAAATACATTTTGTATGGTCATAGCTGCCACAGACAGTGATTCTTCTGATAAATCTGGGAAAAAGATGAAAAACTTTCTGGAAATAATTTGCTGTTCTAGATACCAATAAAAACACTTGTGATTTATGGGAGGAGGTCCAAATATCAAGATTAACAAGAATTTGGAAGAAGTTGATTTCAACTCTTATGAATAACTTTGAGGTATTCAAGATTTTAGTGGAGGAAATTACCTCAGATGCTGTGGGAATAGGAAAAAAATAAACAGAGTTGGAAGTGGAGCCTGAAGATGTGACTATATTGCTGCAATCTCATTATAAAACTTGAATAGATGAGGATAAGGAGTTGCTTCTTATGGATCAAGACAAAACGTGTTTTTTTGAGATGGGATCTACTCCTGTTGAAGATACTATGAACATTTGTTGAAATGTATTTAGACTATTACATACACTTATTCGATAAATTAGTGGCAGGCTTTGAAAGGATTGACTCCAATTTTGAAAGTAGGTCTAGTGTGGGTAAAATGCTATAAACAGCATTAAGGCTACAGAGAAATATTTCACGAAAGTGAACTAGTAACTACTGACCTGTATTTTTATGAACACTTCAGTATTTCCATATTGCATGTCTGAAAACATATAAAAGCTCAGTGTATTGATGTGGCAAACTTCATTGTTGTTTTACTTTTAGAAATTTCCACAGAAGTGAGCCGAGATTGCCGCTGCACTCCAGCTTGGGCAACAGAGTGAGACTGTCTCAAAAAAAAAGGGAAATTTCCACAGTCACCCCAACCTACAGCAATCACCGTGCTGATCAATAAATAGCCATCAACATCAAAGCAAGACCCTCCACCAGCAAAATGATTACTGCTCACTGAAGCCTCAGGTAATTTTTTTTAGCATCAAAGAATTTTTAATTAAGGTATGTACATTTTCCTGAGATGCAATGCTCTTACACACTTAATAGACTGTTGTATAGTGTAAACATAACTTTTTTATGGACTGGGCAGCAAAAAATTTTGTGTGACTCACTTTACTGCAGTATTCACTTTATTATGGCAGTGAAACCCAATCCCAAATATCTCTGAGATATGCCCAATATACTTAAATGATCTGATTGTTTTCATCTCAATAAAATGATCAGTTTTAACATCATTAACTATGATACAACCAAATATCTTTCCCTCTGGCTGCATGCGATATGAAGTATACTTGTAGTGTGTGCTAGCCAAAAAAAAAAAAAAAATGCAGAACTTGAATTCTTTAAGCTTTCACATAACTTTAATTCACAGGGATTAGATGTAGAGGCACAATGACACTATGGAGAAGCAACTAGAGAAATCCAAAAAAATGGGATATCTTATAAACGTCCTATGCAAGCCAATATAATAAAAAGTGACTGCACAAGAATACAAGAGAGTTAGGAATGTAAAAATGGATTACACTGCATAGTCCTGGATCAGAAACCAGTTCAAGCAAACCTTTACAGTTCAAGCTTTAAAGAATATGTAGGTCTATTCAAAACTATGAAAATGATATAGAAATTAGAAGAGATGTAAATATCCTGCAATCAAAAGTTCAAAATTGTTAATTTTAAAAACAGATTACCAACAGCACATAGGGTACGATCTCACTTTGGTTAAAAAGATCTGGAAGTATAGGTGGATTTGAACTGAAATATTAAAAATGTTACTTTTTGGGTGTTGCGAACATGCTATTCTTAATATATTGATGTTTTTCTATATTTTCTAATTTCTAATACACATATAATAAGAAAATTTATTTGAAAGCAACACCAAAAGATGACATTTTATACCTATCACATTGGCAAAAATGTTAAAGTTTGATGAAATCAAGTATTATCAAATACATGGGAAAATATACTCCTAAATTGAGACCCTGAAGAAGCTCTTGTTCATGTGGATCTGAGCAAAAATTCCCACAGTTTGCAAAAAATTAGGAACTGTCCAATGTTATTAGAACTAACTGGAGTAATGAATTATGTTATATTTGTACAATTTCACTGTAAAATGGTAAAATAAATGAATCAATTACAGTTATACACATAAACAGATGATTTTCAAAACGTTAACTTTGAGAGAAAAATTGATGTCATGAAGATCACCAACAGTCAGATTTTACATAGGTTTAAAATAGAGACCGCTGCTTTTATATGTTTTCAGACATACAATATGGAAATACTGAAGAGTTCATAAAAATACAGGTCACTAGTTACTTCTGGGAAGAAACAAGACACAATCAGGAAAAGTATATTAGAGGTATATTCAGAGGTAACGTATATTCAGAGGTAAAGGTGAATACTCTAAATTTGAGTTTCAGGTACACTTGATTTTATTTTTAATTTTGAAGTCATTATTATACATAAATACAATCATGTGTTGCTTTATGACAGGGATGCTATCTGACAAATGTGTCCTTAGGTGACTTTATCCTTGTGCCAATATCATACAGCATGCTTTCACAAACCTAGATGATAGAGCCTACTTACACACCTAGGCTATACGAAATAGCCTATTGCTCCCAGATTACAAACCTGTACAGCAGGTCATTACACTGAGTACTACAAGTAAGTATTTGTGTAACTAGATATATTTAAATATAGAAAAGGTACAATAAAAATACTCTGTATTTTAATCTTGGGGACCACCACTGTATATAGAGTCTGTTATTGACCAAGATATCATTATGTGGTGCATGACTGTATATATAAATAGCATATTTCTATGTGTATATATATTTATATGTATAGTTAACCCTTGAGTAACGTGGATTTGAACTGTATCGGTCCCCTTATATGTGGATTTGGTTTCCCCTCTGCCACCCCTGAGACAGCAAGACCAACGCCTTCTCTTCCTCCTCCTCCTCAGCTTATTCAACAGGAAAAGACTGAGGATAAAGACCTTTATGATGACTCACTTTCACTTGATGAATAGTAAATCTATTTTCTCTTCCTTGTGATTTTCTTAATAACATTTTCTCTAGCTTGCTTTATTGTAAAGATATGGTGTATAATACATATAACATACAAAATATGAGTTAATCCACTATTTATGTTATTGGTAAGACTTCAGGTCAATAGTAGGCTATTAGTAGTTAAGATTTTGGGGAGTCAAAAGCTATGCAACAAATTTTCTACTGTGCCAGGATGGTGGAGTAGGTCAATGCCCCAACCAATGTGTTGTTTAAGGATCAACTGTGTATTTACTTTTTTATGTATGATACAGTCATAGTAAAATTAAAATTATTAATGGATACACCAATTGCTTCTATTTACAGGTCAATTCTGACTTTACCCACAAGGCCGAGATTTATTTTTAGTAGAGACAAAGCAAAGCTGGCACCTGCAGCTCTTTATATTTTCAACTTTGCATTTGGGCTTAAAGTGTGCAAGTATTTGTTGGCAATCGTCCCAGAGAGACTAGAATTTATCCAGCAGCCAAAGAGTTGAGTCCTGTACAGAAACTACACATCCAATGAAAACATCTTCATTTATTATTATCCTTTCTTATGGATATCTGCATATCTGATCAGCTTCAACTGCACTCCATCTTAACATTTTGCTGGCTTGTTTGAACTTAAATTTCCACACATATTCAGAATGCAAAACAAGCAAATAAACACATTAAAAATGCATGACGTACATCTATAATGTCTTTACTGTTTAGGTCCAGCTAGGCTTTGTTATTCCCGAGATGCGAAAGACATTGATTGACCCTGAAGAAGCTAAGGTTGTTTGACGTGTCAGCTGTGGCAAGGTTATGAACAGCGTAGAATAAACAGGTATAAACAAAGTCCACGGGACTCTGTGGCAGGGAGAGTGACATGCTTGATTCTACATGGGGGCCTCAGTGGGGACGTTGGAGATGGAACTTGGAGACCCAGTGGGAAAGGTGAGGGAGTGTGAGACAAAGGAAATATCATTAATAAAAACAGAGGAGTTACCAGATTTGATACAGTAACAAAAGCAGTGACACACTTCTCCTCTTTCAATTTTCTCCAGGAAGGAAAGGTGGCATGTCCTGCGAGGACAGGTGCCCTCTTCCTTCTCATTTCCTCCTGATGCTCAGGTGAGCTGGCTTTGTGCTGCGTACAGCAGAGAGTGAAGAGAGAAACACTCTCACCAGATCTGAGAGTACCTGGTGGATTTGTTTTCTCACTGAATGGCACTTTAAAAAGTCATTTAACTTTCTTTTTGAAAAATTTACTTTAAACAACCTCTTTCAAAGTCATTAAAGAGAAATCTGCTAAAATGAGCTTTTTTTTTTATTTTAGCATCATCCTGGCCCAAATAGAATCATTTTTAGAGACACTGATCTTGTTTATGATATTATTAGAGGAAGGCCTAGAACAATGGCAGGTTTGGGCTGTGTGTGAACCAGGACTTTGCAGTCCCCTTTCCAACATCTACTAGGGCCAGGACCATTCTCCTCACTGTAGGAGCTGCACGCTCTGCATGATGTCTAGAAATTAAAGCATGGCTTTCTCTCCCCTTACTCATTCCTTAAGCATTAGTATTAATTTTTATTGATTTTCAAAAATACATAGTAAGGCAAAATTCAATTTCAAAAAGCTTCCACTGTGGGAAAGCTTTTACTAGGTTATAACCTCGTTAATTTATGGTCAATTTTAATTCTCCCTTACTGAACATAGCCTTACACTTGTGACCCAAGATTTGAGTCTGTCTTTACAGCCTGCTTATAAGTTACTCCCCATGCATAAGCCAATACATGAAGAAGGCAGCCATTGTTAACCCTTCTGGCTGCTGAGGGTTTAAAGTAACTTTCTCCTACAAAACCCAATGAAGTGAAGGGCTGAAGTGCAGTTTTCCATTCTTAGGTAACCCAGAGTTACTGATGCAGATATCAAATTTCAGAAGACCATCACTGAGCCCTCCATTCAACTACTGAGTAACCAGAATGAGCACCATTGCTCTAGTTAGAATGCCATTTATCACTTCTTTATCAATTTAAATTAGGCATGCCTTTTGTTGCTTTTTAATCTAAATGCCCTCCTTAGTACCCAAATTACAAATGTTTGTTGGATACCTGCTCGGGGCTCAGGGCTAGGGATACTAAAAGAAGTAACAGTTCTTGTCTTTTAGGAGCTCCCTACCCTATTTAGACTGGTAAACCTATAATGCAACTTAATGCGTAAATGATGCAATGAAGTGCTGAAGAAACACAGAAGAGGGACAAGACAGTAGGGGAGACTTCCTGAAAGATGACGTTCAAGCTGAGTCTTAAAGTATAAAGTTCAGCCACTTAAAGAGGATGGCATAGAGCATCCCAGTCAAAGCGAACACCACGGTCAAAGAAACCATAGGATACAATTTACTTGGGGAAAAGGGAGGGTATGTGTGCGTATGCATGCACACACATGCATGGGTTGTAGAAGAGAGAGAGAAGGGGGTGCTGGCAAAGGAAGCTAGACAGGAGGGCAGAGGCTAGATTGCGAGCAGCCTGTGTGCCAAAGTGAGGAGGTGCTGGGGGATCATGAACATAAGAGGAGCTTGATCTGACAACACTGCCTTTATCCCACCTCACAGTGAGTGTAAACAACCAAGGACCAAGGCTTGCCCTATATTTGTACAAAATTGCATTGTCTCATAGGCATAAAGACTATCTGAAGCCAACAAATACATCAGGCCCCTAATCAATAAATTTGCTAATTTCTCTTTTCTTTGTGACTATTTATCTGCATTAACTCAACATAGGTACAGAAGGAAGAAAATTGACGCCATAGCTGGGCGTGGTGGCTCACGCCTGTAATCCTAGCACTTTGGGAGGTCAAGGCGGGTGGATCACCTGAGGTCAGGAGTTCGAGAGCAGCCTGACCAACATGATGAAACCTTGTGTCTACTAAAAATACAAAAATTAGCCGGGCGTGGTGGCGTATGCCTGTAAGCTCAGCTACTCTGGAGGCTGAGGCAGGAGAATCACTTGAACCCAGGAAGCGGAGGATGCAGTGAGCCGAGATTGCACCATTGCACTCCAGACTGGGCAACAAGAGTGAAACTCCATCTCAAAAAAAAAAAAAAAAAAAGAAAGAAAGAAAGAAAAGAAAAAAGAAAATTGATGCTATAACATGAATATTTAAAAACACTTACTAAAATTTCTAGAAGGTATTAAGATATTTACTTAGGCGGTTTTTAAGTCTGTCAGATAAATAATGTCATTTATGTCGAAATTTCAAGCATATTCCAAGAAACTAGGAATTATTTCAAGAAATTAAACTTGAATAAAGGATATTAGCTCTACTTCTATATCAATAGTTTGTTTTTTTCAAGGGCCATCCAAGGGAGAAGGAAACTCCAAGAAATAATGTGCATTTATAGATTAAGTTCCAAATGCAAAATTGCAAATGCAAAAATAAAAATGTAATAAGTTGTCACTATTTGTTTGTTTATTTATTTTCTTTGTTTTGTGGGACAAAAACCTGACAATCACACTAATTTCAGAAAGGTTTTTCCTGCTATCTATCAGGTTTTAAGGGTAATTTGCAACACATGCACATATACTCACCCACATTTTAGAGAGGAAGAAACATTACAAATTATTTACTCCAATTCTGCAATTTGTGCTGATAAAGAAATTGAGATTCAGAGAGGAAAAGTAACTATTTCAGGTTCACCAGGAAGTGAGGCACAATCCAAGCAGGGAGGAAGGCACACCAGCATCTTCATAGATTTTACATTTCCTCCCTACCGTCTTCCTCCCTCCTCCCCATTTCTTTTTCTCTTTCTTTCCACCTTCCCTACCTCTCCCTCCTTTATTTCCTTCCTTATTTCCTGCCTTCTTTCCTTCCTTCCTTCCTTCCTCCCTCCCTCCCTCCCTCCGTCCTTCCTTCCTTCCTTCTTCCTCTCTTCCCAAGAGTTAATTTAGTATAAACTTTTTTTTACACAAACTATGGTTACTTTAAGAGAAGTCTTTCTTCCATCCTCACATATATTTGTATGAATTTATCTATCTGCCTTTGTTTATGTTTGTAGAAATTCTTTAAAAGGGCAACCAAACATTTCCCAATGAGCTTTTTCTGATTATTTCAGTGAAGTTTCCAGCTGCTTTGTGAGTGCATTAAGATGGAAATTTGCCAAGGGTCGTGCTTTAGTCATCATATCCTTAAGCAAAATAAACTTACTATGACTCTGCAGCAACCTCTATCATTGGATCTTTGAAAGTAAAACAGACTAAGCCATCTCCTTCTATTTTCTGGTCTAAACGGTCCATCTCAGCGAGCAAATGTAAATGTCTATCATCCTCTGGCTCCTTTTAACCTGCTTGAGCCGGCCACCACTCTGTGTCAAAGGCTACTCTTGGGAGCTCCCTGAGATTCTGATTTGAGTGAGTCTTTCAGAAAAGACATGCATTTGCCCCTCATCTGGAGTTAGGCCATGGGATTAACCTCAAAGTGCTTCCCTTGGGCAGATTCAAAATAAGCTTCACAGAAGATGTGAAGTTGGTCTTTGAACTTTCGAGAAGAGGCCTCTGAAACCCGGAGGGCTGGCAGCGAGACAAGTTGTGTGGAGAGTTTGCAGCTCCTGGGCCTTCTAAACAATTAGATAAAAATCAGGTTTGCCAACGTCCCTTTTTTCAGCAAAGGAATAATATATGCTTTTGCCAAAAGTCTCCTCTTGTGACCAGTGTGATTTTAATTACATCTTTTGGCATTGTCTAAAGCCCTGAACCAGAAAATCCACTTATTAGAAACAAAAACAAACAAGCAGGACCTCGAGAAATAAGTCTAAATGCTACAGTGAAAGCTAAGAACATGAAACAAAAAATGTCTAAAGAACTTCAGTGTTGTCAAGAAAATACTGTCTTTCTCTTAAGGAATAAAACGGATTCTAGGAAAGTTATCAGTCATCAAAAAAGAGCCTTAATCAGATCGAAGAGACAACACAATATAAATAATGGAAGAGCCAAAGAAAATTAAAGCCATGTTGTTTAAACTGATTTTGTTCCTATTTTCCTGATGTCCCTGTATTAAATCAGTGTAAGTAAAGTGGTTAAGTTTATTTTGAACACATATGAACACATTCTTAAGATACATTGTCTATTAGTAAACATGTATCTACCTATTTATAAATGTTACATGTAACTGCACACATTTTATTAAGGTCATTAGAATATGCACTTTTTATGATACGATGGGCTGGCCAGTGACAGTCCAGAACCTGTTTTTCTTTTTTTGTTTTTTTTGTTTGTTTGTTTGTTTTCAGATGGGGTTTCGCTCTTGTTGCCCAGGCTGGAGTGCAGTGGTGCGATCTCGGCTCACTGCAACCTCTGCCTCCTGGGTTCAAGCGATTCTCCTGCCTCAGCCTCCTGAGTAGCTAGAATTACAGGCACGTGCCACCACGCCTGGCTAATTTTGTATTTTTGGTAAAGACGGGGTTTCTCCATCTTGGTCAGGCTGGTCTTAAACTCCCAAACTGAGGTGATCAGCCCACCTTGGCCTCCCAAAGTGATGGGATTACAGGCGTGAGCCACCATGCCCAGCCGAACCTGTTTTTCAAAAAGACCAATTCTTTTGATCGAATCTTCAGGAATATAATTAGTTAGCACTATACTTGTTACCAGGTTTCTGTACACTAATTCCTCTTGTTGAAGACTTCTTTTAAGAATGTACATTATTATAATAAAAGGGACAAAGTTAGGTTTAAGACATTTCAAAAGCTAAAATCACATTAGCTCAAATGAGATCCCCTAATGGAGGGAGTACTGTGTAAATGTTAAACATGCATGACTTCCTGTTGCCTATCAGATGAGGTCCACACTCCTCAACCACACACCCCAGGTCATGGTGAGATGGCTCATGTCCAACACAGTCTTGGTCCCACAGACACCCCGCCCTTCAGGAACACTCACTGAGGTTTGCTAGAGAAGTTTTGTATTTCTGTGCCATTCACATATGATTTCTGCTGCTTGGAAAATGTTTTCTCCATTTTTACATCCTGTGGGTTCCCCTTTATCCTTCAGGACTTCAGGAAGGCACTTTCTTCTTTGCTAAGCCCTCTGGGGACCTTTCCATATGCATCCCAGCCTCTGCAGTGTCCCCTCATGCCCTCGTTTTTACAGTCTTTCCTACATGTCCCTCTCAGCATTGAGAACCATGTTTTGCAGTTGGTGGTCTTCCTGATTCAGTTACTCTAAGTAGTCAGCTTTTTCAGGGCAACAATATATGCGTTTTACTTCTGTCTCCAGAACCAGAACTTTATCTGACATGTAATAAGAATTTTGAGATAGATCATTTAAAAAGAAAGGAAAAAAAGGAGAAAAAGAAGGCAGAAAGAAAGGAAAAGAGGGAAGGAAGAGGGAAGAAGCGAGGGAGGGGGGAAGGAGGAAAAGACGCAGTAAGGAAAAAAGAAAGGAAGAAATGAAGAGAGGGAGGAAGGTAGAAAGGATAGATGAAAGAAAGAAGAAAGGTACACGTGAAAGAAAGAAGAAGAAAGAAAGGAAGAGAAGGAGGGAGGAGGATGGAAGGGGGGAGAGAGATGAAGAGAGAGGGGGAGAAAGAAAAGGAAAGAAAGGAGAAGAGAAGGGTGGGAGGGAGAGGAATGCAAGAAAAAAGGAAAGTAGGAGAGAAGAAAGAAAAGATACAGGAAAGAAGGGGAGTGAGGAGAGTGATGAAAGATGAAAGGAAGCATAGATAAAGGGGAGGACAGATGGACAGGAAGGAGGGAAGAAGGGAGGGGAGAGAAAGAAGAATGGAGGGAAGGAAAGAAAGAGGAAGGCAGGAAGGAAGGAAGGAAGGAAAGAGGGAGGGAGAGAGGAAGGAAGGGGAAGAAAAGGAAGGAAGAGAAAGAAAGAAAAGGAGAGAAGAAGGAAGGAAGGAAGGAAAGAGGGAGGGAGAGAGGAAGGAAGGGGAAGAAAAGGAGGAAGGAAGAGAAAGAAAAGGAGAGAGGAAGGAAGGAAGGAAAGAAGGAGTGATGGAGGGCAGGAGGGAGGGAGGAAGGAAGAAAGAAAAAGGCTCAATTATTTTTGTGTTTTGCTGTGAACCCTTTAGCAACAACAAATGCAGACAACAGTAGAGGAGTCAGGAAGTCCATGTCAGATGAAGAGGCAGCGACAGGGCACTACGGGAGAGGCTGTGAGCCGTCCCTGGCCTGGTGAGCACCTGCAGCTGTGAATGCTAAGGACAGAACGGCAGTCCTCGACCTGTTTTTACAAAGAGCAGTCCTTTTGATTAAATCATCAGGAACATGATTATTTGGCACTTCCGGTTTTTACCTGGTTTCTGTACACTCATCTTCTTTTGTTAGAGGACTCTTTTTTAAAATGTGTGTTATTAAAATAAAGGGGACAAAGTTAAGTTTAAGACATTTTCCAAGGGTAAATATTACATGAGGACAAATGAGATCCCCTCATGAAGCAAGTAACCAGATCTGGAGGTGTGTGTTATCTCCATGGAGAAAATGTGAGTTTAAGTGAAACCAGAGGAGTGGGTCATTCTGCGCCTGACCCCGGATGCCTCTGCACAAGCCTGACTCTCATTCCAAACCCGTCAGCAGCGCACAGAGTTCTGTACAGAAGGGCTTTGTGGCCGCGTGTGGTATTTATTTCAAGCTAGTCTTTCATCTGGAGTCAGAGGAAACATTTAAAACCCAACGAGGTGAACTGCAGAAAGAAAGCAAACTCCAGGAGGAAGGTATAGCTGGAGATTGCTCATTTGTAAACACCTGACTATTCAAAGAAAGGAGAGATCTCATTATTCTTCACCTTTACCAGAAAAGCGAGGTCTAAGAGAAGCCCCTCTCCGGGTGGAGATAGCACAAATTTACCTTAAAGAGCCCAACACCACAGAAATCTAGTGTTAATTCTGAGCACTCAGCACTTAAGAGAAAATGTATCTTTCTGTGATTAAGTGAATAGTTTTGTAAGTCCGTTTTAGTTATCTGTTTTTAAGAGAGTGAGCATGTTTATTTTTAAAAACTATAAAGTTTCTATATTTGTATATAGACTTCTTGTTTTAATAATTTAGATTATTTTAAAAATGTCTTCTGGGGAGCATTAGTTTCTAAGGTGCCAGTAGTTGTTGCTTTAAAAAAAATTATTCTTGGCCAGGCTCTGTGGCTCACGCCTGTAATCCCAGCACTTTGGGAGGCCGAGGAAGCAGATCACCTGAGGTCAGGAGTTCAAGACCAGCCTGGTCAACATGATGAAACCCCATCTCTACTAAAAATACAAAAAGTAGCTAGGCGTGGTGGCACACACCTGTAGTCCCAGCTACTGGGGAGGCTGAGGCAGGAGAATCGCTTGAACCTGGGCGACAGATGTTGCAGTGAGCTGAGATCACACCAATGCACTACAGCCTGGGCAACAGAGTGAGACTCTGTCTCAAAAAAAAAAAAAAAATTGTTCTTTATCTCAATACATTGAGAAAATATTGACAAAAAATTTCAATTAAAGACTTCTTGAAAGGTTCTCAATCTTTCATTTTCATTTTGCTCCTCAATCTTGACAATAAAATGATTCCCAGTAGGAGCAAATTTTGGAAAATACTGATTAACATCACAGAATATTAAAATTGAATAAGGAATCTACAGTAATCTAATAAAATTGTTTTCTAACCTGGGTATTCATTAGAATTGTGAAGGATCCTAAAAGAGAAATTTATGTTCTTCACTCTGCGGTTGCTGTTTAGTTCTCAGATGGGACACAGAAATCTGAAGTTTTCAAACAGTCTCTGGCAATTCAGAAAGATGTGGCATTGTTTGGGAACCACCACTGAAGCTACTACCTTGTATTTTACAAACACTGAAAATAAATTCTAACTATAATGCTAAATCATGGGCCTCCAGTATCTAACATACTGCAATTCTATTCCAGAATTCCTTACAAAAGTGTTTCCCTGCCCCCATTTTCTGGTGACTCATGTCACAACCAAGTCTGAGTGTGGTCTGATGGATGAGGCAGTGTGTAGAAGTCTAGGAGACCTAGGAGACACACAGACAACATGCCTGTTTTGAAAGTCTACACACTGGGTTCTGGCCTCGGCTCTGTCATTAATTAGTAATTTGATTTAGGAAACTTTCTTACTCTTCCCAGGCCTTCCTCTTGTTCCAGATGAGAAGTTTGAACAAAATGTTTTCTTAGGTCAGTAGCACCTGAGAACGATTCTGCTCTGATTAGACACAAAAATGCGACAGGACATTATTGTGTCGTTTTACAAACGTCAGTTCAAATACATATGAATTGCTGAGAAATCCTGCCCAAGCTACATGTTTGAGAGCAAAGTGGACTGGATGCGTAATTCCTGGAGCTAAAAAGGGAAAAGTCCTTCAGACGTCTGCCTACAGCCTGTGCTTGACCCAGGAGACAGAGTGACTCATGCATGCCATTTGCTGCAATTCCCTGACCTGTGCAAGCACAAGGGATCAGAAGTCAGACTCATAACAGGAAATGCTGCTAAAATTATAGCTCCCTCCCTGAACCTGGCCTTCCTGCTATCTGTTCTTTTTGATGGGACATAATTGAGCCAGCTCTGGTTACAGAGACAGAGGCTTGGGAAAGTCAATGGTCAGAATGAAGGTGACCCTGCAGAAGAATCCATCAAAGAATAGGGTTTCTTTGTGCATGCATGCTTTGCGTGGTGGGGGCTGGGTTCAGTTCCCAGGTTTGTGACTGAATATCATTTTCGGCTTCAATGCCTAGTGCTGACATGAGTTTCTCCGGATGGCTTTTCTATAAAAAGGTGAGTGCCTTATCATTCATCTTGTCCTTCTCATTGAACTTTTTAAACTTTCTCT
The DNA here is from genome assembly GCF_000001405.40 of Homo sapiens. Classification (NCBI taxonomy): domain Eukaryota; kingdom Metazoa; phylum Chordata; class Mammalia; order Primates; family Hominidae; genus Homo; species Homo sapiens. Next base: position 6,187,363 of record NC_000002.12, read on the forward strand.
TCAAAAAAATTCTGAACCCCAGACGGGCCCTTTTGGGTCTTGGGCAACCTCTGGTTGCAGAGCAGGGCCACGAGCATGCAGTGGGAGGGGATCCAGCAGCCAGGCTGCTCCCCACACTGCAGGGCTTCTGTGAACTGCAAAGGCCTTGAAAATGACTTCGTGCCTGATTTTTATTTTCAATGGATTTCTAGAAAGCCAAGTTTAAATAAAGTTTTAAAAATAAATGAATATCTAATTCATTACAGAAGCACTCTATCTGAAAATTTCCTATTATATATTTAATATATGTAAAAATATATTTTTATATAAAAGTTTATATACATACATTTATTTTTTTTTTATTTTTATTTTGTTCGAGACAGAGTCTTGTTCTGTCGCCCAGGCTGGAGTGCAGTGGCACAATCTCAGCTCACTGCAGCCTCTGCCTCCCAGGTTCAAGCAATTCTCCTGCCTCAGCCTCCCAAGTAGCTGGGATTACAGGCATTGGGCCACCACGCCTGGCTAATTTTAGTATTTTTAGTAGAGACGGGGTTTCGTCATGTTGGCCAGGCTGGTCTCGAACTCCTGACCTCCTGATCGACCTGTCTTGGCCTCCCACAGTGCTGGGATTACAGGCATGAGCCATGGCACCTGACCATAAATTTATGTACCTGTAATATATATGATAAATGTGTTTATTTTAATCAAAATGATTAATTAGAGGAGGACACAGTAGTAAAACTGTTTCATAGATTGAGAAATCCCCCAGTAGCCTGGCTTGTTGGCAGTCTCCTTCTAGAGCTGTAGATGAAAGCTGCATGCCAGGGACACCAGAGCATGTGGGGAACCCGCACATTCAGCTTGCTTCCTTGTCTGTGCCCAGGACACGTGCCTCCTACTCCATCCCTTTGGGCAGTTAGATGTCACTCCTCCTTCAAGTCCTAGCTGAACCTTGTCCCTGCTCTTCTAAGGCAGAGTTAAGTCCATTTTTCCCAGAGCAGCTTCACCATTGTTTTTTCAGAACTCTTCTCCAGATTAGACTCTTTGAAGGAAAGGACCATGAATTTTCATCTGGGCTTCCAGCTCCAAGTACAGGCCTGGGCCCCTAACTTATTCAATAAATACTTATAGACAAAAATTGATTTGATATGCCAAGCCATGTTCTCATTTGCTTATTCAGTAAATATTTGTTGAATGTCATTCCCGTGCCTGGAACTATCCTAGGGCTCAAAGGCTGAAGATGAAAATGCACCTGCTTTCACGGAGTTTGTGTTCCAGTCAAAGGAAAAATGGCAATATGTACCTATATGAATAAAGAAATAATTTATTATCACACTGAATGCTATAGAGAAAATATAATACATAATAGGTTTGAAAGTAAATTGATAGGTAGATGGTGGCTAATGTCAAGGTTGACCTCTTTGAGAAGGTAATGATTGAAATGAAATCTACAAAAACAAGGAAGACTTAGTCCTGTGGGAATTTAGGAAAAGTGTATTCTGAATGTAGTTTATCCAAAGTGAAACCAACAAACAAAAAACAGAGGTGGGAGGAAGACTATATTTTTGAAACTGAAATGAAGAAGTCCAATATAGCTAAACTATGGCAAATAAGAGTGAGAGATGTTGGCAGTGGCAAATTCATGAAAGGTTAGAAAGTTGTGAGGAAGATATAATTATAATCCTAAACCACTGGAAGGCTTACAGCAGGAGAACGTTGTGACATTTTTGACTTTTAAATGACTGCTGTCATTTAAAACTATAGAGCGTGGGTCCAAGAGTCATCTGATAGAGTGTGGGTCCAAGAGTCATCTGATAAACAAAAACATGGAACTAATGACCCCGGAGCAGATATCTGAGGGCAGGGCCAATAGAAGTGGTCAAAGCTGGACCTATAAATTCGGGAGACCTCAGAATATGCATTGTGCACAGGATGATGGGGAATAGATGAGATTACCTAAGGAACAAAGGGAGATAAATACAGGACACTTACATATGTGGAGTTCTGGTAGACATGAGGAATTAGCGAAGGAGGCCGAGAAGAACAGGACCAAAGCAGGAAGGTTTTGTGACACCCAGAGACTGCAGTGTCTGAGAGAGAGTCACTGGCTAATGCTGCTAATGCTACTGAATAGTTGGGTAAGATAAGGAACAGATAATTAACTAGTAAATTTGAGAATATGAAAGTCATTGGTAAGCGATAAAAAAATCATTATATTGGTGGCAACAAAGATAGAAATGAAGTAGGTTAAGAAAAATATACAATGTAAAAAAATGGAAATAGCAGGGATCATGTTGTAAAAAGGAGAAAGGAAATGGAGGCACTGTTTGAGAGAGATGTGGGGTCCAATGAGGTTTGATGTTTTGTAAGGATAATATTAACACATGTATAAGGCCAGGAAAGCTAGTGGACAAAGTCTAACAAAGAGTGAGACACTGAGATGAAGCGGAGGTGAAAGATATTGCTAGAAGAAATTCCTGAGTACCTGTGAGAGGATGAGATACATCACACAAGGAAAAACAGGCTTTAGGTAAAGCCAGAATATTTCTGTCTTTGAATAGAAACTCATAGTAAGTGCGCATATATCTCAAGACATTAGTTCATCCTTTTTCAGCTATGAGGTGAGGTCATTAGCCGAGAGTTGAGGCCAGGAGAGTGCCAGAAGTTGAAAGAGAGAGATGACATGAAATAGCCTACTCTGAGAATGGGATATTGGGTTCATCTAAGTGTCTGTCAATGCTTTTGGACATACACTGGAAGAGATATTTAGACATCTCAGCTGTATAAGTGTATCCAGCAACATGTAGTTACAAAGAAGCTGCGTGGGGTTGGCTGAGAGTTGGCAGGCTAAGCATTTTCTCATTGAGAAGGAGAGTGGAGAGAGGGACACAGGGGCGAGGGTGTTTTATGAGAGTCATAGATAACATAACGGTGGGGTCTAAATCAGAGCGTGTGAGAACAGGAGCAAGGAGAATTGAGAGCATAAAAATAAAAGGTTGAAGCCAGGCATGCTAGTGGCCCAGTAGTCCAGCTACTCCAGAGGCGAGAGGATCACTCAAGTCCAGGTGTTTGAGGTCAGCCGGAACAACATAGTAAGGCCCTGTCTTAAAAAAAAAAAAAAAAAAAAAAAAAAGATAAAGAAAGAAATGAAAATGGACAGCCATCATCTTGGAAATCTTTTGACAAAGTTCAGGCATACCCATGACAGTGGGTGGCTGAGTTGGGTGTGGAAGAAAGATCACAGAGGAGGAGGTTGTGAAAGAGTGAGAATCAAATAGATAATTTATTTCATACTCAAGTCACCTGGAAAGATGCTTGTAGACATGGTGGAGAGGGAAGCAGAAGCCCTGGACAGGGGATGACCAGGAATGCGGGGGAGTTTGGTAGATGAGAGCAACAAGAAGGGGTGAAGATTAATGACTTGTGTCAAAAAAGACTTCTTTTTAACAACAGGAAAACAGAGACATTTTTTATAATTTTTTATATTATAGCATAAGGTTTTCTAGTGCAGGATCCGACAGCCTTTGCTTGTCTGTAAAGAGAGCATTGTCCCTCCCCAGCTCCTCTTGTGTCTTAAAGAGTGGTTGATAGGCCGGGGGCAGTGGCTCACACCTGTAATCACAGCACTTTGGGAGTCCGAGGCGGGCGGATCACAACGTCAGGAGATCAAGACCATCTTGGCTAGCATGGTGAAACCCCGTCTCTACTAAAAATACAAAAAATTAGCCAGGTGTGGTGGCGGGCGCCTGTAGTCCCAGCCACTCGGGAGGCTGAGGCAGGAGAATGGTGTGAACCTGGGAGGCGGAGCTTGCAGTGAGCCAAGATCGTGCCACTGCACTCCAGCCTGGGCGACAGAGCGAGACTCTGTCTCAAAAAAAAAAAAAAAAAGAGAGAGAGAGGTTGATAAAGGCTGCCTGGTCTCTCGGTCTCTCTGAGGGCTGAGCCCTTCTCCAAGTGGGCCAAAGTGAGAAGGCCACCTCCAATAGCCAGAGCCTCTGAAACCTCCTGGCACTATACTCTTTTAAGAGCATGGAATGTCAGATGCAGCCATAGATGTATTACTTCAACCACTATTAGGTACTATGTCTACAACATTGTGGGGAAAAAAAAAGACCTAAGTCCACCTTACATTCTAGAAGAATTCATACAGGCTGGATAAATGCCATCACTGATCAGTACTACAGGAGCATAAAAAGGAGAGTCACTAACTGTACTTGGGAATCTTGGCCAGAACTAGATGTCTTTTATGCTTAGCTTAAGGGAGACATACACATTTTCTAGGTGGAAAAGAGAAGGAAGGAAGTTCCAGGCAGAGAGACTAACATAAATGAATGGGCAAGTGATCTGAGCAAGCCTGTTGTGATGTGGGAATGGCAGACAGTCGGTGTGACTGAAGCCCAGCGTGCCTGTGAGTGGGGCATGGGAAGGGTTAGGATGGAGACAGAGAAGTTTCATGACATAGCAGTGACAGGCTGAACTATGGCTCTGGGAAAAATGTGTGTCCAATCAAATTGTGTTTAGTTGCATTATTCAGTCCCATAGAACTCTGCTGTTGTGCAGAAGAAGTGGCGATCAACTAAAACTGAAGAAGCAACCTTACAACTAGTCCCATCAAGGGCTGCATAGGGATCCTGAGGAAATACACAGTAAGGTATCCTACCTGCATCACAAAACAAGGAGCCATGTCTATTTCTTCTGTAGGTAAAGTCAGACAGATATGCACCCACATAGGAATAACAATAATGTCCTCACTTTCTCCCCGGACTCCTAGATCCTCTGGTAGAATTGGCAAGAATGGTGTTCCTCCTTCTCAGGATTGTCTCCAAGGTAGCTGCAATACCCTCAGTTGAGCTCTAGGCTGAGGGCATTATCTAAAGTTGTGCTAATGTTTTCATTATGGTAATACTAAGAAAGATGATATCAAAGCTCTTGCAGTATTTCATAACATATAAAATACTTTAAAAAACATCACATTAATTTGACAAAGGATATATGGGCATTATTAACTTCAATGTAGAGATGGACTCAGAGGCCTAGAGAGGCCACACAGCTATAGAACATCTAAAAACACGGCTACTAATTTTTATCTTAGTGATCTTGAGTTCTTAGTTTAAAAAGTCATAACTTAAAAGGAAACCTTACAAAATAGTTATCTGTTTCCTGAGTGAATAGATTGTAATAGTTCCACTCAAAGAAATAGCCATTTCCCTGGATAGCTACGATTTTTTAAGAGTAATAATGATCAACTCATTAACTGTGGTTGCCTTAAAGCACTTTGATAAGATTCAAATACATACTCCTGTTATTTAATGGATATTTATTTTAAAGAGCTACTCACTCATGTATTCAGATTACAATAACCCTTCTGCTTAATCTTCCTTAAATGGTTATTGTATTATTTTCAATGCATTCATGTAGTAGAGTAACACAAAGGTAATTCTATGGATTCCCAAAGCAAAGTTGGATATTAACAACTAGGTATGTTGTGTGTTGATTTAATATACGGTAATGCTAAAGTTTAGAATTTAAGTCAAAGTGGGTTTTTGTAAGCTGTAAGGTAAGTTATTAGAGCTTTTTCCTGCCATAAAAAAATAAAAATACCATCATATATATTCATAAGAATTTGGCTCTGCTTACTCCTCAAATTTTTTATAACTACCTTTCCCTTCAACCATACCCATTTAGTCCCTAAATTATAAATGTAGCATTCAACTCCTAGACGCATTCTCTCAAAGCATTCTAGGAAATAACACAGGTCTTCATTCAATGAGGATTTAATGACTGTCTACTCTGATTCTGGCCATGTGGAAGATTGTGGAGATAAAATGTTATTCACCACACTTTCAAAGAGTCATAGCGTAGTGGGTGATATGAAAAAGTCAACCAAGACTCCAGTGAGGTGATGTGTGCTGGGATAGAGAAAAGGAAGGGATAGGTGTCAAGGAGATACAGACAGAGAAGACATTCCTTCAAGAGGCTTGGGATTGCTTGCAAAGAACAACAATTTACATATATCCTTTCCACCCACATTTTCCAGAACTATACCAGGTGGGAGGAAAAGATGGTCTCTATATTAGTAGCAGTTGCAAAAATTAAATTGATTGCTCAGCCTTTAGCGTATATGTCTGACACCACATCTCAAACTCTTCTGTCCTTGTTCAAATTTATTAGAGTTACATCATGTGTGCTTACAAATAGCTCCTTTTAGGTTGATTTTTTTTTAAGACAGAGTCTCACTCTGTTGCCCAGGCTGGAGTATAGTGGTGTGATCTTGGCTCACTGCAACCTCTGCCTCTTGGGTTCAAGCGATTCTCCTGCCTCAGCCTCCCAAGTAGCTAACACTACAGGCATAAGCCACCACACCTGGCTTGTTTTTGAAATTTTTGTATTTTTAGTAGAGACAGGGTTCACCATGTTGATCAGGCTGGTCTCGAACTCTTGACCTCAGGTGATCCACCTGCCCTGGCCTCCCAAAGTGCTGGGATTACAGGGTTGAGCCACTGTGCCCAGCTTAAGTTGCTGTTGTGAGAGGATTCTGCTCACTGCATTGGCCCTGGACAGCTTCTCCCACACCCAGCTACCATACCACACCCAGTGTCCTCAGTACAATTCATCAAGCCCTAACTGGTTCCTTCAAGCTGCTTGTAGCACTTTCAAGGAGATAATGCAACGGTCACCACTTCACAAAAGAGGACCAGGCATTCTAGGAGTTCTGAATTCCAGGTATGTGTTTGTTTCCTGCTACTACGGCTCTAGTATGCTTAAGAACAATTCCATTTATACCTTTGTTCTGTTACTGCATCTTAGAAAAACAGCTGGAGGGATTGTCTTCAAATTAGGAGAATACACTAATCTAAATAAAATATAAACTCTACACATTTACTAAATTCATTTGCAGAAAACCCTCAGTGGGGAAGGAAAGACACAACAGAGATGAGCAGACATTTTTTAAGCTGTTCAAGGCAGAAAGGCACAAGCATGAGTTCAATCATAAGCTCTGAAGCAGATATCTAGGGGGCTGATACAGAAGTATACAGGGTTTGGTTTGGCCCTGTGTCCCCAGCCAAATCTCATGTAGAATTGTAATCCCCACATGTGTGGGTAGGGACCTGGTGGGAAGTGATTCGATCATGTGGGCGGTTTCCCCTATGCTGTTTTTGTGACAGTGAGTGAGTTCTCATGAAAGCTGTTGGTTTATAAGTGTTGGTTAAAAGTTCCCCCCCACCCCTCTACCGCCATTATGTGAAGGTCCTTGCTTCCCCTTTGCATTCTGCCATGATTGTAAGTTTCCTGAGACCTCCCCAGCCATGAGGAACTGTGAGTCAATCAAACTTTTTTCTTTATAAATTACCCAGTATCAGGTAGTTCTTTCTATCAGTGTGAAAACAGACTAATACACAGGGGACTTTCAGTCAAAGCTCATTTTAACCAGCAAATTCTAGAAACGCTCTATGGTTGGTTGCAGTGAACTTTTATTTATTGAATAATAGTTTTCAGATAATACCAAATAATTACTAGCTTGTGCACTGAAGAAATTTAGGGTGTTTTACATATCCAGCAGCCAAGAATAGGTACATACCAGGCATTTATTAAAGAGAATAACCTTGGAATCGTTTGAAATGCCTATTCTCTGGTGCCATAAAGAAATAGCACTTGAACCTAAGTTTAATTTCTTCAGCAAGGCCATTTCTATACTTTCTGCAGAAAGGGTACACTCGCTAGCAGTTTTGCCATGAGAGTACACCAGATAAAGGAGACAGGATCGTTTATAACTTGATGCGTCCACCTTACTGCTGTGTCTGGTTTGTATTGGCTGGAACGTGACCTCACATTCTATATTTTTCCTGATTGGCTGGCAACTTAGAATTTTTTTAAAAAGGCAAAGGCAGAGGAGAACAAAGGAAGGAGGAATTAACTTGTGGAATGCTGAGAAAGGTAAAAACACCTTCAAATAAGGAAGAGGAACAGGCTATGACCTAATGCTTCCTTGGACCAGTATAAGCACGCCAAGGCAAATATTTAGGCTAAACTGTGGGAGCTAAGAACATAAAGTACATTGATTTCTTCATTACGGCTAGCAGATATTTAAGAATGTTAGCACAGGTCTTTGAATAAATTTTGCTTCTAAGAGAAGTTACTATTTATTCCTAATTAGACAGGGAGGAAAGTCTTTGAAGAGGTACCTCCACTTTACTTTTTACAGAATCAATGCCCCATTTCATATTTGTCAAAAGCTTATTTGAGAATAACAATATTTAGGGAAAATTAGGAGAAAGATATACATTTAATCTATTAATCTATGCACTGCATTTATTCTTCATTCATTCATTCTCTCTTTTTTCTTTTTTTTAGGCAGAGTCTTGCTCTGCTGCCCAGGCTAGAGTGTAGTGGTGCCATCATGACTCACTGCAACCTCCACTTCCCAGGTTCAAGTGATCCTCTCACCTCAGCCTCCCAAGTAGCTGGGACTACAGGCACACCCCACCCTTCCCATCTAATTTTTGTATTTCTTGTAGGACAGGGCTTTGCCATGTATCCCAGGCTGGTCTCAAACTCCTGAACTTAAGTGATCTTCCTGCCTCAGCTTCAAAAAGTGTTGGGATTACAGGTGTGAGCCACTTCAGTCTGCCTTCAATTCCTCTTTATTCAACAAATATTTGTCTCTACCATATGCAAGGTACTGTTCTAGAATTCTGATAGGCTATATTTCTGTTTAAAAAACATATATTCTCTTTGGGAAAGATAAACATTAAATAGGTAATATATGTTATATATTCAATCTACATTAATTCAAGTTAATTTTATCATAACATTTGTTAATATTTAAAATTTTATATATTGGAAATATTTGGAATTTTCTATATATATAATTTCAAATATTAACAAATGTTATGAGAAAAATTAACTTGAATTACTGTAGATTGGAGAAGTGAGGAGGAGGGGTATCATCTGGAAAGGTTTTGGAGAGAGGATCTTGGCACTGGGACCTGCATGCTGAGAAGGAGGCAGAGCAGTGGAGACCCGAGGAGAGACAACACAGGCGGAGGAAACAGCGGGTGCACAAGAGGGGAAGAAAAGGTGACGATGAGCCCCTTGCTCAGTTACTGTGACCAGAGCATGGTCACATAGGGGTCAGTGCTAGGAAAAGATGTCAGCAAGTGGCTGGGACAGGCCATGGGATTCACACTGGGAGTCACAGTTCCGTCCACTGTAGGACAAATAGACAGTGGTGAAATAAGAATACAAGTCAGAAGGGAGTAGGAGGCTCTACTGCAGCCCAGGAATGAGGCAGCCTGTCTTGTGAAAGAACTCAGAGCCACAACAGGGGCCATGCTCATGGAATTTTAGTAAATATGGCTTTGTCATGATGCCATAGGCTTTCACTGAGAAATGTAAACAAACATCCCCATGAAATGCATTGTATTTATTTTAAGCAGGCAGGGATGAAAGGTGAATAGGATGTGGATAATTCACCCTGTTGCATAGCACTTTCCTCAAAAGAATTTGTTGGAAAAAAGAAACTGAAGCTACTGATTTTTGTCTCTTCCTAACGTCTGAAGAAATGTACTTTATCGAATATCCCCTTTGCTTATTTTCCAACATCTACTCAACTTGAATCTTTTACATTAACTTTAAAACTTACTGAGGTAAAATGTACAGCAAAAAAATTTCATGTGGCAGAGGTATAGAGCCTAACAAATTTTCACCAACTGCATACCTTTGCAACCAGTAGGCAGAGCAAGAAACAGAATCCTAAAAACCTTCATGGTATTATGTTCCAACTGACCCATTTTATCTCAGTATGAACTACACATCTCATTATGTTTTCTTCCATATGTTGATTGCTAGAAAATTTATAACCATATTTTGTGTCTCTCATTCAAAACTACCAGAACCTCACAGCAGGCTTTTATGGACTAATCTCTCATCCTTGGTTTCACTTTTATCTTTCTTTTTTTTTTTTTTTGAGACTGAGTCTGGCTCTGTTGCCCAGGCTGAAATGCAGTAGCATGATCTCAGCTCACTACAACTCCCGCCTCCCAAGTTCCAGTGATTCTCCTGCCTCAGCCTCCCAAGCAGCTAGGATTACAGGCATGTGCCACCACCCCCAGCTAGTTTTTGTACTTTTAGTAGAGACAAGGTTTGGCCATGTTGACCAGGCTGGTCTTGAACATTTGACCGAAGTGATCTGCCCACTTCAGCCTCCCAAAGTGCTGGGATTATAGACATGAGCACCGTGCCCAACCTCAAGTTTTATCTTTCTTTATACCCTTTGCCTTCACTTCATTCATGGCTTTTGATTTTTCCTATTTTTCTTAATATCATTGAATATATCTTTGTAAGCAAGGTACAACATTCTGGGAAGAAAGTAATGTCAAAGTAATACATGGAAGAAAAAACTGCCCCTCTGTAAATATTTTATCAGTCACTTAGTAGGGTTTAGTCCAATCAATACAGAGTTTAGTACATAAACTAGAATCTTCACTTTATTGTGCAGCAAGAAAACAAAAACGATTCTTTCTACAGATACTAATGCATGATTAAAACACACAGCCCAGAACGCCTGCCTAAAAAATCAGTCCCTATGGGTCAGAAGTCATGGGTCTTTGTTGGAGAAGTCAGGGACCCCGAATGGAGGGACTGGCTGGAGCCGAGGCAGAAGAACATAAATTGTGAAGATTTCATGGACATTTATCAGTTCCCCAAATTAATACTTTTATAATTTCTTACACCTGTCTTTACTGCAATCTCTGAACATAAATTGTGAAGATTTCATGGACATTTATCACTTCCCTAATAATACTCTTATGATTTCTTATGCCTGTCTTTACTTTAATCTCTTAATCCTGTTATCTTCATAAGCTGGGAATGTACGTCACCTTAGGACCACTATTGTACAAATTGATTGTAGAACATGTGTGTTTGAACAATATGAAATCTGATTGTAAAACGTGTGTTTGAACAATATGAAATCAGTGCACCCTGAAAAGAACAGAATAACAGCAATTTTCAGGGAACAAGGGAAGAAAACCATAAGGTCTGACTGCCTGCTGGATCGGGCAGAATATAGCCATATTTTTCTTCTTGCAGAAAGCCTATTGATGGATGTGCGAGTAGGAGAAATATCACTGAATTATTTTCCCAGCAAGGAATAACCCTGGGGAAGGAATGCATTCCTGTGGGTAGGTCTATAGACAGCCACTCTGGGAGTGTCTGTCTTATGCAGTTGAGATAAGGACTGAAATACGCCCTGGTCTCCTGTAGTACCCTCAGGCTTACTAGGATTGGGAAATTCCAGCCTGGTAAATTCTAGTCGGACCCATTCTCTGCTCTCAAACCCTGTTTCCTGTTAAGATGTTTATCAAGACAATTTGTGCACAGTGGGACATAGACTCTCATCAGTAATTCTAAGTTTGCCTTCGCCTTGTGATCTTTATTGCCCTTTGAAGCATGTGATCCTTGTGACCTACTCCCTGTTGATACACCCCCTCCGCTTTTAAAATCCCTAAGAAAAACTTGCTGGTTTTGCAGCTTGAGGTGGTCATCACAGTCCTACCAATATGTGATGTCACCCCTGGACACCCAGCTGTAAAATTTCTCTCTTTGTACTCTTTCTCTTTATTTCTCAGATCAGCCGACACTTAAGGAAAATAGAAAAGAACCTATGTTGAAATATTGGGGGCTGGTTCCCCAATAAGTCTTGAAGCTATTTCCCATGAAGGATGCCACACACCCACAACCATACTGTCTTTTCTATTCTTGTGCCCAGGGGCCAGATTATTAAGTGGGCTTCAAGACAAACTCTCTGCTTTTTAGATCCTGGGCAGAGAAGTGCAAGAGGAAGCCCACATTCTGGGGCCAGCTGGTCAGTGCAGGCAGCACCTTGGCCTTTGACCAGGACAGGGGCAGTGTTATGTCCCCGCAGCCTTGCGGAAGGCCTTGGGTCTCCTCTGTGCTCCAACATCATCTCGGCCTGGACCCTACCTGTAAGTCTGATTGTACCATTTGAAAAGGACAGCGATCCTAGGTTAAAAATGTATTCAATCATTTAATCTATTGGAAGTTTAAAAGTCTATTTATTTAAAAAATAAACATTTTACTTTTTACTTCAGAACAGTTTTAGGCTGTTGACAAAAATGCAAAGATAATACAGTTTTCATATACCCCACACCCAGTTTTCTGTGTTTTTAAAGCCTTATGTTCGTACGGACCATTCGTTATCCTTGATGAATCTGTACTGATAGACTTTAACTAAAGGAAGTCTCTACTTTACTAAGATGTCTTTAGCTTTTTACCTAATGTCCTATTTCTGTTCCAGGACAACACATGACATTTGGTTGTCATGTTTCCTCAGATTTCTCTTTACTATCACTCTTTTCAGACTTCTCTAGTTTTTGAAGACCCTGACAATTTTGAGATATACTAATAAAGGTATTTTATAGAATGTCCCTCAATTTAGATTTTCTTCTTCTTTTTTTTTTTTTTTTCTGAGATGGAGTCTCATTCTGTTGCCCAGGCTGGAGTACAGTGGTGCAATCTCGGCTCACTGTAACATCTGCCTCCCGGGTTCAAGCGATTCTCCTGCCTCCCGATTAGCTGGGATTACATCTGATGCCACCACACCCAGTTAATTTTTTTTTTTTTTTAAGACAGAGTTTTGCTCTTGTTGCCCAGGCTGGAGTGCAATGGCACGATCTTGGCTCACCGCAACCTCCAGCTTCCAAGTTCAAGCCATTCTCCTGCCTCAGCCTCCCAAGTAGTGGGGATTACAGGCATGCGCTGCTATGCCCAGCTAATTTTGTATTTTTAGTAGAGATGGGGTTTCTCCATGTTAGTCAGGCTGGTCTCAAACTCCCAACCTCAGGTGATCCACCCACCTCGGCCTCCCAAAGTGCTGGGATTACAGGTGAGAGCTACTGTGCCTCGATTTAGATTTTCTGATGTTTTATTCAGTTTGAGGGAAGAAGGCCACAGAGGTTAAGTGGGTTATTATCACATCACATAAAGAACACATACTAGCAACATCACTAATCACTGTTATGTTGACTTTGATTACCTCACTGAAGTACTATTTGTCAGCTTTCTTCACTGTAGAGTTCCTCTTTTTCCCCCTTTCCATACTATAACATTGGGAAGCAAGTCACCATGTGTAACCCATGCCATCCTTAAAGAGTGGGGAGCCATGATCCATCTCCCTGAGTGTCTCCATACATTATTTGGAATTTTTCTGCAAGGGATATTTGTGTATTCTTTCCCATTTATTTATTCAGCCATTTACTTATACCAGTATTAACTCATGGATATTTATTTTCTAATTAAGTTGTAACACACTACTACTTTTTTTACTTTGTTGCTTAATTTGTTCCAGCTTTGGCCACTGGAAGCTCTTTCTGTTGAATCCTGTGTCCCATCACTGTGTTTTGTTTTGTTTTTGTTTTTGTATTGTTTATTCATATCTATCTATGCACACTTAGATCTATATATATAACATACATGAAGATAATATGTACATGTACACATTAAATGTGTATACTCACACGCACATATACTACATTATTTCTGGTGCTACAAGATGCAAAGGGGTCATGTAAAATTTCTGCCCTGGGTTTAAATCAAGCCATCTATGCAAGGATCCCTGATTCTTGTTGAAAGTGGTAATAGAAATCAAGATCTGGGCATTAGGTATGCTCATTACTATGGGATATTATTATTTCTATGTCTTTTCAGCTGGCAGAGCAAAGGAATATATGTGTGTATATTAGTCTATGTGTATATGTGTATCTATCAATATTTGTAACCCTCTGTATGTATACTAAGCTAATCATGAGTTTATTTGATGTCTTCAACTATAATCTATTACCACATGAATTATTCTAGCCTTCTGTCCTTGCTAATATGAAAATTCCCACTCCAACAATGAGAAACTAGACTCATTATTCTGCATCCATTTACTTAAGTTTTCATCTTCATATCAGAGCTGTTAACCTATGCTCCCATGAAGAACAACTTTATCAGTTGTAGCACAGTATTTATATACAGTTTCTTTTGCCTTTAGTCTGTAAGACTGAAAGTGCATAGTTTGTAAGGTTAAAGGGAAAAGTCCACTAATTTCCAAATTTATAATTAGTAATTTTTGTAAAGAATTATAATGTCACAAAATATTTTGTGTATACAACTATCAAATGTAGGCATCTACAAATATCTTCGTTTTGTTTTTTAACATGTGTGTTAAGATTTTAAAAAACCCACATATGAGTAATTCGTTTATCAATTTGAATGGTCAAGAAACACCATCACCCAAGGTTATGTACCATCATGTACTACTCTATAATATGATAGTGGTGCATGAAAGACATAAGGTTAAGCAGAGCTGATAGAAAGTGCTTAGACTTCAAAATCAGTTCTTGCCTCCTAGGAATGGGACTTTGACATGTAACTTGATCAGTCAGAGACTCAGCTTCCTCAACTACAAAAGGGGGTTATTAAGAGGACCAAGTGAATTTCCATGTGTCTTAGTCCATTCAGGCTGTTCTAACAAAATATCTATTGACCGAGTGGCGTATAAACAGCAAATATTTATTTCTGGGAAGTCCAACTCCAAGATGCCAGCAGATTTGGCGTCTGGTGAGGGCCCACATTCTGTTAGACAGCACTGGCTTCTTGCTGTGTCCTCACATGATGGGAGGAGCAAGCCAACTCCCTGGGACCTCTTTTCTAAGGGCACTGATGCCACTTTCAAGGGCTCCACCCTAATGGCATAGACACTTCCTGAAAGCCCCACCTCTTAATACACTGGGGATTAGGTTTCAACATATGAACAGGGGCAGAGCACAAACACTCAGATCATGGCACCGTGTAAGACTCAGCATAGAAAGTAGACATTCAACAAATGCTAATTTCAGTTTTTTTCTCTGTTTTTAATTATTTCTTTTATTGTCTCTAGTTTCTTAACTGAGGTTAACTCATTGCCAGGACAAACAGCCCAGCCAATGAATTTTGGCCTACAGAGAAATCTCACTCTTGAATAACCTTGGATTGAGTTCTTTCATTAGAATCCTTCCAAAGTGCTAGCAATTGATTTGCCACAAAAGAAAGGTTTGATTTTAACTGGCACAGGAATGCAAGCTGAAATCCTCACTGCACACAGGAGTGATGTTGCCTACGGAGAACTCAGGTTTTAAATCACTGTACTGCAAACTAACACCCCATTTAACAAACGGAGCAGAAAAGCTACTCTGAGCCACAGAGTCGGTGGCCGCCTGTGCATTCGCCTGAACTTTCAGGCAAACTGGAGAGTCCCGGCTTCTGTTAAATAGACTTCAAAAATATCAACTCCCTATGTATCCACAAGCAGGGTTTCTTATCAAAGTCATCCACCACTCAAAGACTTAATTTATTTTTCCAACCCAGTAAAACAATGGTTCTTTTATACAGTATCTGAATATTGTAAACCTAATAAAGGCAAGTGAAATCCTATCATCAAGTGTGCCAGAGAACACGGGCTTTAAGTATTTGAGCAGAAACAATCTCTGTTTCACAATTATCCCAGGACGGTGAGGAGAAAGGTGAATTCAGTCATGCACCTGGAATGGAGTTGAGTAATCCTAGCCTCTAGCACAGAAGGAGTAGCATGGAGAAAAAGAGAAAGATTTCTCAATTGTTGCTGCACCAAGATTCCTGACAATATTGGGATACTGTTCACTCAACAGACAATTTGGGAGCGTGGTCTCAGTTCTTGTCTGAGCCCTCACACAGGGAGGCTCAACACCAACTTTTTTAAACGTTGAAGCCAATTTCTCAACAATGCCCTGCGTTGTTTCTTTATACATGAAATCACTCTCTTTGGTATCAATAGGCTGAACTTGATATATGTTGTGTGAGATTCTGATGACACCTGTATCCCTATGAATACCAGGTCTGCGGGATATGATTTTATAAAAGATAAATGAGGTAGGAAATGAGTGCAGCCAATGGCTGTACCATCCTTGTGGACAACACCTTGAAAGTGAGGCAAGTTCATGCATCTGCAGTCTCAAGTTCGTTCACCTGCGGTCTCCACACCTGATACTCTCTCCGTGGCTGGTTTGTGTCTGCCCCACAGCACGGTCTTGAGCCCTGAAGTCTGGTCAATTCTCAGGTTATACTTGCCTGCTGGATGTGTACCTTATGGCTCACATGGACTCTAGTTTCCTCATATGCTCTATCCTGAAGCACTATCCCAGTAATTCTCTAAGGATCATCAGATTCCTTCTCTTTACGAAGCTTAAATCATTTTTTTCCTCCTTTTTTTTTCTTTCTCTTTTTTCTTTTCACCTGGCATGTCCTGCATCTGACTCATGCTACTTTTCTGCATCTAATGTGAAGCTTTTCCTCAGTGATCCCTAATCTCACTTTGCTTAAACAGGAGACAGGTTAATTTTTAACTTCACTTATCAGAATGTTAACAGTACCTTCTCAAACCACTACAATACTGCAAAGAGGAAAATGTGAAAAGAGGAAAATCATTCTTAAGCATTCTTATATACACAGTTTTTTTTTTTTTGCCTATAAGACTAACAGCAAAAGAACTGTGTATATAAGCATGCTTATAGACTAAAGGTAAATGTTCATTTATTTTTCAAATGTGTACTTATTAATATTTATAAAGAATAATGCTACAAAAACATTTTGTGTATACAATTACCAAATGTAGGTATCTACAAATACTTCTGTTATTTCATGTGTGCATTAAAACATTAAAAAAATAACTCATATGGCTGGGTTCAGTGGCACAGGCCTGTAATCCCAGCATTTTGGGAGGCTGATGTGGGAAGATGGCTTGAGCCCAGGAGCTCGACACTGCAGTGAGCTACAATTGTGCCACTGCACTGCAGCCTGGGTGACAGAGGGGACCCTACTCAAACAAAACAAAAACCCACATGTGACTGATTCATTTATCAGTTTGTATAATCAAGAAACACCATCACCCAAGGCTAAATATTTTCATGCACAATTATATAATATGACAGTGGGGTACGAAAGACATAAAATTAAGCAGAGCTATAATAATACAAAGTGCACAGAAGGAAGAATCAGCTGTGACACCTCCTGGAAGTGGGACTCTGGCAAGTGTTATAACTTGATCTGTTAGAGGCTCAGCTTCCTCAGCTATAAAAGAGGGTTTATTGGGAGGATTACATTAATTTCCATGTGTTTAGTCCACTCAAGCTGCTATAACAACATACCATGAACTAGGTGGCTTATAAACAACACATATTTATTTCTTATGGCTCTGGAAGTGGTGAAGACCAAGGCCGAGGTGCCAGCAGATTCAGTGTCTGGTAAGGGCCCACATTCTCTTTTTGTTTGTTTGTTTGTTTGTTTTGTTTTGTTTTGTTTTGTTTTGTTTTGTTTGAGACAGAGTCTCACTCTGTTAACCAGGCTGGAGTGCAGTGGTGTGATCTCAGGTCACTGCAACCTCTGCCTCTCTAGTTCAAGCAACTCTCTTGCCTCAGCCTCCCGTGTAGCTGGGACTATAGGCACCTGCTACCACACCTGACTAATTTTTGTATTTTTAGTAGAGACAGTGTTTCATCATGTTAGCCAGACTGGTCTCCAACTCCTGACCTCAAGTGATCCACCCACCTTGGCCTCCCAAAGTGCTGGGATTACAGGTGTGAGCCACCACGCCCAGGAGGGCCTACATTATCAAAGACAGCAACACCTTCTTGAGGTGTCCTCACATGGTGGGAGGGAAAAAGACATTTTTAAGAAATCATTCGTATTTCGTGGCTGTAGAAAAGAAGCTTTGGAGCTGTCAAGCAATTACATGACTTGTCCAACGTCACATAGCTGAGAGACTAAGGCACCCTTCCCTGCTTCTACAATACTATAAATTTGCACTGATAGCTACTTCTAAAAGTGTAAGAAATCCCCTAGGTTTTAAAATGTTATGAATTCCTTACTAATATGGTTTTTGCCTGAAAGTTAACCAACAGCCATCTGGTTAAAGATAATTCTATTTTATTCTGTTTTTTTAAATAAACGTAGAGTCAGCTGATAACAGCAGATACCTGCTGACTTTATAACACATGTCTACGTAGGTTGTCTATATTTCTGTTAGGAATATGCATCTTTCTTTTAAAATAATATAATTAAGAGCTGATACTTAATGAGTATTTACTGTATGCATGCCCTGAATTGGCATATTACCTATTTTATTTTACTTAAACTTTATAACAACTCTCTGCTATAGATTGTTTCTCTATTGTTTTCCAAGAAGAGGAAATTGCTGGTCAGGAAGGGTAAATAGGCCAGCACAGTGACTCACACCTGTAATCCCAACACTTTGGGAGGGCGAGGTGGCTGGACTGCTTGAGCTCAGGAGTTCAAGACCAGCCTGGGCAACATGGAGAAACCTGTCTCTACCCAACCCCCCTAACTAAAAAAAAAAAAACGTAGCCAGGTGTCATGATGTGCACCTGTAGTCCCAGCTACTCAATATGCTGAGCTGGGAGGATATCTTGGGCTCAAGATGTTGAGGTTGTAATGAGCCATGATTGTGCCTCTGCACTCCAGCCTGCACAGCACAGTGAGATTTGTCTCAAAAACAAAACAAAACAAAACAAAAAACAACAACAACAAAAAAGAAAGAGTCAATAATACTGGCAGAGTCACACAGTGGTAGAGCCAAAAAACAAAAAAAGAACTAAGATCTGCCTCTTTTCCAAATTCATATTCATGTTCCTATCATATATGCTATCCTGCCTTATTAACATTCTAAACACTGGTGACATAATTTTAATTTATTCAAAAGCTTCTTTCCCAGGTCAATTGCCAGAGAGAAATCAACAGTGGTACTCCTAAGTGTTTAATGAAAATAGCAGGTAAGTTGATTCCTTAAGAAGTCAAGGGCATTATTTTTTGTTGTTTTGTTTTTCGACTTTGATTTCATGGTTAGAGGTACATTTGCAGAGTGTTATCTAGGTAAACTACATGTCGCCGGGGTTTGGTGTACACATTACTTAGTCACCCAGGTAATAAGCATAGGACCCCATAGGCATGTTTTTTAATCCTCTGCCTCCTCCCAATCTCCACCCTCAAGCAGGCCCTGGTGTCTGTTAGTCCCCTCTTTGTGACCATGTGCTCTCGTTGTTTGGCTCCCATTCGTAAATAAGAACATAAGGGTATTCGATTTTGCATACCTGCATTATTTTGCTTAGGATAATGGTCTGCAGCTCCATCCATGTTGCTGCAAAGGATGCGATCTCATTCTTTTGTATGGCTGCATAGTATTCCATGGTGTGTATGTACCAAATTTTCTTTAGCCAGTCTACCATTGATGGGTATTTAGGTTAAGTCCATTTTTTTGCCATTGTGTATAGTGCTGTAATAAACATATGTGTGCATGTGTCTTTATCATAGAATGAATTATATTCATTTGAGTGTATACCCTATAATGAGATTGCCAGGTTAAATGGTAATTCTGGCTTCTTTGAGAAATCACCACACTGCTTTCCACAATGGCTGAACTAATTTACACTTTTTTTAGTTGTGGATGTTTTTGGAAGAACGTACAGGTAAAAAAAATATATATATATATATTTAAGAGCCCAGAGCACTTTCATACTTGTATCTTTATTTTGAAGTCTCTGTCACTCTTCTTTAGCCTTTCCTGCTTAATTAATGCAACCTGGTACTGAAGCGTTTCTCATCTCTTTTGAAACACGGATCAGGGGAACTCCTCACTTGAGTAATGTATTGCAGTCATACGTCATCGGCGGCAACAGCTCCGTGCTGTAAATAAAGCTGTAATTTTATTATTGTCAGGAGTCCAGACTGAGACATTCTTACTTACATACAATGCATCAAGCATTAAAAGCGTATTTCTAATGCACTTCCTAAACCATGCTCCCTCTCCTCCTGTGGGCAAAGATCTTTTAAGGCATAGGCTCTCTAAAAAGCATTCAGAGTATGGAAATGAATTAGCGAGATGCAATGCCCTGGCCAAATTCACAAGAGACATGAACAGCTAAGAAAAGCACCAAAGGTGTTTATGTCTGAGCGCCAGCCACAGTGAACCCCTGAGAGCGCTCAGTGCTAGTGTTTCAGAGGACTCACGCGGTACATGCAGCATTAGTTCTTGAGGGGCTTGGTCCTGCAAAGGGGCTCATTGCTCTCTCAGCCTGAAGTACTTTAAGTCTCAATTCAGTGTTATTTCCGTTCCCAATTCCCTAAAAGGCTTTTGTCCCAGTCCATCGGTTCTCCTAGAGCCCCCTGCATGCCTCAGCATTGGGCCAGTCTGCACACTGCGCTGAGATGAACTAACTGCATGACTTTATCCTCACCAGACAGAAAGGCAGGGACTATGCCATCTTTATGTTTACATTCTTGGAGCTCTGCACAAGGTACAAGATTAGTAAATACTTGGTTGTTGAATAAATAAGTATTAATCACTGAGAAATAAATTCTTAACAATGGTATTAGGTGACTGAACTAGAGTCAGGTCAACCATTAAATGGTGAAACTGAATGGTTATTGGTAAGATTCTTTAAGAAAACAAAATTACAGTGCAGCTACTCAGTCCAATCACTTAATTGTACTGAGTGGTTTCATCAAGACCATGAAGACAGAGCTGGGTGCTTATTGAGCACACTTTCTACTTGCACACCAGGCTTCACTTTCCTAGCTCATGTATATCTATATACTCAGGAAGGTATCATTAATTCATAGATATTGAAATTGTGTTCATGAATAACAGAATTTTGTTCAACACATTTCCTCATAGTGCAAATGAATTATTGGAATAAAACATAGGAGCAGTTTTCATGACGAAGTTTTTGCTTGCATCCTCCCAAATGTTCATGAGGACATGGTACCTGTGACTCCACTGTGCCTGGGTCCTGCCAAAGCAATACCCCTCCCCATTAGCAAGTAAGGTCTCTGATATGGTTTAGCTCTGTGTCACCACCCAAATCTCATCTCGAATTGTAATCCCTGGGAGTAGAGGGAGGGAGGTGTTTGGGTCATGAGGGTAGTTTCCCCATGCTATTCTCATGATAGTGGTGAGTTATCATGAGATCTGATGGTTTTATAAGTGTTTGGAAGTTCTTCCTTTGTCCTTCTTTCTCCTGCCCTCTTGTGAAGAAGGTGCTTGTTTCCCCTTTGCCCTTCCATCATGATTGCAGGTTTCCTGAGGCCTCTCCAGCCATATGGAACTGTGAGTCAATTAACCCTCTTTTCTTTATAAATTACCCAGTCATGGGTATTTCTTTATAGCTGTGTGAAAACAGACTAATACATAAAATTGGTACTGGGAGTGGGACACTGCTATAAAGATACAGAAAATGTTAAAGTGACTTTGGAACTGGGTAATGGGCAGAGTTTGGAACAATTTGGAGGGCCCAGAAGAAGACAGGAAGATGTGGGAAAGTTTGGAACTTCTTAGACAATTGTTGAATGGTTTGACCAAAATGCTGATAATCATGTGGACAATGAAGTCCAGGCTGAGGTAGTCTCAGGTGGGGACAAGGAATTTATTGGGAACTGGAACAAAGGTCACTCTTGCTGTGCTTTAGCAAAGACACTGGCAATATTTTGTCCCTGCCTTAAAGATCTGTGGAACTTTGAACTTGAGAGAGATGATTTGAAATTGGAATTTATGTTTAAAAGGGAAGGAGAGCATAAAGTTTAGAAAATTTGCAGCCTGACAGGGCTATAGGAAAAAAAAAAATGCTGTGGAGAAATTCAGGCTGGCTGTAGAAATTTGCATAAGTAATGAGGAGCTGAATGTTAATTGCCAAGACAATGGAGAAAATGTCTCCAGGGTATGTCAGAGACGTTGGTGGCAGCCCCTCACATCACAGCCTGGAGGCCTAGGAGGAAAAAATATTTTCTTGGGCCAGGCCCAGGGCCTCATTGCTCTATGCAACCTCTGGACCTGGTACTCTTCATCCCAGCTATGACTAAAAGGGGTCATTGCTTCAGAGGGTGCAAGCCCCAAGCCTTGGTGCCTTGCATGTGGTGTTGGGCTTGTGGGTACAAAGAAGTCAAGAATTGAGGTTTGGAAACCTCTGCCTAGATTTCAGAGGATGTACGGAAATGCCTCAATGTCCTGGCAGAAGTCTGCAGCTTGGAGAACCTCTGATGGGGTAGTGCAGAAGGGAAATGTGGGGCTGGAGCTCCCACACAGAGTCCCCACTGAGGCACTGCCTAGTGGAGCTGTGAGAAGAGGGTCACCATCCTCTAGACCCCAGAATGGTAGATCCACAGACAGCTTGTACAGTGAGCCTGGAAAAGCCACAGGCACTCAATGCCAGCCTGTGAAGAAGCTGCCCAAGGCCGTGGGAGACCATTCCTTGGATTGGCATGCCCCAGATGTGAGACATGGAGTCAAAGGAGATCATTTCAGATCTTTAAGATTTAATGTCTGCCCCATTGGATTTCAAATTTCAGTGGGGTCTGTAGCCCCTTTGTTTTGGCCAATTTCTCCCAGCTAGAATGGGAGCATTTACCCAAAAGTCTGAATTCCTATTGTATCTAGGAAGTAACTAACTTGCTTTTGATTTTACAGGCTCATAGGCGGAAGGAACTTGCTTTGTCTCAGGTGAGACTTTGGACTGTGGACTTTTGAGTTAATGCTGAAATGAGTTAAGACTTTGGAGGACTATTGGGAAGATTTTGAAATGTGAGAACATGAGATTTGTGAGGGGCCAGGGGAATAATTACATGGTTTGGCTCTGTGTCCCTACTCACATTTCATCTCAAATTGTAATGTCAACATTGTCAAGGGAGGGACCTGTAATCCCCACAGCTTGAGGGAGAGAGTGATTGGATCATGGTGGTGGTTTCCCCCATACTGTTCTCATGAGAGTGAGTGAGTTCTCACAAGATCTTATGGTTTTACAAGTGTTTGGAAGTTCCTTCTTATTCTTCTCTCTCCTCCCCACTTGTAAAGACAGTGCTTGTTTCTCCTTTGCCTTTTGCCATGATTGTAAGTTTCCTGAGGCCTCCCCAGCCATGTGGAACTGTGAGTCAATTAAACCTCTTTCCTTTATAATTACCTAGTCTCAGATATTTCTTTTTAGCTGCGTGAAAACAGACTAATACAGTCTTCCTGAGATAGGATTCCAAATTCCAAGGGACGGAGAGGGAAATCCACATTTATTTAAGCATCCCATGTTAGAGGTAATATAATAAGTACTTTAAATGTAGTTTATATTTAAAATAATGTCTATATACTTATATGTACTATAGTTTCTAATTTACATCCACAGGAATTTTACAATATAGTTAACATCCCCCTTTTACATAAAACAAATATCAAAAACCAACAATGGCTTATTGAAGCTAATATGTTAAAAATTTTAGCTAAACTCTGACTGACTTCAAAATCCATGTTTTTCTTACCATACCAGTTACCTCCTAAATTGTATAATAGGGAGGATTTAGTTCCCAGAGGGAAATGATGACTTGCTTAAAGCTGTTTTTTTCCCATTGAACAAATATGCATCAAACACTACCTGTGCCAGGCACTATTGTAGGTGCTGAGAATCCCATAGTAAAAATGGTTTTGCATTCAGAGAGCATATGTTTGAGTTGTGGGATTAATAATCTGTTCTCTTATATCCAGTGCACATCAGAATTACACATTTTTTTCAGACAGAGTCTCACTCTGTGGCCCAGGCTGGAAAGGGCAGTGGTGATCCTGGCTCCCTGTAGCTCCAACCTCTTGAGTTCAAGTGGTCATTCTGCTTCAGCCTCCTGAGTAGTTGAGACTACAGGCGTGTACCACCACACATAGCCAATTTTTTATTTCTTATTTATTTTTAGAGATGGGATCTCTCTATGTTTCCCAGGCTGATCTTGAACTTCTAGTCTCAAGAGATCCTCCCACCTTGGCATTCCAAATTGCCAGGATTACAGGCATGAGCCACCACACCCAACCTGGAATTACACATGTTATATGCATTATTATTATATCCCCAGATGCTTTGGAAGTATTCAATTAAAAAGAAAACAAATGGAAAGAATGAATCTAATTTTAGAATTCCTACTGAACTACTGCCACAGAGGACTGACTGGATAACTTCCTTTCTGCCTGCTAATGCTTTGCTGGTGTTCTCCCCCAGCTCCATTCCATGGTCTAGTCCAGGCTACTCCGAAATGAAATGCTTAATCACATATTGAGTAAGCCAATCTGCTCTCTTAGTTTTTCCCAAACCCCTGCAACCAGACTGGTTTTAACTTTTGTATTTCTTGTTCTATCTCAGCTGCTGCTGGAGTTTCACTGTGATTCTGAGGAGTGCTGTCACTCAGGGGTCTCCCGATCCTATCTAGTGCTGATCTTCCATGGATTTCCCGGAAGACTGAATAGGCTTAATTTTGCAACTGCTCTAGAATACAAGTGTGCTGGTCTCCTGGACGCTTCATGGGGGAAAAAAAGACAACCCTCTAGTTCTGCTCAGATTTTTTTTTCAGCTCTGCCTCCTGCAAAGATAGTCCATCTCATCCAGCCAGTTCTGAGGAAGTATGTGAGTCATGTCCCTTTTTCTGATGAAAACTTCCAGTATTGACTACTAGAAGTTTTCTAGATCAACAACTATCAAGCCTTTGGAAATATAACTAATATGTACCAATATGTAAAAAATAATTTCTATTTTTTTAATGAAATAGTTTCCTAAGGCCCAAATGTAACTTTCAAAATGATATGTGTGGCACAAATTCTCTCTACTACCGGGGCGACGAAGGGAGCACAGTGCACAGGCTGGAGGTCAGAGCCTCCCTGGACATAGTTTGGCCCCAAAAAGAATCAGGGAAGAAGAAACTTGACAAAGAGCCTCATAGATGTTTCCTAAAGCAGAGACCCTCTGAAGGTGATGCATGACTATTAGAGAATCTGTGCTATAAGGAGCTTCTTGGTTTCCATTTCTGTCACATGAGGAAAAGTAAAAGCTAACAAAATCGCTCATACAAACAAATCTGTGTCACAGGCATACAGTCCTGCTAACATTTTTCTGTTAAAAGTAGGAACAAATGTAAGCTTTCTGGCATATATTTTATGTTTTGTTTAAAACACTGCACATTTTATTTTATCTTTAAATACATATATGCATATATATATTTAAAACATACACATGGACATAATAACTATTTGTAACTATATACCTATTTGTAAAAATATTATCATTGGAATTCTTTCCCTTTAATAAAACAAACGTAACTAAGCATAAGCCTCCATAAAGTGCTTATATCCAGGGATGTTGTAGGAAACTGTCTCTCCTGGGGAATAGGAGGAGCTTTGATTTGCAGCATTTGCCAATTTCTGCATTGTAAACACTCCGTCTATGGCCTGTTTCAAACTACCAATGATTTAGTGCCTGGCTCACAAAATTCCTGAATATTTAACAAGCGGCTCTTGTGAGGGCAGGAGCCCGTGGCAGGTTACCACCACCATGCTCCTTCAGCACCGCAGCAAACTTGTGGGAGGTGCTTGGGAAGCCCACCGACTAACCTTTCCTTTTAGACTGACAATCACTCTGCAAGGTCTTAAGTCAAGATATTTTCATTTTAGTTTTGTAGATTAGAATACAACATTTTCAGAAAATCTGAAGAAGATCAAGGAAAATAAAGATTGACACAAACCGTAAAAGGCATTCAAGAAATGTTTGCTGATTTGTATTACCTATGGTGTGGGTGAGAGAAAACACAGAGCTGGAACGCTTGGGTGTCAAATCCTGAAAGATGTTTGACGAGGAGAAGCAGCCCGCAGGAAAGAGGGCGTGTTTCTCTCTGGTTCTTCCCTGAGCCTGGCTAGACCTCACCTGTGCAGGAGACCTGGCTGAGGGGAGGTCTGTGCCTGTGCCATGGTCTTGGCTGGAGGCTTCACGTGCACATCCAAGCACAGAGGACTCGGTGCCTGCCAGCGGGCCGTGCCTGCCTCCCAGCAAGCTCCCACCAGCCTCAGAGAGCTCGCAGCCTAAGCCTCCATCTCATAACCAATCTCTCTTACAGTTCGAAAACTTTTCCTTTAACCTGCTATAAAGTCAAAGAAAGACTTTTATGAAGTCACCTCTCAGCTTTTCTTTCTCCAGGCTAAATAATCCATTTCCCCTAAAGTCTCCCTGGGGTCCTATTTCCCCACCCCTTCATCACTTTTGTGACTCCTATTTGAGTTCTGTTTGAGAGAAATGAAAATGAGTTTCTGGGGAAAGGCTCACCCTGACCCTGCACTGGATGGTAGAGGAAGCCGCGAGGGCAGCGCGGGCCGTTTCTTGCAGGGAAATCGCTCTTGCTTGTCCTCCCTGCGCCCAACACATCCAAACAGGACAGCCGCTCTTCTCTCCAAGCCTCTACTTTCTGCACCAAGAGAACAGGGGATGGCAGAACACAGAGGCCTTAGAAATGATCACACACGGCCGAGCTCGGTGGCTCAAGCCTATAATCCTAGCACTTTGGGAGGCCGAGGTGGGCGGATCACGAGGTCAGGAGTTTGAGGCCATCCTGGCCAACATGGTGAAACCCTGTCTTTACTAAAAATACAAAAAAATTAGCCGGGCGCGGTGGCCGGCGCCTGTAGTCCCAGCTACTCAGGAGGCTGAGGCAGGAGAATGGCGTGAACCCGGGAGGCGGAGCTTGCAGTGAGCCGAGATCGCGCCACTGCCCTCCAGCCTGGGGGACGGAGCCAGACTCTGTCTCAAAAAAAAAAAAAAAAAAAAAAAAAAAAAAGATCACACACTCATTTTACACACGAGGAGGCTGAGATTCCAAGCATTTTAATATCTGCTTGATATCAATCAAAGTCGATCATAGAGGAGAATTAGAAGCAAGATGTCCTAACAAATGTATAGTCCAGTGCTAAGTATACCGTGCAGAATAGTGGACTGTAGGTCTGCCTGAAATGAGATGATAATCATAACCACTAATATTCATATTATTCCCTACATTTTGCCTGTTTGCATGAAAACATGCTGGCAGCCAACTTTAGTCTGATTCCACACCCATCTCCAGCTCCAGGAACAGTGACCAGCACATGGTTTGCCTTCCTTATGTATTTGTTTTTGTTGGAGGGGCATAATTACCTAATTTGCTCCCCTGCACGATTTCATAAGGATGGGTATTACTGAGGAGAAAGTTGTTTTTTTTTAATTTATTTCTTTTTTACAGTGTTACTGATGGAAATAATAAATTTCAAGTAGCAGAAAACCCTCTAGAAATTGCTTCAAAGAGAAGGAATGTATCATAGGAAGTGAATGGTATCTGAAACTGAAAAAAGTGCGGTGCAGGACTGCCTCAGGGAGAGTTAGACCTAGACCAAATAAATCTTGGCTCTTCCTCTCTGTGGCCACAAGGAGACGGCTGTTCATGCGTTTCGGTGGAGCAAGTCTCAGAATGACAGCAAGAAGGACCATGTTTCGGCAGGGATTACCCCCATTGCTAGGTGATCTCAGAACGTCACCTATCCTTTCTTGATATTATTTCCCTATTTATAGTACAATTGATTTCTGTTCATCCTACCACAGACCAAATGATCTAATGCTATGAAAATACTTTCCAAAGTTTAAAATAGGATATAACATACGATTAGTTTATTACAATCATGGATTTCTCCCTCCCCAGGCTGAAAAATGCAAATCAGATCAATAATAACTGCCTTTGATCTGAAGACTTTCATTAGATTTTCACATCAAGCTCTACATCACAATGACCTGGAGTAAAATAAAACCTACTAAAAATATAAAATTAAGAAAAGAAAAGAAAATAACACATTTTCTTTTTAAATACAGACCTTAGAAGGTTTTGTGTTTTTTAAATCAGATAGAAGTGAAAAGGCACGTAATACCTTTGCTAAATTACTTGAAGGCAGTTCAAACAGGTAGAGAGTGGGCTTAGAGATTCCTGACAGGCAAATTGCTCACCTATGACACGCTTCTTACTCTGACAAAAACAAAGACTCTTTGAAAGAATTTCCATTGTCAGGTGATGTTATGTTTACTAGACCTAATCCTAAATCTTAGAAATTAGAAAGGCCTTAAATCTTGATCCTCACATGTCAAAATGTGATGAAACTATTTTAGAGAAAAACAATGTGCTTTAGCTGTAGCCTAAGGGGCAAAGCATAGGCTTGAATTCTTCAGTGTTGGTAAAATAAATACTCGGAGTAGTGGCTATTTGCATTCATGGATAACTTTATTCAATGTATCTCTTCATTCTATCTGGAATCTGAAAGCACATTATTGGTAGATAAACATTGCCATGGATCATATCAGTTGTATTGCCTTCAGTGACTCTAATAAACAGGAAATTAAAAAACTAGTACAAGTTCTGTCTTCCTTGGACATTCCTCTACTCATTCGCTCACTCGTTTGTTGAACAAACGTTACATAGTAAGCATACTGTATAAAGCAGTATGAAAGATTCTAGCATTAGGGTAGATCATGTGAATAGAATTAGCTATTTCTGATTTTCCTCCCATGGACTTTGTAGTCTTAGATAGGCAAGGTAAATCAATAGAGAAAGAGAGAGAGAGATAAAGATATAAACAGCTAAATTGCAGGTAGAATATAAAAATAACATCAGGAAAAGTTAAATATGAAATGAGAAGCATAGATTTTGCAAGTTTGGCTGAATGGAGTTAGTGTTTCAAATTGTGCGATTTCTCTTTAGAAAATTAACTTCTTAACTAAGTAATAATGCATTTGTGAACTGTTCAGTTACCGCAGTTATAGAGCAATGCTGTAAGGATTCTGTTTTTGCTAAAATACAAGACTGAACTACTAAAAATAGAAAACATGATAAATTATTGGAATATTACTTTATAAATATGCCATTTGTAACAAAAGAGTTATTTCTGCAATTTGTTGGCTTATCTGTAAAATGTAAACGTGCTCCCTATACATAACTCGGACACATTCTGAAGACGACTTAATAAATACAGTGCATTTATTCTTTCACTAATTAGATAATCATTTATTAAATACTAACTTAGTAAGAAAATGTCATTGAGCTTGAGGAACAAAAGGTTGGTGATAAACACATATATACTTACGTATAGATCAACATCAAAAACAGTTGAATTTTCATTATATAATTTGTTTCAGGTGAGAGAACTTGTGGTTATTAAAGTTCCCCTTTGTGCTTTATGAAAGTGAGATTCAGAGCTAATCAACTTGTTAACAATTGTGATTTGACTCTGAAGTCAAATGGGTTTTTCTGATGAGAAACACAAATCCTATATTCTATTAAGGGAAAAGCAGAAATATTTTCTAGATCATATGGATTTTATTTGGAGTGGAAAAAGAAGATGGATCCTGAAAACATATCTTGCAAATATTTTGCCTCGAATATTCTTTGTCTTCAGGACACTGAACTTGTCGCATTTTCTTCCTCTCTAGGCCCTTGGCAGCCTCAATATTTTTGCCCAGATTTTCTATGTGAGTAGAGTTTCGGGATTCTCTGCTTTTTCTGCACCCAGACAATATGATTTCTGCTCATTGCTACAATATTATTTACACACAGCCAGCTCACAGACCTGCATCTCTTGTTCAGGCCTTTCCACGGATCTATAAGGTTGGTGCAAAAGTAATTGTGGTTTTAGCACCACGCTAATACTTAGTATATATTCTTGAATACTTCCTAGCAGCTCAAACTAAGCCAGATGGACAGTAACCTCTTGAGTATCGCTTCTGAGGCCTGTCTTCCGCTATTCTTTCTTTCAGAGGAAGGCATCACCATTGACTGGGCCATGCAAGTCAGGATGCCTTCAGGTCATTCTTTTTCTTTTCTTTTCCTTTGAGATGGAGTCTCACTCTGTAGCCCAGGCTGGAGTGCAGTGGGGCAATCTCGGTTCACTACAACCTCCATCTCCTGGGTCCTAGTTCAAGCAATTCTCCTGCCTCAGGCTCCCGAGTAGCTGGGATTACAGGCACGCGCCACTATGCCCAACTAATATTTGTATTTTTAGTAGAGACAGGATTTCACCATGTTGGCCAGGCTGGTCTTGAACTCCTGACCTCGTGATCCGCCCACCTCGGCCTCCCAAAGTGCTGGGATTACAGGCATGAGCCACCGAGCCCTGTTGCCTTCAGGTCATTCTTAACTTCCCTCTCCCTCCTCCACCTCACAATGATAATTCCTAATCTTCTATGTACCAGGAGACAGTTCTTGGAAATTGCATGTGCATCGTTTCGTTTAATCTCCATGTTGGAGGATGCCATAATTTTGTTAATATAAAGATAATGTGTAAGGCATATTTTTATTTATTATTTGTTTTATCAATGTATCAACCATCTAACTATTTTATTATTATTTTGTGGGGGG
Organism: Homo sapiens; assembly: GCF_000001405.40. Lineage (NCBI taxonomy): Eukaryota > Metazoa > Chordata > Mammalia > Primates > Hominidae > Homo > Homo sapiens. The sequence continues at coordinate 6,217,639 of NC_000002.12, forward strand.
AATGGTGTTTCTCTCTAACTTCTGTATCTTACCATAGCCTGAATATGAGAAAGACCTACAAAAAGCAAATACTAGTCCAATCCAGTAGCCTTAGCAAGGTTCTTTGCTGGTTTCTGCTGCAAGATGGCCGGATTTGCTAGTCATCTCCATTGTTAATGGCTATGGTGCAACTGGTCTCGGCTGGCCTTTTGGGTGCCTGACATTTCTACTAGAGCACATGTACCTGGCTTTTTGCCCCAGTTTCAGCACCTTTGGTTGTTCCTTCTCTTCAGCTTGACCCCTTTGCCTGCTGAGTTCTGGGTACTCTCAGAGCCTCCATGTCCTCTGATAGGAGCAGGCAAAAAGAGCTGTCCCTGCACTCCACACACAGATCCAAGAAGCAAGCAGTGCTGCTTCTGCCTCACCTCTCCAAACGCCTTCTGCAAGCGCAGTGCCCTGTTGAATGCATGCGGCAAGCAGACATATTAAGAGCTTTATCTAAAGTCTGCACACCTGCCATCAGCATGCCTATACAGTAGTTTCATGGGCCCTGGCATTCTGGAGTTCCTTCATGCTAATCTAGATATTGCTCCAGCTGCCTTCTGCCACCATGAACAGTTACAGAAGAAACAAGAAGAGACTCTCCATCTTCCCCTGTCCTTTCTCCACCCATCAAACCACCCCGGAACAAGAGGTGTTTGGGACTGTCACTTCTTGAAGACATATTCTCCTCTCCCACTTAGACAACAAGGCTCATGGCCAAGAGACAGAAATATCATAGGCAGAAAGAGGAGAATTTGCTATACTATGTATAAACCTCTATGATTTGGCTTTTTCACATTTGATTTCAATATAGTAAAGAAAAACATTTTAAAAAATATTTCTCTTTCTCTTCCAAAATTCTGGCTTTTAAACCTACCATCTTGCTTCAAACTTTAATGAAACTCTATGTGTCAGTGAAGGCTGAGAAATAGCTTGTTCTAGCTGGTAGCTGCCCTTTCTTCAAACTCTGAAACCTATTAATGCAATGCGTTATCACCTCCTGTGGCAACACGACTTACTACATATAAAAACATATCCAAAATAGCTTTAAAAATAATAGCCTTAACACACACACAGCAATACTTCAGGGCAAATTTTGTCATCCTGGTACACATGATAAAACTGAACGTCATGTATTCCTGTTTGTGCAGCCATCCTTGGAGAAGGGGGTGGTCTAGGATTCAAATTTAGGTCTATCTAACACAAACATTCATTTATTTTTTATTTTTTTCTACTACACCAAACTACTGAGAGAGAGAGAGACAGAAAGAGAGATAGAGAGACTCAGTGAGCAAAACCCATGCAGAATAATAACAAGAAGAGTTGGGAATTCTGATCCTTTTCCACTGAAGTGGTCCCCTCCCACAAGCATCCCATCTGTGTGACAGAGACTGGTTTAAAGTTGACCAAGACCATTCCCTCTTCAGAGAACACAAAGAGGCGACATGGTCCAACCCCCTTGCAATTAAATGAGGGCGATGGGGCATATCTCAGGATAATAGAAACAAGGTAAACACAACATAAGCTCCTCCAAGACTTGGTGAGAAAATGTCCCATGTGACTGACTCTTTTCTCTCTCTTTCTCCCTCTTTCTTACTCTGATCTTTGACTGTCTGGAGGGAGATAATTCATTGAAAGACTCTGCGGAGAACCTAGAAGATCCCGGTACACAGGATAGAAGGGGCCAGAATCCCTGAATCATGTAATGCCATTTGCTAAACAAGTATCCTGACTCCGACGTGAGAGAAAACAAGCCCTTACTGCACTCTTTGAGGTTTTGTCCGTTTGCTTCTGCAGTTAGCGCCAAGTACCCTAACTAATAAACCCTGAAACACACCCAGCCCCTTCAAATAATCTCAGGAACCTGAGCACAACTCTGAAGATCCCTACACCTTCTCTCTTGAACATTCACTGGCCATTACCCACGACAGTAGTGACAGCAATAAGAGCAGCTCATCGTTACCGAGTCTGTCTTACATCAGCCATTTTCTAAATGATCTAAGTATTAATTTATTTCATATTTAGGACAACTCTACAAACCATTTTTTCCCATTTACAGATGAGAACACTTGGCCCAGAGAAGTTCAGTAACTTGCCCAAGACGATTTCAATTAATACCATGTAGGGCTAGATTAGGAACCCAGGCTCTCTGACTCCAGGACTGAGACTCCAAGTCGCTGTACTCCACGCCTCTCAGGCAGAGGACCTAAATATCAGTAAAAATTGCAGAACAAACCAACCTCAGATCTAGCAGCCAACCTTTAATCAACTCAGCTTTCCCATTTTGTAATGAGAAGTAGTTTTGTGGTTCACGAATTCCAGGCTTCAGAAGACTCTGGCAACACTCAGATAGAGCTTCTTGTATTCTGCTCTCTAATCAAGCTCAAGGAGGTAAAAATTCATCTCATAACTGGACAACATATCAGGGGCAATTAACGCAATGCAATGAGTAAAGTCCAGAATCATGCAGAGCCTCTTTCACAAGGTTAAGGTGCTAAGATGAATGAGAAGATGAGTGCAGCCCGGAAGGGCTCAGGATATTGTTCAGTAATTCCCTGGAAAATAGACACATCTCGGGGCTGAGTGTGGCTCATGTCTGTAATCCCAGCACTTTGGGAGACCAAGGTGGGAGGATCTCTTGGCAAGAGTTTGAGACCAGCCTGAACAACACAGGGAGACCCTGTGCCTATAAATAAATACCAGTGAGTTTCTGATCTCAAGGCTTACTGTTACTGGAAAGTATTTATAGCATAGGAGTAAAGTTTAAACAAAGCCATTTTGAGATAGTCTCTCTCTCCCTCTGTCCCATACATCTAGGCAAACAACTAAAAATTAAGAAAGGAACCAGAGACAGAGAGAGAGAGAGGGAGAATGACAACACATGGAAATCATGTTGCTGGAGCAAGCAGGGCAGGTATGGATCAAAGCATGAAGGTGCATGGAGCCTGGGCAGATGGGAGAAGGAAGAGGGGGGAAAGGAAGCAGAGTCTTGGACTTAGAAAGGAAAAGAATGGGACAGAGAGTCAGTCATCTGCAGAGAGAAAGAGTTCTAGTATTGGTTCTCTGGTCTAAATCCCCAACTTAAACCTGCAATAATATTTCATACTACTTATATTAATATTTTGCCAAAAATAATCAATGTTAATAATAGCAAGAATTGCTCCATTTATTGAGAATCCATTATATATAGTATTGGACACATTCAATACATCATCTTATTTCTTCATGGCAGAATTGCAAGGCAGGAATTATTTTTAATTTTACACATGAAGTTCAGATGAGTGAAGAGATTTTCTCCAAGTCAGACAATTAATAAGATCTAGCTCACTAAGGGTGGCGTTCAGTCTTTTAGTCAAAGCCCAGTTTCTTAAACATCTTCCTATCATCTACAGGATGTAGTGGCATTCTCACCTTAAAGGCAGCATTTAACAACTGCATGATGATTAATAGTTATTCTCAATATGCAGGATTCAACATGAAAGCAGAAAGGAGTTCTTCTCACTTAAGAGAGATGGTGACTGTATTATCTGTGAGGGTGGGTGTGGGGCCAGCATGTTGAGAATATGAGCTAGAATTGACATTGTCTAGCACTGTTAGGCATTCGGAAGTGGAGCCAGGGTCTCAGGAGAGCAGCAAGAGCTCGTGGTGACCACTGAGGCACATAGGAATACCTGGGGGAGAGAGGATAAGGGCTCAGCTTGGGGATCTGTCCATGGAGTAAAATTGTCATTAAGCAAACAGCAAAAAGGAGAGAAAATGATTTTTTTGAATACCAGAACCAGATCAAATTTCAGACCTGCCCTTCAATAGCTGGTGACCTTGGAAAAGTGAATTTATCTCCTCTACCTTTAATTTCTTCACCAGTAGAACTCCAATAATAACCCCTAACCAGCTATGTTTTAATGATAACATTAAATAACCTCTGCAAACTCTTCCATACAACCCCTGGCTCATAGTAGGTGATGAGAAAGTTCACTCCCTTTCCACCACTCTTTCGCTTTGGATGAGTGCCAATAAATGTCATGGAAGAGGTTGGTTACTCTCCCAGCATGTTTGAGGGGAAAGTCTCTTCATTTAAAGATACTCCCTGAATGATAAATTTTTACTCATCAGCTGGTTTAATAAATGCTTTGCTAAGAAAATGGAGTCCAATATTGGCTGGGCCTATTGCAGTGGTCAGGTGAAAAGGACCTTGGCCCATAGAACCTCCAGCTCTGGCCCCTGAGACAAGATAACTCCCCAGGAGAGGGACCCAGTGCCAGGCTCTCATGGATTAAACTACAAAACATTTGGATCTTTCAGTTAACCCTCCTTGCTCCTGGTTATACGTCCCTGGCTATGATGTCCCCTGTCAGTGGACCTTCCTGGAGGAAGGTGCTAGGAGTGCTGATGTAAGAATTCTGATTCCAGCAATAATTAGTGAGAGTAAAAATAGGATTAACTAAGCCATTGACTGTTGAGGGCTTATGTGTGCAAAGAAATGTGTTGGATTCTTCAAAGTCTGGCATTTAGCCCATCTAAGTTCAGTGCACACTATGGGAAGGAAAAGGTTGTGTTGTGTTAGAGGGAGCACAACCAAGTCCTTTCTTGGAGATGCAGCTGTTGTTTTCCTGCATCTGTGTGTGTTCGCTTTGTCTGTCTAAGGGTCCTGGTCTTCATCCTTTCACCCGTCACTTCCCAGTTAGACTGAAGCACTGGCTTCTTCTCCTGACATGGTCTTTCAGGGCTAGTGGAGTCCTTGATGTCCTATTATACTTACTTGGGAAATGCTTGAGGCTGGCCCCATCTGGATCCCAGCCTTCTTTCCTATCGTAGCCCCAGGCACAATCTGTTAAGAAGAGGATGATTAACAAATATAACCTCCCCACCCACGCCCGCCACCCAGGAGAAAGAACAGGGCATCCATCTCCTCTGAAGCAGAGACACAGTGTGGCCTGGCATATCACCATCAGATGCCAAAGTATGGTCAGATTCTTTGACACAAACAACAGGGCATTTTGAGACTTGTGGGGAAGATGTGATACACTCCAATATACTCACATGAGTTGAATGTATTCAGGGTGAAAAATAAGGCTTTTAACAGACATTTTGCTACCTTAGCATTAGACAGTAATGTGAATGAATGTCCTAGTGCCAAGAGTTGTCAGAGGTTTATTATGAGATTCCTCTATCCAAAATCTCTCTACATATGATTATTATTTTGTCAAAAGAAGTATTATTAAAAATAATTTGGTGTTATAACCCTTTAAAAATGTTAATACAAAAGGAGCTTTCTAAAAAGCAGCTGAAATGCCTTGTCTCTGTCATTAACTCCTAGGAAGCGTGATTCTGGTTTTCAGTTCTTCGAAATCCCTTCCTGCTGCTGCCTGCTATCAAGAGGCCCATCTTTGCTTCCTCCCACAAGTGCTGTGGAAATGAACCACCTGAGTGTGTAACTTCCGAGCAGGGGAGGGCCTGAGCTTGTGATTTTCTGAGGATTAATTTGTTGGTCAAGAAAATAAAAGGTACTCCATACACCTTCTCTTTTTCCCCTTTCAGTGCTCCCACAGAATTCTCTGATTTTGTGATACAGATAAGAAATAAGCCTATGTCGAAAAATAGTTTAGTCTAGATAGTGATGAAGTAAAACACAATTTAAAAGCAAAAGACAGACATGTAGTATTTTATGCCTCTTAATGTGTTGAATCATTCTAGTTTAGAGGTGCCCAATGGTGAAAAGCTGTGCTGAAATTGACCCCCCTCTGCACTGCAGGGACCCTGACAATTGGCACTACTGGGAAAGAAGCTTGACAACAAAAACAAAACCAGGTAAAGGAAGATGCTCATAGAGATCTTATCAACAACATTTGTTTACTTGAAATAACTTTGAGGTTCAAACACAAAAGAACAACTGAATATATCCTATCCAATAACATTTTGATGCAAAAGAAGCCATCATTACAAATTATGCACAAATTTTAATTACAACTAACAAAAGGTGAGGATGGACAGAAAGCTATTTCTGAGGAACACCTATACCAGTCTGTTTTATAATTTTTCTCCATCCAAAATGACTTATTATTTTATAAATAAAGATAAATTTAAAAAGTTTTAAAAAATTAGCAAAAATCCCTTAAATAGATTTTGAGTGGAGATTTAATGGCAGGTGAGAATTTCTTTAGGTCTATGTTCATCTGTTATTTTTCAGAGCTCTTTTTACCTTTACAGCAGAAATTATATTCAGTAGGTACCTAGCAGTTGATAGATTTCTTTTTTAAAAAACCTCTTCTATATTATTTTATATTACAGGAAAAGCAAGAAAGCAAGAGAGACAGAAAGCCTGAACAGTGACAGGAACATGAAAAGCTGCTGGCCCCCGGGATGGCACAGCCCTTCACCAGGAGGGCCCGTGGACTCCCTGTGAAAGATGGTTTGTCAATGAGAAAAAGGCTTCTGAAAAAGGGGGTCACAGGGAGAGAACAGCATGTCCTACTGTATATCCACATGACACTTCTCTTGTACAAACTCCCATGTCCATGACCTCATGTTATTTTTAAAACAGGCCAGAGTGACAAATTTTTCAAAAGTGGAAGGGATTTTAAGAAGATTGGCCAAATGATTTCCAGTTCATCGACAGGAAAAACAAGGGGAGACAGGGAAGTGACTTGCTCACGTCCTGTAACCAACCACAGGGCTCAAGTTTCTTCACTGTGGCCTGAGCCTGTCTGGCTAGTACTACCTGCACTACCTTCCTTTCTTGGTGCCCTGCACTGCACAGTTCATTGCTCCTAGGGTGGGGCTGTGGGGGAAGCTGACTTTCTCTTCTCTATTTCCACTTGAACCCACCCCCCAGCAGGGAGGTCATGGTGAACGCAGTCTGCCCCCAGGCAGCTGATCTACCCTCCCTCTGCTGTTGTTCCTCAAGGCAACAGCTGAGAGGTCCCCTCCCCAGGGAAGTCAGGCCACGGTCTCATCTTTCCTTTCTCCTGAGGCCACTGGCAGGAGGAGGAGCAGGACATGGCTTAGTAAAATGCCATGTTATCTGTTACAAGGATAGGTCTATAGGAATGTATCATTAATGTAAAGCAAAAAGGGAGGAAACTAGTTATGATGTCTCGAGTCTTAACTGTACCACCACCACCTCACACTCCTGTTCACTTTCACCGACTCTCCGTAACCAAAGCACACAACAAAAGAAATATCCTTACGATGCACGATCCGCCACACATATCCAGGGAGCACACACTTTAAGTAAATGAAAACAGTCATGTATGGGTGCCTAGTATGTCAGACACTGTGTATTTAATCAATTTCATTCTTCCCACACACTTTTGTTTTTCATACAAATAATGGAAAGGACATTATCTAATGCCTCCTGTGTTGCTTCTTTTCCAGGGATTATGGGAGTTCACCTGCGTGATCTCGCCTTTGCACCTGTTCTGAACACAGGCTCTTCCACTGTGTATCCTCAGGCTCATGCTGTTCCAGTCCCAGCTTTGAAGCCATCCCAGTCTGGACATCTGGGAGTTCCTTCCTTACCATCCAATCCAAAGGGCTTCTCCGCCCTGTGCCCCCTGCTCCGTGGTACTCATTAGCTTTTTACTCTGCATGACTTTTCTTCCTAACATTCATCATTGTTTGGCATGTGATACTGTTTGGATCCATGTCCCCACCGAAATCTCATGTCAAATGTAATCTTCAATGTTGGAGGTGGGGCCTGGTGGGAGGGGACTCCATCATGGGGGTGGATCCTTCACGAATGGTTTAGAACCATCTGCTTGGTGCTGTTCTCATGACAGTGAGTGAGTTCTCACAAGATCCAGTTGTTTAAAAGTGTGTGGCTCCTCCGCCCTGGCTCTCTCTTGCTCCTTTTCCAGCCATGTGAAGTTCTTACTCTCCCTTTACCTTCTGCCACGATTGTAAGTTTCCTGAGGCCTCCCCAGAAGCTGGGAAGATGCCAGCATCATGGTTCCAGTACAGTCTAAAGAATCATGATCAAATTAAACCTCTTTTCTTTATAAATTACCCAGTCGCAAGTATTTTTTTTTTATAGCAAGTTTGTCCAACCTGTGGCCCACAGGCCACATGCAGCCTAGGACACCTGTGAATGTAGCCCAACACAAATTTGTAAACTTTCCTAAAACATTATGAGTTTTTTTTTTTTTTTTTTTTTAGCTCATCAGCTATCATTAATATTAGTGAATTTTATGTGTGGCCCAAAATAATTATTCTTCTTCCAGTGTGGCCCAGGCAAGCCAAAAGATTGGACACCCCTGCTTTATAGCAATGTGAGAATGGACTAACACAGCATACATATACACATGCACACAAATATACGTACACACAAATATATTGTTTGTGTTTCATTCACTGCTATACATCTACCTCTTAGAAGAGATCTCAGCATTGAATTTGAACTCATTTACATAGGACAAAATGGTGTTATTGTATCCACAATGCGTAGGAGGAAGCTTAGGCTTATTAAAGCTAAACATGTTGCCCAACATCAGAGCAACAGAGAGAAAATGTGATCTCATCAGGGCCCCAGGCTTCAGTCTCTTTACTCCCCACAACCTGTACAGTCTATTGTCTAGAGAGCTACTGTCTAGAGAGCTACTGTCTAGAGAGCCAGGTTTCAAATCCCTACTCAGTTCATATTTCTATGTGACATGGGCCACTTTTCTCTGCTCTTTCTATAAATATTTCTCATATACGCATAAGGTAAAAAGTACTGCTTTAGTCTATGAGGATGCAAAAATGCAAAGTGGACTTGCTTTTAATTTTTTTTCATTTAATAGAAGGAGATGTATAGAAAGAAATAACTACAATACCAAGAGGGAAGCAAGATCCAGGTGAGCTCAGAAACAGCAGGTGCCAACACAAGGCAGAGTGAAAGGGCCAGGAAAGTATAGGGATTGTTAAGTAATGCTCCAGGCAGAGAATACACAGCACTTAGCACAATTTTTAAGCGTTTAATAGCATTTTAAAAATAAACCTGAGATATCATTATTAGATTTGCCAATTTCCAAATTTTCATTATGCTGCATGAACTCCAAAATTATTCCTTGTCAAAATTTCAAAACATCATATTAGCTTTATATTTGATAATAAAACAATATTGACCTTAGAGAAAACTTGCAAGAAAATTCAGATTCACTAAATTTTCATTTTCAGATTCATGGTTTTGCAACACTCTCTTCTCTTTCCCTCAAACCATTGGAGAATAAATTATAAACATCACGCTCCTTGATTCTGAATTCAACTTGTCTGCTATCAGTATTGCCATCCCCATTTTCTTGTTGCCACAGTTTGGTATATATTTGCCCATCCATGTATTTTTTGTTTGTTTTTTGAGACTAAGTTTCGCTCTTGTTGTCCAGGCTAGAGTGCAATGGTGTGATCTCGGCTCACCGCAGCCTCTACCTCCCAGGTTCAAGCAATTCTCCTGCCTCAGCCTCCTGAGTAGCTGGGATTACAGGCATGCACCACCATGCCTGGCTAATTTTTGTATTTTTAGTAGAGACGGGGTTTCTCCATGTTGGTCAGTCTGGTCTCAAACTCCTGACCTCAGGTGATCCACCTGCCTCAGTCTCAAAGTGCTGGGATTACAGGCATAAGCCACTGTGCCTGGCCACTCATCCATGTATTTTAAAATTTATAGAGAAACTATGTTCCCACTGTGTCTTGCATTTATGCAGTATGCAGCTTAGTGTTGCTTTATAATTTAATATTACATTTTTTTCTCATAATAGGTAAGCTAAGCCCGTTTACTTTTATTAATATCACTGAGATATTTGCTCTCCACTTTGTCCCATAATTTTATGTTATAAATACTGTGTTTACAATGTTATATTCATTGAGTTTTTCTTACCTCACCATTTTCTCACCTGGTTCATAATGAGTATTATTCTTTGAATCTTAACTAGTAAACACAATCAATGATATTATTCCACTTTTGTCTTTCTCCTCCTCCACCCACCTCACCCCAAACTTCATCTATCTTTATTAGTTGCATCTGTTCTACTTTCTGAGCTGTACAATGTTTGCATACTCTTCTGCTAGCCATGATCCCACGCTTGTTCATGGGCTGTTAATAACGAGTCAGTTAGTAGATTCTGAAGACAGATCGTGTGTCTACAGTAGTCCCTGAATTTTTGCATGTTCAGAACCTCTTTATCTCTAACCCTGATACTTTAAGCAGTGTGTGGTTGACATTTTATTTCTCTAAGTTTCTTGAAATTTCTGCTTCATTCTTGTATATATAAATATATTGCATAGCAATGTTTATATATGTGTGTATATATGTATATATATATATATAAGTATTGTATATGTACATATACATACAACATACAGACATGTATGTGTGTGTATTCAGGTCTTTCTTTATTTTTGGAATATTTTCTTAGCTTATGGAGAAAATATTAGTTCAATTCCACCCTATTGTTCTTCTTGTTCAAGTATTGCAATTTTGTGTGTGCTTGATCTTTTTTTAATTACCTTCCTTTGAACCATCTTTTCTCTGACCTTTTCTATTTTTATTCTTGAGCTCATTTTTATTCTTTGATTTTTTAAATTTTTTTAATGTCCTTATTACATTTTCATTGAAGTTTATTATTCTTTCAGTGCCAAGAGAAGAGATAAAGGTCACAAAATTACCTAGCAATAAATCTGACTTCAGCCAAAATCATCTAAGAACTATGAACTTTGGTAAAAAAAAGGATCTTAAAAGAGAAAATTATTTTTCTTCAATTCCAGAAACTTGGTATTGGCTATTAAAAGCAAAGCTTGAAAAGTTCTGAACATACAGTTTATCTAATGATTCGTTTATTTAATTAGATGAATGATCATATAAAATATATCTTTTTTACTTTCTAGGAAGTTTTTTCTCTTATTCTTCCTTCCTTCCTCCCTCTCCTCCCCTCCCTTCCCCTCCCCTCCCCGGCCTTAAACAGGAGCACAGGGACTATCTTGAGAGAAAAAGAGAGTAAAAGAGAGTGTAATATTACTGACTGCTCCTGATTGGATCCCTATTTCTGACCATCTTCACTGTTCCAATGCCAAGCTCAGATCTGAAGGTATTTGGTAAAATAAATTTTTAGTTCATAGTATAACCATCAAGACAAACCTGAACTCTTAATAATTAGTCAGGTCTAGGTTTCAATGCCAATAAAATGCCTGGCAGTTGAAATTAGAATACCTAGTTCACAATATAATTTAGAAGATAAAACCCAAAATGACACTTTTTGATCTTGTAAGTTGATTTCTTATTTTTTATCCTCTGGGATTGTAATGAGGCTTAACCTAGTACTCCAGTTTTTATTTTATTGAAGTATAACTCATATAAAAATGTGCATAGAATTATTACAAAGTTAATACACTTGTGAAACCATCACAGATCAAGAAGCATAATTGCTATCTTTCATTCTCTCTCCTTTATTACCCATTTCTAAAAAATGATCAATAAGCCTATAAAATATTTTGGCTGTTATTGAATAATCCAGTGTGTGTGTGTGTGTGTGTGTGTGTGTGTGTGTGTGTGTGTGTGTGTTTGTTGCTGCCTTGTTTTTCCCAATGTTGTGAGGTTTATGTTTGTGGTTTTGTGCATCTGTAAGTTATTCATTTGTTGTTTTTTAAAGGATGGGATCTTTCCACATACAAAGCAGATGATAAAAGTTCTTAATTCTGAGAAAAAAATAGTATATCTAATAACTTATCTGTACATATAGTGTAAGTATATAATATACTCTGCAAATAAAGTTTTGATTTTATACTTTCAAATTCTTATATGTTTCATTTGTTCTTTTGTTATTGTACTGTTACTATTTTTAGTACAATGTTGACTAGAAGTGATGATGTGAGTTAAAAAATGGAGAAGCCAATCCTCAAATTCACATGACATTGTAAGAGATCCTGAATAGCCAAAATAATCTTGAAAAAGAACAAACTTGGAGGACTCACACTACCCAATCTCAAAACTTACTACAAAGTTACAGTAACAAAGTCTATGCGGTGCTGACAGATGGATACTCACAGTTCAGTGTATTAGAATCGAAGGTGCAGAGATGAAAACACAGAACAATTGTCAACTGCTTGTTGGTGTGGGCACCAAGACATTCAATGGGGACAGAATGCCCTTTATAAAATGATACTGGAGCAATTACATAGCCACATACAAAGAATGAAGTTGGACACCTTCCTCATACAAATACAAAAATTAACACAAAATAGATGAAAAACCTAAATATAAGAGCAAAACCTTAGGAGAAAACGGTGGGTAATCTTCATGACCTAGGATTTGGCAAAGACTTTTAGGATGTGACACCAAAGGCATGAAAACAACAAAAATAGATAAATTGGACTTCATCAAAATATAAAGCTTTTATGCTTCAAAGGACGCCATCAAGAACATTGAAAAAAAAAACCTTACAACTCACAGAATGGGATAAAATATCTGCAAATTACATATCTAATAAGCATCTAGTATCCAGAATAATAAGGAACTCTTACAACAAAGCAATAAAAAGACAAATACCCAATTAGAAATGGGCAAAGGATTAGAGTAATAGTGTCTCAAAAGAAGATACACAAATGGCCAACAGCCATGTAAAACTATGCTCAACACCATCAGTCATTAGGGACACGCACATCAAAGCCATAATTAAATTCCACCTACACACAAAGGTGGCTGAAATTGAAAAGGGGGACAATAACAAGTGCTGGCAATAACATGAAGAAATTAGTACCCGTGTCCATTCCTGGTGGGAGAGGAAACAGTGTAGCCACTTTGGAAATGTTTGGTAGCACTTCAAAAAATCGAACGTATTTTACTGAGCAGCTCCCTTCCTTGGTATGAACTCAAAAGATTTGAAAACGTATGTTCTTCCCAAACCTTAGTCATAAATGTTCACAGCAGTGTTATCTATATAAACAAAAGATGGAAACAATGCACACTCGCATCAGCTGATGAATGAAATAACATAGATGGTGAAACAGTAAAATAGAATACTAATTAGCCATAAAAGGAGCAATGTTCTGATAAATACTACAATGCAGGTGCAAACAGGGTGCTAAGTGAAAGAAGCCAGACACAGAAGGTTGTATATCATATGATTCCACGTATATTAAATTTCCAGTATAGCTGAATCTATAGAGAAAGAAAGTGGATTAGGGTTTGCCAGGAGCTGAGAGGAAGGGCAAATCCTTGCTAATAGGATCATTGGCAAGGGTAGAATGATTGCTAATAGGTAGAAAGTGTATTTTTGTGTTGAGAAAATATCCTGGAAATAGTAGTGATGGTTGCACAACTTTGTTGTTATAATACAAAATATCAAATTGTTTGATTTAAAATGGTGAGTTTCGTGGCATATAAATTATATGTCAATAAAAATGTAACTTTGGCCGGGCACGGTGGCTCACGCCTGTAATCCAGAACTTTGGGAGGCCGAGGCACATGGATCATGTGAGGTTAGGAGTTCGAGACCAGCCTGGCCAACATGGCAAAACCCTGTCTCTACTAAGAATACACAAAATTGGTCTGGTGTGGTAGCTGGCGCCTGTAATTCCAACTATTTGGGAGGCTGAGGCAGGAGAATTGCTTGAACCCAGGAGACAGAGGTTGCAGTGAGCCGAGATTGCGCTATTGCACCACTCCAGCCTGGGTGACAGAGCAAGACTGTCAAAAAAAAAAGTTATCTTTAATGTTCACTGACTAACACTCCCAAGACTGGCATTCCTGCGCTGTGGGTATCGTTCCTGCACAAGTGACTCAGAGGATGCATTGTTTTCCCATCTGTGGCTCTGAACTCTCTTTGGTCATCAAAATTGTTTATGTCCAGCTAGTTGAAGAGGAAGATTGTGAAGGAAAAAATATCAATTCTCTAAAAAAAAAAATCCTTCCTTTTGAAGCAAACTACATCATACCTCTTCGTAAGATGGAATTTCACGGCAATGCCTATATGAGACAGGTGCTAGATGATGTATTTCCTTACTGGGAAGGTACTTCTCAGTGATAATTGGTTATTGTTTGGACAGGGGATTTATGAGCTAAATTGTGCTTCCCCCAGATTCTGTATGTTGAAGCCTTAGCATAGAGTACATCAGAATGCAACTGCCTTTAAAGATTGGGCCATTGAAAAGGTGACTAAGACTCAATCTGACTGGAAGTGGCAAGACCCAAGGGAACATGCCCATCCATGGAGGAGAGGCCAGGTGAGAACACAGCAAGAGGGTGAGTGGCTTCAAGCCACAGCAAGAGGCCTGGAGAGAGACTGCACCTGCTGATAACCTGATCTTGAACTTCCAGCCTCCAGCATGGTGAGACAAATAATTTTTTTAAACCACCTGATCAGTGCTTCTTTGTTATTGAAAGCCCTAGCAAAGTAATACAAATGGAGGGATGCAATTTGGCATACATTTATTCACTTCTGTCACACTCCACGTTCTGCTGACCTGTAAGCTAAAGGAAAATGTGTCTGTCCCCCTCATCAATGGTGGAAGAGCTACAGGAAAAACAAAATAAAATCCCTTCACCCCATTTATAAAATGGAAGAAGAGGAAACACAGCAACAACCCATCCCTAGCAGTTTGGGCAGCTGCCCTCATCCTAGCAGTAGGGGAACTTTCTCAATTATGTCCTCATTCTGCTTCCTTGCAGTGACTCTCTCGCCTCCTTTCCTCTGTGCTCTCTGGGAGATTGTCTTCTATGATCATATCCACAGCAGGATTCTGGGAGCTTACCCTTCTTCGGGTTTGCACAAATTTCACAGGCAACTTCACACTGGCGGGATTTGGGAGAGTGAAAGGGTGATTTTACTGTCAAAGATTCTTAAGCCTACAGTAATAGTTTCTTTGGAAATAAAATTTTCTAAGAAATATGTAGGCTTTTAATCTACTTGACGCTAGTTAGTTCCATGTGTCAGTATTTAAAGTTTATTACGAGACTGGGTTCTCACACCTGCTTTACATTTGCCCCTTCTTTGCCTAAGCTGATCTCTTCCACACTAATGGTGGCTACCTTTGAGACTGTTGAAAAAATAGGCTTAGGAAGGAGCTATCTTTCTGAACCTAACATTTGCTTATTTATTGAGTCCTTCTGTTGAACTACAGTTTTTAAGTTTTTGTCTTGTTTTAGTTACTCAAAATCATTTTGAATTTAATCCCTTTCTTTCTAGTGTCTGGAAGTTCTTGCCTCTTCTCACCCTTCAAAGCTCCATATCTTGACTTTCTACTTGCTTCTGTTTCTAACGAGTGATTCTTATCCAAATTCACCCATATTATAATATCTTGGTGCTCTCTGCAAGCGAAAGAGAACTCAAAGTAACACTCTGGTCCTTCCTGGCCACTTCCCTTAGAGTGGTGTGAATTTTTGTGGACATTCAACTCTGCTGCCACAGACACAAAATCCCAAACTGAAGAACAGCAATAACTAGGGTTCCTCTGCAAAAGAAAGAGGCTTAATTGACTCATAGTTCAGCAGAGCTGGAGGGGGAGGCCTCAGGGAAGTTACAGTCATGGCAGAAGGCAAAGGAGAAGCAGGCATCTTCTTCTCAGGGTGGCAGGACTGAGTGAGTGCAAGCAGGGGAAATGCCAGAAGTTTATAAAACCATCAGATCTCATGAGACTCACTCACTAGCATGAGTACAGCATGGGGGAACTGCCCCCATGATCAATTACCTCCACCTGGTCCTGCCTTTGACACATGGGGATGACAACAAGTCAAGATGAGATTTGGGTGGGGACACATAGCCAAACCATATCAATGTGTATATATTTCTGTATTTAAAATATACTTACATGTGATAATAAATAATATATTTATATTTATCATATATTTTATACATATAAAATATACATTTATATACATACACATATACATAGATGTGTGGATATGACTGTGTGTATATGTGTGTACTATATTTCCCCAAAATACTTATCATTGAGTAGATAAATCATTTTTTTTTCAATGATACAACTGAATAGCCATAACAAGGAACAGAGAATTCAGATTCAGGAACAAAATGTAAACAGCATGTTCATAGAGTGTGAGACATTGAGAGTTTCTCATTGCAGGACTTGCAGCCAGTTTTTCTGAATCTGTGTCCACTTCTCTTTTCACTATCACGTATTGAGCTTAGAGCCAGCCCAGCAAGCAGAGAAAGTACAACATGGACTTTCCACAAGCACAGGTTTCCAAGAGTGATTTCCTCCAGGACTACTAACAAGGAAGAGAAATTTCTGAAGCCCTCAGTCCTGAATTTGGAGAGCTCTACCCCTGCAAGAAAATGCCTGTTAACATAGCTCTGCTGGGTATAAAAAGAATTTTATTTTGGATGGCAGTTGGCTATTTTATTCCCTGAATCCTCAGTCTGACTCTATTTCATGGGGTGTCGACTCTGTCTGTGATTACTCCAATGTTCAGGTGCAGAGAAGTCAATGTTTATGAAAGTGATGTCCCTGTCAGTAGCAAGCATATCATCTGGCCCCCCGAGCTGTCAAAGAACAGATTGTAGAATTACCATTAGAATACAGGAGTTTATAGCTGCAGGCAGTAAGTGCAGAGCCGGTAAGCATATGTCCCCAGCATGATATTTTAGCTTCATATGAAGCCGTAAAGTGGAAATAAGCCAACAGTACAGCAGCAACTGCTAACTGTTCTGTCTCTCCATGTTTCCACATTGTGCCATATGTCTGGGTAATTCTCAGTAAAGGGGGCATTACTGTCTCTCAGCTGACTGAGAACATTTCCCAAAAGGGCTCAAAAAATTGGTGCGAGACTATGGTCACAATGACCTCACCTACTTTTATTGTCCAGCTGGCCTCATGGATTTTTCATTTAACTCTGGTAGAGACGTGGATCCTCTCTCAGCATTGATTAATTATGGTGAGAAAGTGAAAACTTTCTTAGAGTGAAAAAAAAAGTTCTTGAGTCTTCCAGATGTCCGTGTCTAGATGGTTAATATTTGCTCCAAAGGTTGAATAGGATTTTATAAAAGGAAAGCAAGAGATCTTTACATTATTCTTGAAGTGATATCAGTTTTTTTAAAATACAAAAATAACTAATTAATGCTAGCCTAATTAGCATCCAAAAATATGAACCATACATTATTTCAGGAAAGACAAAACTGCCTCCTGTGGATCCAAATCAGGAGGGATTCTATGCAGTTGGAAGAAGAGAGGCTTTGGAATGAGGGATATGGATTCTGTTTTCCACTTTGCCAGTTATAAACCGTGACCTTCATCAAGAGTTCAAACTCCTAGAGTCTTTGCTTTCTCAAGTGTAAAGAGATGCTAGTAAGTTGCAGGGGTGTGCATACATTTTCCCAAGGAGCTCATAAGAAGTGCCTATCACGATGAATTTCACACAACAGGGACCCCATACATGTTAGTGACCGTCCTGCTCAGCTCTGGATGAAGTCAGATTTAATCTTAAGATTGGAGAATAAGGCAGAGACTATTATCTCAATTTATGAGTCAAAAAACTGAATTTCAAAGAGATTAATTAAACTTCTCCATATTTTATTTTAGAGGAAAATGCTTAGACTTAAACCCAGGACCCTATAATTTCAAATCCCATGCTAATTTCACTACGACATGATGCCTTGTGAAAATAATGAAGCAAATTCTCTTTCCTATGAACTAAAGTTTTCAGTACTAAAAGTTTCATAGTTCTTGTATTCCACACATTTTTGAACTGATATTTATTTTTGGCAGTATGACCCATGCATATGCCTAGTATATGATTTCCGTAATTTTTATCAATGACATATTCATCTAAAATTATGACAGCTAAAGGTATTTATGTAAACTACACAAATAAATGTGATATTCATAGGGCTTTCCTTGGAATCATAAACTATAAGGAATTAATGACATGAGTGTTAGTACTGAGCTGCACCAGCCCCTCTGTTTAGCAGGACTAAACTATATTAGCCGAATGCTCCACCTGTGTGTAAAAATATCTTTCAATGGGCATCACTTTAAAAACAGATGCTATTTTGTGAAACAATCTCATATAAAACCTCAATACAGTTAATATCTTTCAGAACTGTCTAAATGTCTTTTATTAAAAATGCATTCCTGGCCTCTCTGAGTCCATGTGCTCATCTGTTGGAATGCAAATGAACACTTCTACTGTTGTAGAGTTCTTTATCTGTCACACAGACCCATGTGCCATCCACAGCCTCCCCACTCCCATGAAGGCAGGTGGTTTCTGTGTCCAGATTCAGCCAATGGGCTTTGAGTGGAAGTAAAGTGTGTCACCTCCATGTAGATGTTCAACAAAAAGTAGCTTAATAACAATGCTAATAACCGTACAATAACATTAACAGTGGTATGTATTAATTTCCAATCAGATCTTGATTTACTTTTCCTGGTATCTGATTGGCTTATAGAGACTTTTGCCACAGTGTTCTTTCTACTTTTCCTACCTTCAGTTTTCTTCATCCTTCCTTTATGCTTTTCAAAAAAAATTTCTTTCATCTAAAGCATGTTTGTTTACATTTAAGGCCCCTCTCAACGTGACCCTAACTACTGCTCCAGAATCATGGATTTTCTTAGTTCTCAATCTTACCAATGAATATTCATTTCCTGTTATATACATCAGCCACCTGGATTCCTGATCTTTTCTGAACAGCAGTGGCTTTTGCACAACGTCACACCTTTGCAAATTGTGTTATCCTCACTGAAGCGTCCTTGACATGTCCTCACAGTCACCAGATCTGAGAGCCTGACTCCGAGGGCTCTCTGGGGTCTGTGATTTGTTCTGCTGGATGATGGCACCCACAGGGTTCCGTCTGAGACACAGGTCAGAAGTGCACTCTCCCGGAATGCGTAGACTAAGTTACAGCAAAAGTAAACAGTACTGAAGCAGCTCAAGAGGGCATCTAATTGAATTATGCCAATGATTAAGTGCTCTAAATATCTATTCAATCATCTTGCCTCTACCCAGATGAGATAAAAGAATCAAGCAGGAATTATTAGAAAGGAAGAAAAATAAACTCACACTACAAATGCTGGGAGAAACTTTTTGATAGAGAAGCATAAATGAATGAAATGTCCCCCAAGAAGGCAGAGGAGCAGCACAGAAATCAAATCAGGTGGTGCTGGGCCACGATGGAAGAGAACTGGGTCAGGGAGGGAGGCCCCTGGTGTGTCACTCACCTCTCACCCTCCACTTAGCACCTCATGTCCAGAGGAGAGTGCTGTCTGCAGTCACGTCCTTCAATCTGCACATTTATTTTGGGTCTAAAGTCGATGCTTCTTTATTTCCTTTTTGTCTTTCACGTTGAGATTTTCCTCCTGTATCTCTTTGGATTGATACTGTTGGGGTAGTACAAAAAAATGCAGACTTTCCTGGTTAGGCCAGCCTTGGTTCCAATCCAGCTCAGTCCTTTTTAGCTTGTGGTCTTGGAAGGGTTACTTTGTCTTTCAATCCTCTGCAGCTTGGAGACTGGAATCCCAATCACAAAATGCTGCTTATTTATTTATTCAATTGATTATTTGCTCATTCAAGTAGTTGAGCTCTGATTGTCTGACAAACCTTGGGCTAGTTGCTAGGATTGAGACAATGGGCAAAATGTCAAGACCCTTCTCCTGGGATCTTCCAGTCCAGTGGAGCATGAAATAAAATCATGTGTAGGCAATGTCCACCTCAGTGCCTGGAATATAGTAAGTGCTCAGTAAACGGGACAGTGGCTCCTGTCCTCTTTCTTTTCTTATCCTTCTCACACACTCTTCTGTGCCTCTGTCCTCCAGCCCCCCCAGGGATTCCAACAACAAAGGTTTCTAATTTCTTTCCCAGCTTAGAGTATTGAGACAAGATTTGGATGAGCAGCCAAACGTAGAATTTCTCCTGGGAAACTTCAGCAACTTGATGCAGCTGCTGAGCAGAGGCCTCATTTTACGGGACCTCGTTGTCATCCCATGCACTGCATCAGCTGCGATTCAGAGCCTCGCTGGAAGGAGCAACAGGACAAAGGAAAAGACAGGGTTCGCACAACACAGAAGCAACGATATCCCCAGAAAATAAACCAACAAAACTAAACCCCAAAACCTCCCTTCCATTAACAGAGCCACTTAGAATATTAAAGGTTTATACGTCAAATGGCATCTTTTGATCCCTACAAGACAAAGATGTTACTTTTATGATCCCCACTTTACAAGATGTGGCTCAGAGAGGATGAGAATTTATCCAACTGGTTCAGTCAAGGTTTATTTTGCTTTCTTTCCTAAAAAAAAAAAATCCTGCAATAGACACTAACTATGGCTGGTTTAAGCAGAAGATAAGCTGATTGAAAGGACATCAGTCCATCACAGAACTGTCAGGTGGCCCAAACCAGCAGTGTCAAGGTTACGCATTAAGAATCAAACCCCTAACCACGCCCCACTACGGGAAGCAGATGCCCACCTCCTGCCCCACAGTGGGCACTACTGGAGCGTATGTAGCAGGACCATGACCTCAAGGGAACTGCTACCTCCACCGCTACAGTGAACAGTGAGACTGTACCTCCACCGCCGCAGTGAACGGTGACGCTGTACCTCCACCGCCGCAGTGAACGGTGACGCTGTACCTCCACCGCCGCAGTGAACGGTGACGCTGTACCTCCACCGCCGCAGTGAACGGTGACGCTGTACCTCCACCCCCGCAGTGAACGGTGACGCTGTACCTCCACCCCCGCAGTGAACGGTGACGCTGTACCTCCACCGCCGCAGTGAACGGTGACGCTGTACCTCCACCGCCGCAGTGAACGGTGACGCTGTACCTCCACCGCCGCAGTGAACGGTGACGCTGTACCTCCACCGCCGCAGTGAACGGTGACGCTGTACCTCCACCGCCGCAGTGAACGGTGACGCTGTACCTCCACCGCCGCAGTGAACGGTGACGCTGTACCTCCACCCCCGCAGTGAACGGTGACGCTGTACCTCCACCGCCGCAGTGAACGGTGACGCTGTACCTCCACCCCCGCAGTGAACGGTGACGCTGTACCTCCACCCCCGCAGTGAACGGTGACGCTGTACCTCCACCCCCGCAGTGAACGGTGACGCTGTACCTCCACCCCCGCAGTGAACGGTGACGCTGTACCTCCACCCCCGCAGTGAACGGTGACGCTGTACCTCCACCCCCGCAGTGAACGGTGACGCTGTACCTCCACCCCCGCAGTGAACGGTGACGCTGTACCTCCACCCCCGCAGTGAACGGTGACGCTGTACCTCCACCCCCGCAGTGAACGGTGACGCTGTACCTCCACCGCTGCAGTGAACGGTGACGCTGTACTTCCACTGCTACAGTGAATAGGGACACTGTGCGCCATCTCAGGGCAGAGGAAAGGGGAGAACCAGTGACCTTCTTCCTCTCTGAGTGTCTGTCTCTCATTGCCACCCATGCAGAAGGGACTCCCTTAAACACAAGGAGAAGTTCCTGATGCTGGATGACAAGGCAATGACAGATACCCAGTAAAACCAAGTCCATGCGGCCTCAATGGGAAGAGCTCATTCTGAAAATGTAGTTCCAATTTCTAATTCAGTCCTCTTTCCACTATACTACTTTGCATAATAAGCAACAGGTGTTGGAATATGACCCTCTTCTCATGACTGTTGTTGTTATCATAAAACAAAACCTTCTACCATTACTTAGTCTTTTATCATTTACAAAGAAATCCCTTTTTAGTGACCTTTATAACCACCCTGAGAGGGAAGCAGGCAAGTAAATAACTCTATTTTCTTTTCTTCTTTATTTTTTCTGATAACAAAATGTCTAAAGAAGCACCTGGTACTTATGTAATCAAAGCACTTCCAATACTGAAACAAAACTTTCTAAAATGGGTCTGATTATTCTACTGGTTTGGGAACTTTACTTAGCTTGATATCACTAATCCCTGGGATAGCCAGGGAAATTTGCTTTGTTCTGCTCTTTGTTTCATGATGTATCTCTACTACATGGAACAATGTCCGTCACAGAGTAAGCACTCAGAAATGTTTTTTAAATAAGGATATGGATAAATGAACTGATGGGCGCTGGATCTGACTGCTAGGAATGTGTGGATTTAGAATTCCCATGTGCAGATTTTTAGTCCAAACCAGATGCTTTTCATCATGACCAGTTTAAGAAGCAGGCAAAATAAAGACTAGACTAATACTTTATACTACTGTCTCTTCAAACTCGGCTACACCACATGTTCATTCTCTTCAGTCTCTAATCATCAACATCCTTGTCCCGAATATTTATTCTCTTTTCACTATTAACCATCTTCTCTCCATCCTTTTCAATTCAAACTTCAGACACACATGATAAATCTACACCCCAGGTTCTCCACAAATGAAAGCAATGTGGCTTCTCCTTCCAGCACATGTCCTGAGCTCTTCTTGCCATGACCACCGATGTCTTCTTTACACCTTCACCAATGAACTATTATCAGTCTTTACCTTATTGAGCTCTTTGCAGTATGTGCTAGCTTCGTAAAAACATTTTCTTCCTTCTTCCCAAAATGTTTCATTCCCTTCTCTGTTTTAACGATTCCCTCTCTGTTTGGGCCATCTTTTGGGTCCTTTGTCACTGCTCTTCTTTACTTATTGGCATTCCTCGGGGTCCAGTATTTTCTTCTGGACTTGTCTCTTGATAGAAAAGATAGTATAGAGCTATGCATGTACACTGTAGTCACTGAGTGCCAGGTGTTGCTCCGACTGCTGCACACATTCAGTACATTTGATCTGCATATTAATTTGAAGACATAAACATTACGAGCACAGATGAAGAAACTGAGCCATAGATAATGATCTTGCTCTTTGTTGCAGAGCTGGTAAGTGGGGATGCCAGAGAGGCTGGTTCTAGAGACAGTGTTTTAAGCCCTATTTTCGGATTAGCTGCCTCTCCCGGGGGAGTGGGGGCTTCAGAGCATTGATGCAGACTTGGTAGGGGGAGGCTCTGGAGCCACATCTGAGTGTCATGGCTGTCATGGCTAAGGAGCATAGCCAGCAGCAGGAGGAGGCGTGTTGTGTTCAGTGCGGAGCACAGAGAAGGCAACGGGGTATGAAGCAATGACAATAGGTGAGAGAAAACAAAAAGATACACTGAATGTGGATGTGAAAAATGGAGCTTAAAGTCAGCCTTCCAGATAATGCAACACTCTGGGACATGGGATGGGCTCAGGAGTGTGTCCTTTATGTGCCCTAAACACTTGGTGCCTATTGCTAATATTGCACTTACTACCTGTGTCATGGTAAATTGTATCAATGTTTGTCTCTGCCATTTTACTACAATCTCTTTAAGGGTAAGTACTATACTGATCAAACCAGAAACCTTAAGTTCTATCAGCATTGATGTTGGCATTGATGCTTCTGTTAAATCAGGCTCACATTGCTGAACTTATATAGGTACAACAGATGCTAGGAAAACAAAGGTATATGTTATATTTATTTAAAAAGTATCACTCAAATAATGCTAGCAAGGGACATAATGCAAATGAAAAATTATGATATAAACATCACAGAATTTAGAGCGGAAGTCACTTTGGGGAGTTTATGGTGTGAATAGAGGAGTATCCAATTGAACCCTTGCCCTCAAACAACTTTGTTCTTGGCCTCTTAGATTCTAGCTATCCAGGTCATTGAAAGCTCCTCCTAGTGCCTGGGAACTTCTTCCCACAGGGACAAGCCTTTTATACAGATGATTCCATCTCATAGAACATGGCCTTGCAGAATGGAGTAACACAGTGTTACTGACATACAGCGTGCTCAGAGCACACAGCACCAATGCCCTCACTTTGCACATGCAGGCGGACGCTCCAGGAAGTGAAGCCATGAACGCAGGTTCACACAGAGAACAGCAGGGGTAGGACTGGACTTCATTTTAATTTGTTTTTCACGACATCTTTGACCATGGACAATGTGCTGGAAGGGGAAGTGGGAGGAAATTTTACTATCCTGGTGTTGACTCTTTTTGAAGAAACGACACTCAGGAAAAGTTTGAGGCCTGAAAGCCTGCAATGAAACATCAAATATTACAGAATATGAATACAAGGATATGGATTGGGGATCCAGAGAGGTGGTTTACATAAAAATTGAGTGACCTTAGATAAGTCTTTCGATTTCCTCGAGCATCAGTTTCTTTGTCTATTAAATAAAGTTAGAACCAGTCTATTCAGGTTGCTATAGCAAAGTAGTTAGGCTGGGTGGCTTACAAACAACAGATAGGTATTCCTCACAATTCTGGAAGTTCATGAACAAGGAAGTCTATTGAGGACTCTCTTCCTGGTTCATTGATGGCTGCCTTCTGCCTGTAATCTTGCATGGCTGAAGGGACAAGAGAGCCGCCTGGGACCTCTTCTATTGGGTCACTAATCTCATTAATGAGGACTCCACCCTCATGACCTAATCACCTTCCCAAAGCCTAATACCATCATCTTGGAAGTTAGGATTTCAACATAGGAGTTTTGGGGGACACAAACATTCAGACCCTACCAGTTAGACAATATATATTGTAGCATGGTGAAAGATAGAGTTGACTCTCTGTATCCACAGTTTCTTCTTCCGTAGATTCAACCAACCGGAGATCAAAAATATTGTAAAAACACAACAAAAAAAGTACAAATAAAAACAATATAGTATAATAACGGTGCATAACATTTACATTATATTAGGTATTATAAGCAATCTAGATTTAAAGTATACAGAAGGATGTGTGTGTGTTACATGCAAACACGGGGCCGTTTTATACAAAGGACCTGAGCTTCCACACACTTTGGTATTTAAAGAGGGGGGTCCTGAAAGCAAGCCACCATGGAGACCAAGAGACAACTGTAGATATAAAATGAGTCACAAACATTTATCACTTGCTTCCTGTAAATATAAGCCATTATCATTAATACAATAAACACAACATTTAGTCACTCAAGGAGAAATACATAATTCACCTCCATATTCTGAACATCATCCATCTCCCTGCCATGCTGGAGAACAGGCCGAGTTATAAAAACCAGCACTGAGAGGATGACTTCTCTTTGAACTTGTTTTAAACACTCTGATTATTTCCCAGGAACATAAGACTGCATGCCATCTCCAAGAAATTTTGGTAACTCCTTGAAATTCAGTTCTAAATTTTCCAAGAAATGAGAGGCTCGTATGAATAATTGGTTTTAACATATAAACTATATCATAGAATAGAAGATGCTACAATTTCACAACTCTCAGGTGGCTTAGAACAAGATAGGAAAGGTTCTCAGGATGTCTATGCCAAAAGTGAAAGGCTGTGAATTCCTCCTAAACTTCCAGAATTCGAGCTTCATGGTCGTGAAGAGATGCTTAAGCGCTACTTTTCTGAAACCTGATCAAAAGTTTAAGAAAAACCTTAGGGAGCAGATTCTTATGTCAATTGTTAGTTTTCCAGAGGACTTGGAGTTCTTTAAACACAGAGACACACTTTGTCATCTTTTCACCTCTACTCAATGCCTGGCCCATAATGAATATGTAATAAGTAGAGGCCAAGTAAAACTTGCTTTGACTGATGCCTTTTTCTTCTTCAACTCTCGAGTGAACATTCAGAATGTAAGTTATTACTACCATCCCCCATGGTGTTCTATTACTGAGGTTTTAATATGTTTGATGTTGCATAGTGAGAGGGGTCTTTGGCCTCATGAATGATATTCGCCCTCCTCCTCGCTTCCTCATTTCTCAATAAGCAAAGCCATTTATTTTCCATGTGTAGAACAAATTTAGAATAAAAATTGTTCCCACTCACTCACACTAAGATGTAGATGACTGATATAAAATCTTAACCTAATAATAAGAGGAAATAAGAGAGGGGGAGAAGCCACGGGGAAATGGCGAGCCATGTGTAATTTGAAGAAAGACACACAAAAAGGAACAGCTGGGGACCCCAGGGACAAACATAAATCACTTCATAATTTTCTTTGAGACAACCTTGAGCATGTCTTTCTACAAAAGACAGAAATGTGAGAGATAAAAATAAGACATTATCACAGATGTACATTTTCCTTCAAGAGCCCCTAAACAGAGTTATTTTCTCTGCAACTGCTTTGAATATTTTATTCTCATTCTCAAGTAAATATTTTTTACTTACGTGTTCAAATCTTCTGATATATAATTCACTCTGTTGAAAATATAACAATAGACATGGAGAGTAGACACAATAAAGCAAGAAGAAATAAAGTGTGATTATATATTTTAAAAAAAAACTTTGAAAAGAATTGTCAGTAATCTCCACAGAACGCACGGTGATGATGGAACGTTCCATGGCTCCACTGTCCATCACGGTACCCTCCAGCCACATGGAGCTACTGATCACAAAATCAGTATTAATCAACTTTATAAATCATCGAAATACTACCATTTGCAACAACATGGATGAATTTTTATTATGCTAAATAGAGTTAGCCAGTCATGGAACAAAAACAATACCGCATGATCTCATTTATATGTGGAAGCTAAAAAGGAAAGTAGATTATGTAAAAACGAATGAAATTGTGGCTACCATAGTCAGCGAAGGGAGGCACAAGGAAAGATGTGGGTCAAAGGGCACAGAATTGCAGCTGTTTAGGATGACTAGGTCTAGCAACCCCATGTATAACCTGCAAATTATATAATAGTTATAATATTGTGTTGCATACTGAAAATTTGCTAAGAAGTAGATTTTAGGTGCTTGAACCTCACACACAAAGTGTGGCTATGTTAGATATTGGATATGTTAACTTACTTGACCATAGTAACCATTTTAATATGTATATCAAAAGATCACACTAGACACCTTAAATATATGCACTGAAAAAGAAAAGTGGCTATTTCAACAGAGGAACTACATGTTTTATTTTAATTAATTTAATATTAAATTTCAATAGCCCTATGTGATCTGCTGCAACTATATTTGTGCAGTGTGAGATTAGAGAGAAAATAAAAAAGTTTTAGAAGATATGCATGAGTGTAGTCTCTGAAGCAGGAAGAGGTTAGGGAATTAACATTCCTGTTATTGAAAGACTCAATGCTATGTTGTTTATACAGCAGGGATCCCCAGTCCCCATGCCATGGACCGATACTAGTCTGTCGCCTGTTAAGAACCAGGGTGCGTGAGCAACAAGAGGTGAACGGAGGGCGAGCAAGTGAAGATTCATCTGTATTTACAGCTTCTCCCCATTGCTTACATTACTGCCTGAGCTCCGTCTCCTGTCAGATCAGCAGAGGCATTAGATTCTCATAGGAGCACAAACCCTATTGTGAACTGCGCATGCGAGGGATCTGGGTTGCATGCTCCTTGTGAGAATCTAATGCCTGATGATCTGTCACTGTCTCCCATTATCCCCAGATGGCATCATCTAATTGCAAGAAAACAAGTTCAGGGCTCCTACTGATTCTTTATTATAGTGAGTTGTATAATTATTTCATCATATATCAATTACAGTATAATAATAATAGAAATAAAGCACACAATGCATTTAATGAACTTGAGTCACCCTGAAGCCAACCCCTCCTCTGTCTCCTGGGCCATGGAGAAATTGTCTTCCACAAAACCAGCCCTTGGTACCAAGAAGGTTAGAGACCACTGTCACAGAGAACAAAACCAGCCTATCCTGAAATATAAGCTAATTAAGTTGCTGAAAATAATTAAAATTACTTTAAGTAGACTGGAAAAATAGCAAGTCACTTATAAAGGAAAACTTACATCAGATTTTGTCATCTACAATTTTTAATGCTGGAAGATGATGTAGAAACAAGAAAAGATTACTTAAGAAAATAATGTGTGGTCCCATAACTTTTACTCAGTTTTATTCTTGTTCAATTAAATGGTGACAAACTACTTTAAATATTTAAGAACAGAGTTATTGTTACCATTAGTTCTTCTCAAGGACCATTAGAGAACAGATTTCAACTAATAAAGTGTTAAAAATGGCTCTGAATATTGAATATTTAACTGTAGGAATAAGAATAAAATAAATTACAGACATTATTGTTACATAACAGAGAACAATTTAGATTCCTTGACAATGTCAAAGGTGAGAAAAAATTATTTAAATCCTTAAAGGCAGAAAGTACAATATAAAATAATGACAGAATTAAAACCATTTATGTTTAGCCAGAGTAATAAGTATTAACAGGCTAAGTGCATCTATTACAAAATACAAAAAAAAAAAACAAACTCCAGATCATATCACTAAGCAAAACTGCACTATTTTCTGCATTTATTAAATACTACCAAAGCAAGTAATTATCAATATTTGAAAGTATAAAAAATAGGGAAACATAAGGAAAATTCAAATAAAATGAAGCAGATTATGTTACTGTCAAATAGCTTTCAATGCAGATGCAAAATATATAATATATAAATCATAAATAAGAATAAATATTTTCTTTATTAAGAGAAGGTTATATAAATCATAAATAAGAATATTTTATTTATTAAGTGAAGTTTACAGTTCCCGATAGAGTATAACACTATGAGTGTTTATGCAACAATACATTCAAAATTAATATTTATTCTGCAAAAATACAGGAGATAAAAAGAGAACTGGAAACACACTAGAAGATGGAGATTTGTATTTATATCAGTTTTTTTGTCAATAAAAATGTGGAAGATCCAAATAAAAGTTAAACCTAACAGATATATCAAAACCTGTGTCCTAAAATAGATAAAATGCTTATTTCAAGTAACATAGACCTTTCACAAAAATTGACACAAATATAGCCACAAACACCACACATATATACACCCTAGTACATGCCAAAGAGTTAAAACGTGTTTCTGTCTCAAATGCTCTGATTACAAAGCATTAAAACCAATAGTTAATGGCCAGTACAAGAGCCAACAATGTACTTGACTCTGGGTGTGGAGAAATACTCCTAAGTCAGAAAGAAATTCCCACTGAATTTGTAAATAGCTGAAATGTAATAATACTAAACACTGTATATTTTAATATCTCTGGGCGACAGATAAAACTATGCCCCATGAAAAATGTATAGCCTTAAAAGCAAACATTTATAAAATTACAATGAATATAAATTAATTCAATATACATTCAATTCAAGATGTAGGCTAATACACACAAAAGGGATAAGCAAAGACAAAAGTAATGCTGAATAAATAAAGAAAAACAGAAAGCCATGAAGCTGGCTGGGCGCGGTGGCTCACACCTGTAATACCAGCACTTTGGGAGGCCAAGGCAGGTGAATCACCTGATATCACGAGTTCAAGACTAGCCTGGCCAACATGGCGAAACTCCAACTCTACTAAAAAAAAAAACAAAAACAAACAAACAAAAAATCCAGGCCATGTAATCCTAGCTGCTGGGGAGGCAGAGGCAGGGAAATCACTTGAACCTGGGAGGTGGGGGTTGCTGTGAGCTGAGATCGCATCACTGCACTCCAGCCTGGGTGACAAAGCGAGACTCCACATCAAAAAAAAAAAAAAAAAAAAAAAAACACGACAACAACAACAAAAAACAAAAAGTAGTAAAGCTTTTAAAACATATTAAAAATTTTCTGTTATGAATTGAATGTTTGTATCCTCCAAAGTTCATATGTTGAAGCCCTAACCCCACAGTGGGATAGCATTAGGAGGTGAGAACTTTGGGAGGTGATGAGGTTTAGATGAAGACACAAGAGCAGAGCCCCTATTATGAGATGAGTGATCTTACTAAAAAAAAAAAAAAGGAAGAGACTGGAGTGTACTCATTCTCTCTCTCTCTCTCTCTCTCTCTCTCTCTCTCTCTGTCTGTCTCTACCACATGAGGACATAGCAGGAAGGTGAGAAGGTGGCCATCTTTAAGCCAGGAGGAGAGCTCTCACCAGAATTCAAATCAGCCAGCACCTTGATCTTGGGCTCCCAGCCTCCAAAACTATGAGAAATAAATGTCTGTTATTTAAGCTACCTAGTCTATGGTATTTTATTGTAAGAGTTTGGTCAGATTAAGACATAGTGCTATCCGCTATCAAACATGTCGTAAAGCTATGATAAATAAATCACTGTTTTAGTGGCATTGGAATTGGCCAAATCAACGTAAAAAGGTAGAAATTTCAGAAATACATTCAAACAAAAGAGTTTAGATGTGACAAGGGTGTCATAGCAAATCACTGGGGAAAATCATATAAATTTCAAATTTACCTTTTTAAAAGGTATTTAAGAAGGAATTATTTAAGAAAAGTTATTTAAGAAAGAATAAAAGTTTCATGTCAATAAGGTAGCAATCTAGGAAAAAATAAATGGACTAAATTCCTATCCCCCAACTTACAATAAATTCCAAATGAATCCAACATTTAAAGGCAAAAGATTCAAACTACAAATATATTTAGAAGAATCCATGGCAGGATTTCGGTATAATAGCATGGTTTAGCAAGTCTTTCTAAGTGTGACACAAAATTTAGAAGCCATGAAAGACTTCATTTCATAAAGAACAATTACTAAGTAAGCAATTAAACAAAGCCAAAGGAAAACAACAAAACTGCAAAAGAAGTAGGAGATAAGTTCCAAAAAGTGAATGTCTTTAATATGTATGGAACTTTTAAAAACTAATAAGAAAAATGTCAACAAATTATAGAAATGCGGACAAAAACATAATAGCTCAAAAAGAAAAACCAAATGGCTTTTACTATGCAAAGAGTTGTTTCAACTGTCATAATAAAAGAAAATCATATTAAAACTACTGAAATGGCATTTCTATCTCTTAAACTGATAAAGAACATGCAGCTTAATGTAATGTGTTTCTTAGGGTGTGAGAAAGTTCTGCAATGCCACACTGAGCTCACGGGAGGCAGCTTGGCATAACCTCTATAGAGAGTAATTTAGTAATTTATATCAATATGAAAATACAATTAACCCCAGCAACTGCACTTTTGGAAACTTCTCCTACGAATATATTTGCACACATATGAAATAAAATATGTGAAATGCCATTTATTGAATCATTTTCCTAACAGCAAAAGATCGTCAGAGTTAGATGCCTGCAGTATGTGCCCACTGAGTATATTATGGTAAATCTACACAATGGAAAACGATGAGGCAACAAAAAGAAAGGCTGAGGAAGCTATTTCTTTCCTAATATTAAATGATGGCCAAGGTCTATCCCTAAGTGAAATAAGCTTAGCTCAAAACAATGTGTATATTATTCTACTCTTTGAATAAAAGTGGGCAAATCTTATATGCTTATTTCTTCAAATATGCATATATCTCAGGGGGTACCCAAGACGTGTCTGAAATAGAGTTCTTTGGGGAAGAAGAAAAATTGAGTGGCCACAGGAGACGAATATGGAAGTAGAGAGAATCTTTATTATCTACAATTGTACATTTTAGGAATTTTGAACTATGTAAACCTATCGATCATATATGTAATAAATTATATATACATAAAATATATAAAGTAATCAACATTGTGAGGTCAAAAAGTATCTATTGGACCATGCTGCTTGTAAAACTGAACAAGGTTTTCATCTCTGAAATGCATAAATTCTTTCATCTATATACAGACAACTACAATAACAAAGAAATAACAACTTTTGAGTATACGTCTGAGCCTGTTGCAGAAAAGTAACACAACGAGAAACTCAGTACAGTTTTAAATGAGAAAAGCCTAGGTCTAGTTTCACCTCCACTACTAATTACTATTTTAATACTTTCCTAAATTAGTTAGCCTTCCTTCAGTGTAGTCAGTGATGATATACAGGGATTCTGAGTTCAAAGTTCTGAGTTCAGATTCTAGGTCTGCCACTCATCAGCAATTACTAAGCCCACTTCCTCATGGGCACAGTAAGGAGAGTGTTATAGCCCAAGAATTTGTTATGACAAATAGGTGAGCACCCTCATTCCAGGGCCAGGAGTAGACGTCCTCTCAACACGCCAACTCCCTCCTGGATGTTCCATGATGAAAGCAGGTAGCATCTTCTCTGTCCATCTGCCCACTGTAATCTGTCATCTCCTTTCCAAGCACAAAAAACAGGACCTACTCTTCATAGGCGCTCAAACATGTATTGATTTGAAATCAAATGAAAGAAAGTATTGTTGAATAAAAAGCTGATACAAAGCAGAGTAGAACAAGGAAGAGCTCTAGAAAGCCAAGGGAAAATCCTAGGAATCTAGAAATAACAGCTGGAAGCTGACGTGAGACAGCTACTTTTCCATCTCCTTCTTTAGGGCAACATGGCATTCTTGTGGCAAACGTCCATGCCAAATGACAGAATTCCCCACTCTAAATTAAAATGACATTGTCTGTCAGTGACTGTGCGGTGCGCATAGGTGAAGGAGCAGGCTGCCTTCTGAGTGGCCTAAATGCACACAACAAGAAACTAAAATTGGAGCAATTTGCTGTAATTTAAAAAGAAGAATGAGTGAATGAATACAGGCACTGCAGAAAATTATAGATTTTATTTGAAGGTAAGATTGTACATCTCTAATCAAGGCTTAAAATCTGAATTAGGATAAATTGTGCCATAATTATTTTCTTAGAAGAGAACAAAGAAGTTTTTAAAGCACCTAATATTCCCCCTTTGAAGCTTTCAAAATGAAGACATTCACTTTGTGGTAAATGTGCAGCTTCATCTGCCTCTGTCTCATAAAAACCTGAAGTTCATTTAGCCAGATTCAGAGCCTTTGACATGCAAAGCACTGATGAGCATTTAGTCTTCCCAGTACATTTGTTGCATTTGTTTTGGTCCTCCTGAGCTTCAAGCTTTTAATTAGGGAAAAAAAATTAGCTTACTGGTGACAATTATTGGCTTGAGTCTAAGAGTTCTTTATCAATTGTGCATGTTCCTGAGACCAGTAAGTGTGTATATGACTGTGTGTATGTGTGTATGCATGCATATATATGCTTGTGTGTATGCATGTGTGAGCGTGTGAATGTGTTGTATGCATGCATATGTATGCTTGGGTGTATGCATGTGTGAGTGTGTGTGCATATGTCTGTGTGTGTGTGTGTTGGGCTGGAGGTGGAAGAAGTGAGCAAGAAAAAGCAAAGCTAAGTAAAGATTGTTGGTTTTGTACTTTGATATTTAAGATTTTCTTTCAACCATTTTGATTACTACTCTCATGAAAATTATTTTTATTTATTCACTTTTTTTTCTTAGCGTCAAGGTCTTGCTCTGTCACCTTAAAATAATGTATTATTGGCCAGGCGCAGTGGACAGCACTTTGAGAGACCGAGGTGGGCAGATCACTTGAGGTCAGGTGTTCAAAACCAGCCTGGCCCACGTGGTGAAACCTCGTCTCTACTAAAAATACAAAACAGTTAGCTGGGGGTGGTGGCGCTTGCCTTGTAATCTCAGCTACTTCAGAGGCTGAGGCAGGAGAACTGCTTGAATCCAGGAGGCAGAGGTTGCAGTGAGCCGAGATCGCGCCACCGCACTCCAGCCTGGCCAACACATCAAGACTCCATCTCAAAAAAAAAAAGTATTATTATGCTTTGGGGAATTAATAAATTTTCCCTCTACAGCAATAGAAAACATTGTCTGTTTCTCTACATTCAAAATATTTCTCTCTCTCTCTCTCTCTCTCTCTATATATATATATATAAACATGTATATTAAAATCTGGGCTACTTCAGCTTATTGTGCTGGAAAATTATAGCCATCAGCTATTAAACATATCAATCTGATACAATCTTCTATTACACCCATCTCGCCCAATGTAGGAGATTAGATTTTTCTTATTCTCCTCGTTTAAAACAACCACAGGCAGATATTTATCTTACTCTTACAAACTACCAGGGTAAAAATAACGTGCAGCATCCCATTACAGAATACAACCATTTCTACAATTACACAGTTCACCTTCACACTTTATATAATTCTCCTTCATGTCAAAATTTAACTCTTTTATTTGATCGAGTCATTGGGAAGCAGAAAAGCCGAGGATTTCAATGCCTTCATGACTACCTTCCATGTATTTGAGTGCAGAAAGATAGAAGAAGCATGAGCTTTGGAATTGGGTCTGAATTCAAGTTCTAGATGAGCACATATGGCTGAGGGAACATCACAATGTTCTTAACCCCCTGAGCCACAGTTGCCACACAGTAATGATAATCAGGGCTGACGCTGATGTGGTGCTCTGTGCACAGAAACCATGCTAACTGCATGTTAACTCAAGAAATGCTCACAGTCACAGATGGCACAGGCATGGTTATGACCCTCACATCACAGATGGGGACAGGAGGCACCAAGAGGCTTGTGAACCTGCCCACAATCACACAGCTTCTGGCTGGTGGAGCTAGATTTGCACCCAGTCTAGCTTCCTAACCAGGTGCTTAAATATCACACTTCCCTGAGGCCGCCATTATGAAAAGGAGGGCAGTCACACCCACCACAAAGCATAATAACAAACAGAAAATGTAAAGCATCAGGAAAATTATGAAACTGAGTGAAATTTCAGTGAGGAAACCCTATTGCTATCTTGTTCTCCAAACTGCATTACTCCTGCTTACAGAATCTTTAAATTTGGAGTAACTCGGAGGTCATCTAGCACAATGCCAAGAAAGCTAACATGGGTGATCACAAATCAAGTCATGGCAATACAAATCTCATCAACTTTTAAATGCTGTGCTGTGAGCTGAAAATCAAAAGAACCTACCTGATCAAAATTGTATCAAGTCTAAGTAATATGATGCCGTTATCTTTCAAAAACGTAAAATTGTTCCTCTTCCTAACATCCATCCACAATTCTCCATGACTTAAACGGGAACATTCAACGTAATTAGGATGGCATTCTAGGTCTTCCACGACTTCGTTCTCTCCATTCTTCCTCCTGAATTCTCATCTCTCATTGTTCCCTGTCCCAGTAAAGGGAACTAAACTGCATCAAGCGTGATTTTGTGTTTTCCATGTGTTAATTCAGCTGACTTGCAGCAAGCCTTTGAGGTGGATACTATTATAACTATTTTTATTAGGAAAGCAATCTTGCCTATGGAAAATTTAGTCAATTACCCCAGCTCACAGGGATTATTGTAGAAGAACTAAGACACCCTCCCAGCCAGCCTGGTCCTAGAAGCTCCACTCTGGGCCAATGCACCCTAGGGCCTCTCACCCTCAGCTTCCCCCCCGGCCAGTGTGCATTTCCCCAAGAAGTCCACCGCCCCCTGTGACTCTCCACCTGAGCAGTGCTGTCCCTCCTCCAGGAACACCTTTCTCTACCTTGAGGACTCCACTTTAGCTCAATATTAAATTTATTTTCTTTCTCTTGGGAAAACACTTATTTATATTTTTATTTTCTTTCAATAGATGTGGTTTTGGGTTACAGGAGACAGGTGGTTTAGGGTTACAGGATAAGTTCTTCTAGTGGCGATTTCTGAGATTTTGGTGCACTTGTCATCTGAGCAGTTTACTCTGTACCCAGTATGTCATGTTTTATCTCTCACCTCCCTCCATCCCGTTTCCCTGAGTCCCCAAAGTCCATCATATCATTCTTATGCTTTTGCACCCTCATAGCTTAGCTCCTACTTACAAGTGAGAACATACCATATTAGGTTTTCCATTCCTGAGTTATTTCACTTAGAATAATGGCCTCCAGCTGCATCCAAGCTGCTGTAAAGGTCATTATTTCATTCTGTTTAATGGCTGAGTAGTATTCCATGGTGTATATGTGTATATATATATACACACACTATATATATACACGTATATATATACACGTATATATATACACGTATATATATACACGTATATATATACACGTGTATACACGTGTATATATATACACGTATATATATACACGTATATATACACGTATATATACGTGTATATACGTATATATACACGTATATATACGTGTATATACGTATATATACATATATACACATATATGTATATACGTATATATATGTATGTATATATATACACGTGTATATATATATATATACGTATATATATATATATACGTGTATATATATATATACACGTGTATATATATGTATATATACGTGTGTATATATATATACACACGTATATATACACAACATTTTCTTTATCTACTTGTTGATTGATGGGCCCTTAGGTTGGTTCCATATTTTTGCAATTGTGAATTGTGCTGCTATAAACATGCATGTGCCTGTGTCTCTTTCATATAATGACTTCTTTTCCTTTGTGTGGGTACTCAGTAGTGGGATTGCTGGATCGAATGGTAGATCTACTTTTAGTTCTTCAAGGAGTCTCCATACTGGGGAGGATATTTTTAAGCAGTTCATCTAGCAGCCACCATTATTCTTTTCCTTTATTTCTTTTTATTAGATTGTGTGTTTGTGTGTGTGCACACGTGCATGCGTGCACACTGCTGTCCTCCATTGCACCCAGATGCCGTGGGGCAGGTGTATTTCAAGGTCTCTCTCTCCTGCCAGCTTCCTCACTTCCCAACAAACAGAAGTAGCCAGGCCTTGCCTTAATCTGTGATTCTTTAGCAGCTAAAAAGTGAACCCTGCAGAGAAGGTGTTCCATGAATGTTTACAGAATAAATGAATGGACAATAAACACACACACACACCCAAGGATACACTTAGATATTTACAATAAATGCAAGTTAATTGGAACTAGGTAACTAATATTTCTGGTTAGAAAAGAATAAATTATGAATTTCAGGCTTCTCTTGGTTCTATTTTTTTCTCATAGATTCCATTTCCATACCTTTTCGTCTGTCTTCACTTTCTTACTGTGGTTACTATTCACATCATAGCCCAAATCACTATCTGAACTGAGATACTTACACAATTTATTGACATGAGTGTTCAAAAATACAGTGAACTTCCCTCAAAGGACTGGTTATTATTTGGGCATGAATATAAACACACAATAAACATTATAAAGTGTTCCTAAAGTGAGAATATTTGTTTGCTTTTGACTTATGGAATGAACACAGTTAAGGCATTCTGAGGCCCCCTCCAAATTTCCCCACACAGTGGAGGAAACTGATTCTACTGGCTCCAGGAAGAATCTAAGTCAGCCCCCACTCCCCAGCTTACAGATGCTGTGTATGATGCTTGATGGATTTGGACATGTAATCGTCAGGGAACAGCTACACAAACAGGAAACATCTGCTGAGCATTTTCTTTGTTAATGGCACTATTTACAATGAATGCTCTTCACAAATAAATTGGGACCAGATCAGGTGGCCAGTCTCAGCTTCAAGGCATGTACCCAATTCCACATCACATCCATGCATTTTGAAAGAGAGTTTAAGCCATTCCACTTTATTCACTAAATAATCAAATTTTGATTATGGCGAAAAATACACACAGACAGACATGCATACATATATCCAGACACACTGCATGCATACATATATATATGCATACATATGACATGCATGCAAACACAGGTGGGTGTGTATGTCAGCTTTCCAAAAGTTACTCTTTCTTAAAAAGAGCTAATGCTTTAAAACAAGGAGAAATTGAATTTGTCTTATAATATAAAATAATTTTAACTTATATAATATTTCCATCTTTCTATCTGAGAACTTCATAGAAAAGTGACTTAAAATTCTCTATAATTCCAGCAGTCGCAGAGAGCACAGATATAATAATCCCCAAATAAATAGTTGTTGAATTCAAATATTTTTATTTATTCTACTATATAATTACTCCAATTCACATAGAATAAAGTACTCTAAAAATCAGATACAACAAAAGCCTAGATTGTGCCACTGCACCCTAGCCTGGGTGACAGAGCAAGACTTCATCTCAAAAAAAGAAAAAAAAACCACTATCAATATTTTGCAACACTTCCTTTTCATGATTTTCTTCTGCAAACTCATTAGTCATCATCAGCATACAATTCTGATTTCTATCATTTTACAGTGTAACATTGTATTGCTATTCACACCTTTGTATCACTACAAATTTCACATAATAGATTTTAATGTTCCAAATGGATATTTCATGATTTACTGAACCATTTCAAATATTTCACTATGATAAATAAATCTTAGATAAAGCTCTTTGTGTGATGTGCAAATAACACTGTAAGAACTATGAGCTGAAAGGATGGGAGGTGGCGTTAGATTTTGATGGTGGTTGATTTGAGAGTGGCAAGATGTAGGGGGTGACAAGGTGTACACACGAATAAACTATGGTCACTGGAGAAGAGGAGTTTGGAAGATGAAGGGACTGGGATGTTAACTGTGTCATCCACACAGCTCATGAAACCACCTGGAAACATGACAGGAGTCCAGTCAGAAAGACATGCCATTGGCTACGCACTGCAGTGTCCAAAGAGAAAGGAAAGATTTCACAAGGAAATCAGAGCTAATCAGTGAGAAAGGGAGACAGTCAGAGATTGGGGAACACCTGCATGACTGGTGTCACCCAAAGAACAGTAGCTTCAAGGGAGGAAGAGTTTTTGAAGTAGGAAGAAAAAGTGATTAAAAGGCAGAGTGGGAAGCAAGCAGGACTTTTGCACCAATTCTAGACACTAACAAACATGGGATTCAAAAAGAAACATTAATCTGCTCTTGAGAGACGTCTGGAGAGACGGCCATAATGGGCCAGAGCTCAGTGCACGCTTCCTTCCTCACTGTACCCCAGTGCCTACCCAAATCCTATTACATCTGTTACTCAATGCTTGGACAATGAATAGGTTTTCGTATCAATGAGCCTCATTCACAAGAGCCCTTGTTTCATTAATTTTTCACTGTTGCCTCTTAAAAGTGAAACAACTCCCTAACTGAGAGTTACGGCTTCCTGAATATTCATCATCTATCCTGTAAGGCACTTTTTTTTTCAGAGCTTTAGACTCTCGTGTTGGTCATATCCTTTTTGCACAACTATTTCTCCTGTGTTTTCCAGACAAGATGATATAAGATCATA
Source organism: Homo sapiens (assembly GCF_000001405.40). NCBI lineage: Eukaryota > Metazoa > Chordata > Mammalia > Primates > Hominidae > Homo > Homo sapiens. Next base: position 6,256,413 of record NC_000002.12, read on the forward strand.
TACACATTTCATACTCAAATGTGGCTTCCGTAAAAATTCACTTGGTAATTGCAGCTGCACTTCATGAGGCTATGATGAAAAGACATAAAATGTAGCTGTGAAAAATTGTGTTCACAAACCTGAGAAAATTTGGCTGTGAATACCTACTCTGTGAATTACAGCAACATATTATGACATAAACCACAACTCTGGAATCAGAAACATCCTTGGATGTTGAAAAGAAATGTGCACACACACACACACACAAACTCATATACACACACAACCCCCCTCCCCCACCCACCACCACCACCACCACCAACTTGGAGTGAAACATCCCAAGGATGAAAAATTCCCAGACTATTATTAATTTGATTATTTTTGCTTTTTACTGTCTACTTAAAGCATTCATTTATTTGACTCAATATTTTTCACCTCAGTTTTATGAATGAGATTTAATATTTGCAGTAGGTTAATATCTACCCCCAAAATTCATGTCCACCAGAACCTCAGAATGTAATCTTATTTGGGAACAGAGTCTTTGCAGATGTAATTAGTTGAGATGAGGTCATACTGGATTAGGTTGAGCCTTAACTCCAATGACTGGTGCCCTTGAAGAAAGCCACACGGAGACAGACACACAAAAAGGGAAGAACACTATGTAACTACTGAGGCAGAAACTGGAGCAATGTACCTACTAGCCCAAGCACAGCAAGGGTTATGAAGCCGCCAGAAGGTGGACAAAGCCAGAAGGATTCTTCTCTAGGGCCTTCAGTGGGAGCAGAGTCTCATCAACACTTGGATTCCAAACAGTGGAGGAATAAACTTTTGTTGTTTTCAGCCTCCCAGTTTGTGGTCATCTGTTATTGCAGCCCCAGGAAACTCACATACAATTCTTATTCATTTAAAAAAACTAGTGTAGGGCAAGCAGGTTTGATTTTGATATGTTTTGTTTTTAGTTTTGAGAAGCAAGCTTAATCAACAATTTTAAATAGAAATATTTCAGTTTACAGAACTAAGAACACTAGGAATTATATTTCACACTGGAAAAGCCTCCAGCATGTCTATTTTACCCCATCATTCACAAAGAAATCAGAGCTAATTTTCCAACACATAAACGATGTCCCTTCCCTTTCTAAATTACTTTACTGGCTCTCTGTAGAATTCAAAATAAGATCCACACTTCTTGCCTCAAAAATAAGCTAAGTCTGTGGCCCTGAACTGTCTCTGTAGCCTCATCACTCATCATGCTGCCTGATCGTGGGTGCACACGCAGATGCCCCACACACTCATACTTGTACGAACACACACACACACCTGCCTTCTGAACACTGGCACTTTCAGAAAAGGCTGTGCATGTACACACATGGGCAATGAATAGGTTTTCATATCAATGTGCCTCATTCACAAGAGCCCTTGTTTCATTAATTTTTCACTGTTGCATTAATTTTCACTGTTTCATTAATTTTTCACTTTTCAGAAAAGGCTGTGCACGTACACACCTCCAGTTCTACTACCAGGCGTAACAAAGCCTCCACCAGATCCCACCCCCCTGTATCCCCAGGGCTCAGGGTCATAGTCACCTCTGCAGGGAAGGATTTCCCAGCCCACCTGCATCCCAGGCCTGGAAGATTTGCTCTGTTTCCCCACCCCTGCCCTCCTGCGGGGGTCTCTGTGAACTTCCACTTCCATCAAAGACAGGTCAGAACAACAGTTAAAAGCAGAGAATTGGAATCATTCTGGTGACTAAAAGCCAGTTCCATCATTTGCTAGCTGTTTTTAAACCTCTCGACTCATTTTTTCTATTGAAAAAATGGGAACCATAATAATTTCATGTTGCTGAGATGCAAGTATTAACTTAGATAATGTATTCATTCAGATTTATGGAATTGATGGACCTAGTATGATGTACCTAGTACTTACTAAGCACTATAGTGAACACTCAATTAACACTGGTGAAAAATAGGCCACTTTTATTCTCCCCAGACCTAGAAACAGTGCCCTGATGCCTTCTTTGTGTGTAAGAAATCCATGCACACTTTCAGGGTTTAATCAAGACTTTCTCATTTCAAGTTCTTCTAGTCTGTTCCAGGCACCTGTTCTAAATCAGTAAACTGCATGCCTCAATAGTGGTATATTCATTATTAAGAGAATTATGAGTTCTTATCACTGTTTTCTTAGGTTAAACTTCTGATTTCTGTGTTAGGGAAAGATCTGTTTTTTTTGGCAGCCTTATTTCTAAACTTTGTGTTGAAGCAGAATTCTTGGAAGGGAGGGTCCACTCTTACCAGACCTAACACTGTCCATGAATTAAAAAGATCCCAACCCCCTAGGCTGGCAGATGCAGAGGCCCAAGCTGGAAGCACTGGGTACAGTTGCAAATGATGAACCGACAGGGCAAGTGGCAGAGCTGGTTGTGATCCTTGTAGCCATGATTGTTGTCTCAGTCCTCAGCACACTGCACTGTAACTGCTGGTCTATCTCCCACCCTCTGCTAGAGTGGAAGCTCCTGGAGGGCAGTGTGACTTTCATCTTGAAATCTTGAATTATCCAACAGATAAATGACGCCTGTGGAATAAGTAAACAGATAAATGCAGAGAAAAGTATTTCTTCAATATAACATGCAGTTACAAATCCTGTTTTGACACAGTGAAAGTGATGGTGAGAATCTGTTTTCCAATTTTCACCTACAATCATCCAACAAATACTGAGCTGACCTCTATGAAGGGCAATGTGCTACACTCTAGACATGAACCTCAAATAGAGTAGTTCAATTTACTGAGGGCTAACTGTGTTTCAAGCACTATTTCAAATGTATGGGTATTCACTTGTTGTAGCCACGCAATCCTAGGAGATAGGTCTTATTATCATTTTCATTTTACGACTGAGAAAAATAAAACACAGAGAGGTTAAGTAATTTATTTAAGGAAATTGATACAGTAAGTGGCAGAGCAAATATTGAAGGCCAGGACATCTGCCTTAGGGCAGATGCTTTAACCAAATACTGTCCTCTCAAAGCTTGCAAAATATTGCGTTAAGTGTTTTTGAAGTGCCAAAAGTATGTATTTAAATGACTCTAGTACATTATAGAGCATGCTGAATTTTAATACAGAAATGCAAATTTCTACATGACTCTAAATGAGGGAACACAGATTCAGCTTTAGGATCCATAGAAAGAACACAAAAGAGGTAGCAATCTGATGAAAATTTGACAGAAATAGATGCATAGGGGAGAGAATAAAACAATCAGAGCCACATCCAAGGATCACTGAATGTGTTTGGTGATCATCACTTAGGCTGTGTTGCAAAGGTGTCTGTGAAGCTTGGTTAGGGGCCTGCTCTCACATTTAGAAAGTGTGAACTTGAGCAAGACACAACTTGAGCAAGTGTTGTTGGGTGTCTACAAGTGGAGCAGGTGTTCACTAAATGCTAGCCTTGTTATGAATACTGTGCTATTAATTGAATCTGGATTTCACTAGGGTAACTTTATGTCATCAGGTGCAGCTTATTAGAGCAGATTCACACTGGGAACCCAGGAAAATGGCTGGGGACAGAACAGCAGAGGGCATGCCCACTGGTCAATTGTGAAATATTGAAGGTAATGAGATGACATATTAGGGAGACGTTTGGAGCAAGAGTGAGCAAATTTAGCATTGTTTGTTTGTTTGTTTGTTTGTTTATTTGAGACGAGCCTTCACCCTGTCACTCAGGCTGGAGGGCAGGGGTGCATTCACGGCTCACTGCAGCCTTGACCTCCTGGGCTCAGGTGATCCTCCCACATTAGTCACCCAACTAGCTGGGACTACAGGCACATGCCACCATGTCCAGCACATTTTTTCATTTTTTCTAGAGATGGGGGTTTCACCATATTGCCCGGGCCGGTCTCGAGCTCTTGGACTCAAGCAATCTGCCCGCCTCTGTCTCCAAGTTATAATAACCGTTTAGATGGGGTGAATAAAAGTGAGGAATAAGCATAATACAGAGCTTTTAAGTCCAAGTGACAGACAGGAAAGTTGTGCTTCTGTTTGGCAGAAAGGCAGCGACTTGGGTTGATGCTGGAGTAGAATAAGCGTTCCGATGGGCATCGTGGGTGTAAGCAGTGGAGGAAGGGAATACATTTGAGCAGCTTTGGGAGTGAAATCACAGATGAGAAAAAACAAAGAGAAAATACAAAATTGGGGGATGGATTGTGATATGATCAAGATATAGAAAGAAGGAAATAAAAAGGATGAATTATGATATGATCAAGATATAAAAAGAAGGAAATAAAAAGGATGAATTGTGATATGATCAAGATATAAAAAGATAGATCAAGATATAGAAAGAAGGAAATAAAAAGGATGAATTGTGATATGATCAAGATATAAAAAGATCAAGATATAGAAAGAAGGAAATAAAAAGGATGAATTGTGATATGATCAAGATATAAAAAGATCAAGATATAGAAAGAAGGAAATAAAAAGGATGAATTGTGATATGATCAAGATATAAAAATATAGATCAAGGTATAGAAAGAAGGAAATAAAAAGGTAATGTACAAATGTGTATTGGTCTTGGAAGTTGGAAGGAATAAAATGGAGGCCCATGAATAAAGGCGGACTTGACTGAGTGTTAAAGCAGGCAACTGTCCTGATCTAACTAGACTTGTGGGATTGCATAGCAACAAAATAGTTTCTTCAATAATTTCTAACTATAAAGTGCACCTTCAACAACTAAATATGAGTTGATTCTTCCCTTTCATAATTTGTCAGTTTCACACAGCGTGGCTTTGCTTTGTTACACAAAAACCAAACACACCCCCTTTCCAGATCTCTTTTGGTAGACCTATTATTTTCCTTGTATGCTATGACAATGGCTTTTCTACAATATATGAAAATTAGTCTCACCACTGAAATGTACACATTTTCAATTTATGGTCTTCATTCTTACAGTATTTATACTTCTAATTTTGATTTAAGAAATAATCTGCTTTTTATTTAAATTTTGTTCCTATATGTTATCTTTAAATTTTATTTTTACATTAAAAAATAAAAATCACAAATTTATTTCTTGTATTTACCTCCCCCACCCAAGGACTCAAACTCACACAACTTTTTGACAATCATTCATCTTTTATGTGACTACATGCTTCACTCTGCATGTATTCAGATAGAGGTGAAAACCTCTGCCAGTTATTGATTTAGTTAACAATTATTCATTACGTGCATACTAAATTCTAAGGGAGGAAAAAGCAAACCCAATCCCTAAGTTTATGCCATTTATTTTCTCCAAGCTGTTTGAGTTTACTTTACACCTCACCCTTCTCAGCCTGACCTACATTCACACCAAACTACTCACTCCATGCACTTTGCACATGCTGTTCCCACCTTCTAAGCATCCTTCCATATACTCCATGCTAGCAAAGGTGCTGCCTTTTTTGAACCCAGTTTCTGGGCAGCGAAGACTTCCTTTATTTTCTAAGATACCTTCTCATGCTTCAGCATTGCCTCCCCCTCCATTGTTCTAGGTATCACAGAGAGTGATATACAGTCATATTCACAAGTTCCTTCTTTACTTAGGCTCTGAACTCCTCAAGGAAGTAATGTTTTACACTGTTGCTGGTAACTTCTTCCAGGATTAGAACAGTGCTTAGCACATGAAAGACCCTCAAATATGATTTCTAAAGAAATAAATGAGAAAAGTTCTAAGGCCAATTGATCAAGTTAATGAAGATAATATACTAGCATATAATTAAAAGCGCTTTTCTATTCAGCTGAATGTGTTTGAATATATCGGTCCACCTGAGATGGTAAACACTATTTTAATATGTATTTGAAGAATAACCAGCCACCTTTGGACATTAAAATGTGAAAATGATTAGCCCTTTGAAAGACAATTTAATTACCAGTTCCAAAAAAAAAAAATGAACACAGACTCAACACCGCTAATTGAATACATTTTGATAGATTGTTCAATCATAGGTTTATTAAGATTACAACAAAGGCTACATATTTAAATTAAAAAACACTAAAGCGTTTTTTGTTTACTAATATTTGTGGCTTTTCTACTATGTACCGGGCACTTTTCAAGGCATAGGGCACTAGTGAACGGAACAGATAAAGTACCTGACTTGACAGAGCTTGCATGCTACTTCCTGGAAGATGGACAAGAAACAAGTAAGTTTCTAGAAAATAAAGAGGGGGAATGTAGAGTACCTCTGTGTCAGTGGAGTGTTACTCTGTGAAGGAGGGTAAGAAAAGGGGTCTCAAATAATGCAACGTATTAAAGTCATCTGAAAAGAAGCAAGCAAGATGTGCGGGAGAGGGTCGTTTTAGGCAGAGGGGACAACAGATGAAAAGTCCTCAGCTGGGAGAGAGCTTGAGATTTGTAAGGACCTGCATAGAAGGCGCGGCTCAGGCTGAAGTAGAGCAGGACGATAACAAAGTGAAAGAGGAGAGGCGAGGAGAGGCGGGAAGGGGCGGAGCACGTGTTTCGGATGGGCGCATAGAATGGAGACTTCCGGGCCATGTCAGGCCTTTTGCTTTTACTGTGAGTGAAGCCATAGGACGACCCTGCACAGAGCTGACGTGATCCAATATGTGTTTTTTGCCCCCCGAGACGGAGTCTTGCTCTGTCTCCTAGGCTGGAGTGCAGTGGCACGGTCTTGGCTCCCTGCAACGTCCGCCTCCCGGGTTTAAGCAATTCTCCTGCCTCAGCCTCCAGAGTAGCTGGGATTACACGATTACAGGTGCACGCCACCATACCTGGCTAATTTTTTTCTTTTCTTTTTCTTTCTTTCTTTCTTTTTTTTTTTTTTTTTTGTATTTTTAGCAGAGATGGAGTTTCACCACGTTGTCTAGGCTGGTCTCTAACTCCTGACCTCGTGATCCACCTGCCTCGGCCTCCCAAAATGCTGGGGTTACAGGCGTGAGCCACCGCGCCCAGCCCTGATATTCATTTTAAAGGAATCTCTGTGTGTAGTGTTGATGGCAGACTTACAGGAACAGGGCAGAAGCACGGAGAGATCAGTGAAGAGTTAAATCCAGAACCGAGATGCACCTGAGAGGTGAGTAGTAGACACAGCAGAAACGGTGAAAAGTGTGAGGACAGACAAAGGCATTTACTGATAGATTGAATGCGGGAGGTGACAGACACAAATGAGCTGGCTACAATTTCGGGACTCGTAGGCTGAGCAGCTGCAAGAGAATGGCACCAATTACTGAGATATGGAAGAAACATATCTCTTTTTTGTTTGCTTGGTTGTTGGTTGGTTAGTTTTCTGTTTGTTGTTTTTTTTAAGGGGAGGGTAGTTGTTGTTTATTAGTGGAAAGAAAATCAATATGTCCAAGATTAAATTCTGCAATTTCCGACATATATCAGACATCCAAGTAAAACGTTCAGAAGGCATGAGTCTGGAATTAAGGGGAGATGTCTGGAATGCAGATGTTAATTTATATTTTGTCAGCCTATGGATATTCAAAGAGACGAATTGAAGAGACGAATTGAAGAGATCTCCATGAGAGTTAGTCTAAATAAAAATGAGGAAAAAATTAAAAGACAAGATAGTCTAGCTTTCATTGTTGGGAATATGAGACAAACCATGAAAGTAAATGAAAAAAGAACAGCCAGGAATTTAGAGGTGTCTTGAAGAGAGCTGTTGTGATGGGATGGTTGAGAGGAAACCACAACTGGAACAGATTTAAGCAAAGGAGAAGAGAGGACGGAAGACTGGCCAGAGAACACTCAATCATGGAATCTGGCTGCTAAGGAGATAGAAGTGGGTGGAAGAGGCTGCCTTTGTTCTTGCTTTGGTTTGTTTGGATGTGAGTTATAAATGCATGTTTGCGTGCTTTGGAGAGAAAAGTTGATAAAGGAAAAAGAGCAGAATTGCTGAAATGACAACATTGAGTAGGAGAGAAGAATGGGATCTAACAGGCAAATGCAAGAGATGGCCCTGGGGGCAACCATCCACAGGGAGAGGAGAGAAGGAAAGTGTTCAGAAGAGTGTGAGGGGCCAGGGGCTATAGGCTGGCTGTGTGGAGCTGCCTGTGTGGGGCTGCCCTCCTGCTTAGCTGTATTTCCCCAGGGCTATAGGAGACAAAGTCATCAGTTGAGCATGAGAATGAGAACACGGTGTTGAATATTTGAGAAGAAAGGGAAAGCTTTGACTTAGATATCTAGGAGAGCGGGAAAGAGAATGCATTAGAAAAATTCTGTGACAACTGGTGGTGGCCCTAACGGTTCACTTAAGTTAGAGGCAAATACAGTGGGGCCAGACTTCTCGGCCATGCTTCTCTCAATCACTCAGCCACATGAGGATGGCAGAGGGTGCACAGAGACTGGGACTTACCTGAGGCTGGGGTTCTAAAAAGATGAGCAGGAAGAGCAATGCAAGGAGATTGTGATGACGAATTTTAGAATCGAAGCTGGGTAATGAAGCAATGGAGCCTTGGAAAGGCGAGTAACTGTGAGAATGTGGTCTGCTGAATGATTGCTTAGGTTCTGGTGTGTTGAGAAATTATTTGATTGTGGGTCTTTGGGGAGAAGGCTGTGGTTCAAGATGCTTTATTACATATAGCAGTTTGATATTGAATATTTTAGGTAGATAGAATTATTTAGGGCATGTTACAATTCTACCAATCTGATTACACATAATAATTCTCATCTTTTCAATGTTATTTCCACAACGGCCACAGAATGAGAGAAGACAAGATAGTTTTGCTACTATTGGAAATAATAAAAGCTGATGACAGAATAATCAAATGCCCATCCTCTGTAAGGCACCAGTTCAACAGCTGTCCAGTTCTGGGAGATCATGTCATTTTGTCAATGTTTTATGTTCAGTCCCAGAATTAAAAATGTATAAAATTGCACGAAATGTATTTGATGCAATTTGTTTGATGCAAAATTTATTTGATGCAATACTTCTCATGAAGTACTCAAGTATAAGAGATACTCTGAGAGATTATGTGGACAATTCATACAAGTCATTTGGAATGGAAGGAGGTCTTAGTATCTTTATATCTGTGGTGTTAGCTAGCAAGTTCAACTGTTAGGAGAAATAGCTACTGTGTTCACTATAGCTCACTGGTGTTTTGTGATATTCTGCATCATGAGCTTATTAATTTTAAATAAGTATATGAATAGAGTCCCAACTGAAAACACTATAGAGGGTATTATTTAATTTTTCAGCCTCAAAATCGTAAATATTAGTGATCAGTAAAAACTTTGAAGTGAACAAACGTTATTTCTAAGGTTTTTTTTTTCCTATTTTCCTCTAAGCCTATTTTGAAGCTTTTAAAAGATATTTGAAATCACGTGTAGAAAAATTATGGAGACATATATGATGAGAGCAGATGAAAATGCTCAACCCCTGGAAGAGAGGTAGGAAGAGATCCTGGTCCTAAGCCAGGAGACGTCTCCTGAACGTGAGAAAAACAGGACACAGAGAGGCAAAACCATGAGTTGGGTACCCAAGAGAAGTCTCCTGGACCCGAGAAAAACAGGACGCAGAGAGGCAAAACCACGAGTTGGGTACACGGCTCCTGCATAAGAGCGAAGCTGAGACAGGAAAATACGGAACAGCCCCTATTAACCACACTATGGAGTGTGGAGCGCTAACAGTGGACTCCTGCTGCTGCGGGTGGAGGGCCAGGAGCACAAGGAGACCATCTCAGAGCTGCAAGGTGCAAAGACCTAAAACCGAGGGTGGAGCAGGTTTTGAGAAAAACCTTCTGGCAGAAATGGCCCTACCCTAAGCACAGGGTAATCCCAGAGGAAGCGGAAGCCTATAGTACACTGAGAGTAACCACAGCAATAACAGAAAGGAAAAGCAACTCAAGTCCTCACTAGACTGGCTCAACTCCATGTCAAAGGCCTGGAGAAAACGAGATGTCAATTTCTAGGCACAGACATTATTTGCTTCAATCTATGCTATACAAGAGATCTGTCTTTAACAACAATTACAACACACACACACAAAAGCAAGTAAAAGTAGTATACTGTCAAAGAACCAACAATTAATATAATCAGACCGTCATGATGGTAACGTCGAACCTATCACAAAGAAAATATAAAATAAATATGACTAATATGTGAAATCCTCTAGAATAAAAAGCAGAAAACATGACTGATAATATTGATAATCTTGTCAAAGGCATTAAAATTATAAAAGAAAAATGAAAATGTTGGGAATTAAAACCATTGTAACAGAATGATTTTGACATGCTCACCATTGGACGTGACACATATGAGGAAAGAATCAATGAACTTGAAGATTAATAAGAAAAAATCATCCAAGCTGAAACACAAAGGAAACAGAGTATGAAGAGAGAGAAAGAAACAAATAAATAAACAGGCAAAGTATTCAAGAGCTGTGAGACGGTATCAAATGATCTAGGATAGGTGGAATTGGAATCTCAGGAGGAAATGAAATGTAGGAAGAGATAACGCCTAAGGATTTTCCAAAAATTAAAAAAGACAATTACAAAACAAGTCCGAGAAGCTCAGAGAATACAAAGCAGAATAAATGCAATTAATTAAAAACTATATAATAGACCCTAGGACAGCCAGTTATCTTTTAAAGTTATAAATAATAAGCTAAAAGTGGCAATAAAATGAAATGATAAAAAAATCCTCATTCCAAAAAAGGCAGAAAAATAGGACAGAAATAAAAAATAAATGTAACAAATTTAAAATAGCTAGAAAAATAGTAGAATTTAATCTAATTATAAAAAAATTGCAATAATGTAAATGACAGTTGTCATCTGGGTGGAAAAGTGGTGCCAAACTCTATGCTATTTATAAGAAATCAATTTACTGTTTTATTTAGATATACTGACAAAACACAAAATAAAAGTATTATATATATATGAAAGTTGTACAATATGTTTTGATATACATACGCATTGTGAAATGATTACCACTTCTAGGTATATATTCCAAGGAAATAAAATTACTCTCTCAAAGAGAAATCTGCACTCCCATGTACATTGTAGCATTATTCACAATAGCCAAGATAAAGAAATTACATGTCCTTCTACAGATGAATGGATAATGAAATAATATTTGTGTGTATGTGTGTGTGTGTGTGTCCACACACACTGAATTATTATTCAGTCTAAAAAGAATGGAAATTCTTTAGTGTGGACACACACACATATTATTCAGCCTAAAAAGAATGAAAATTCTGCCATTTTCAACAACGTGAATGAAGCTGGAGGACATTATCCTAAGTAAAATAAGCCAGACACTAAAAGACAAATATTGTACCACTTCACTTTATGTGAAATCTAAGTAAGTCAAGGAAGGCACCAGTTTTAAATATCAGAACATGGAGAATTAAAAGTAGAATGGAAAATATTTCATTAAAAAACTAATGAAACAAAGCTCAGGAGGCTTTATGTAATGGCTTTATTAAAAGTAGACTTCCGTATATAAAAATACTTACAGATTATGTGTATACATGGTATTCATGGGTTAGTATGCATGCATATATTATCTTGCTCTGCTGAGATGCCCTAGAAGTAACAACATCCCAGTGGCAATGAGCACACATAAGACCCAGATCTTGGTTTTTAATATCTTTCTCCAATAAAAGGAACTAGAGCTCCTTGAAGAAATGGCTGATTCTAGGACAGGAAATACACAAGATGAGCCTGGACTATCTGTAGTGACAGAAAGTGAGTATGTGTGCATGCGTGCGCGCGCACACACACACACACACACACTGATGGGTGTATGTTAAAGGGAGGGGTCCCCAACCCCGGTAACAGTCTGTGGCCTGTTAGGAACCGGGCTGCACAGCTGGAGGTGATTGGAAGGTGAATGAGCAATGAATCATCTGTATTTACAGCCGATCCCCACAGCTCACATTATTGCCTGAGCTCTGCCTTCTGTCAGATCAGTGGTGGCATCGGATTCCCATAGGAACACAAACCCTATTGTGAACTGCACACGCGTGAGATCTAGGCTGTGTGCTCCTTATGAGAATCTAATGCCTGATGATCTGTCACTGTCTCCCATCACCTCCAGATGGGACCATCTAGTTGCAGGAAAACAAGCTCAGGGCTCCCACTGATTCTACATTATGCTGAGCTGTATTATTATTTTATTACACATTACAGTGTAATAATAATAGAAATACAGTGCACAATGAACGTAATGTGCTCAAATCATCCCAAAACCACTCCCCAAACCCCACCAATCCATGGAAAAAAATTGTTCTCCACAAAACTGGTGGAAGACAGTGCCAAGAAAGTTGGAAACTGCTGGTTAAAGGAATATGGGAGCCTGCTGAAAGTATTCGCAATGGTCATATCCTAAAAAAAGAGCAACTAAATAAATAAAAGAGTATTAGATTATAAACCTATGTATAAAATAGATATCTATCATTCCGCACTCTAAGAAACAGCAGATGAATGACTAAAATAAATTTTGGAGAGTAGACAAATCTCCTATGCAGAAAAATGTTAAATACTTAATGTAGACACCCCTCTTACTCCTCTCTCAAGAAGGTAGGGCAATACTGCTCACTCCTTAAGTGTGAGTTGCTCATAGTGACTTTTTTCCAATGACCATAGGCAGATGAAAAGAACTGAAATTTTAGAAAGTATATTCTACAGATAAAATGGTGATAAGTGATGTTGATACTATGTTTCCTTAATAGAAAGTGATGGGAATGGCAGTGTTACTCCCCAAAGCCCATCACTCGAATCTAATAATGAAATAAGTTAAATTCTCAGTGGCATTCTGCAAAATACGTGATTCGTACTTCTCAAAACTGTCAAGTTGATAAAAAAAAATAAAAAAAAAAAAGTCTGAGAAATTGTCATGGCCAGGAAGAGTCTAAGTTAGGAGACATGACAACTAAATGGGTTCCGGAAGAAAGCCTGCAACAGTAAAACGATGTTAGGTAATGACAAAGGAAATCTGAATAAAATATATACTTTAATTAATAATAATGTGTTAAAAGTGGCTCATTCCCATATTAGTGTAAGATGTTAATGATAGGTAAAACTGGGCGTGGGGTATACAGAATCTCTGTACTATCCATGACATTTTTTTCTGTGTACCTAAAAACTGCAATAAAATTTTAAAAGTTTATTTAAAAATTAGACTTTGTTGCACTGTATATTATTAGGAATAGAGAAGAAACTGAACAATGATAAAGAAAATGTAACAATCTTAAATGCATATTTACATAACAAAGAGCTTCAGAATGCATTCAGCACAATATATGTAGCTGAATGTAAAAACTGACAAATAGATGATTCTAGTTGGATATGAAAAATATGTCTTTTTCTATAGTTGACAGGTCAAATAGAAGAAAATCATTAATCATCTGGAAGAGCTGAACAACAAACACCATCAATGAACTTGATCAAATTGAAAGTTACACTGTATGAACATCAACAGAATATCCATTGTTTTCAAAGGCACATGGGATATCCACCAAAATGAACCATATTCTGGGTGATAAAACAAGCATTAACAGATGAGAAAATTGGAATAATGGAAAATATAGTCACTCAATATAACAGAATAAAACTAGAAATTAATAACAGAAACATATATATATATCCCCAAATATTAGGAAGTTAAATACCACACTGAAAATAACCCATTTAGGTAACTAAATAACAAAAAAAAAAAAAACTCATAGATAAGGTCACAAAAGAAATTTAAAAATATTATGAGTCCGAAGGAAATGTAAAGACAACATATACAATTTTGTGGAATGCATCTGAAAGAGTGTATAGAGGGAAATTTATAGCATTAAATGTATATATTGGAAAAGAAGAAACAGCTCAAAACAATGATCTAAGCTTCTACCTTATTAAACTAGAAAACTAAAGGCAAATCAATCCCATGTTAATCAGGAGGAAGGAATAATGAAGAACAGAATTCAATCTAATTGAGAAGAAAAAACAATAGAGACAATGAGTCAACACAAATATTTGTTCTTTGAATACAAGTCAGTAAAATTGATTTACCTCTAACTTATCCCCCCACACCTCCAAAAAAGGAAAGAAAAAAGGCACATATTATAAATACACGGAATGAAAGAAGGAACATCCCTACAAATAATAAAAGTGTATTACAAATAACTCTAGGCCTATAAATTTACCAGCTTAGATGACAGACAAACCTCCATAAAATACACAAACTGCCAAATATGTTCAAGAGGAAATACATAACCTGAAGAGTTCTATGTCTATTAAAAGTTGGACTTGTAATTAAATACTTTCCAACAAGAGAAAATTTAGTCTTCTCTGGATTTTAGCAAGCATTAAAGAAAGAAGTAAAAAATTACTATACAAATTCTATACAAACATTTTTACAAAATTGATGGGCGAGAACACTCCCTAAATCCTTTTATGAGACCAGCATTCCCTGATGACAAAGCCAGATACTATAGAGACATTACAAGAAAAAAACAACAGAGACTATTATTTCTCATAAACATTAATGCCCAAATTCTCCCACAAGATACTGTCAAATTGAATTCAACAATATATTAAATTATAATTATCCCTTTAGCAGCATTTTGACCTGCAATTATATTTAGAGGGAATATCCAATTTGATAATTAAATATAAGTTGTTACTAAATAATTATTTATTATAATTCGGAAACAGTCTAAAACCCAATGAAAAGAAACTGAATAAAATGTGCACTGTATACTAATATAAGCACACAAAAATAGCTTGCATTAATTATAAATATTTAAAAAATAAATTTAATGATATAATAATACTATTAAAATTAAAAGCAATCTGCTAAATATTTAATTAACTGGTTACTTCTAGGTTCCAACTTTTCCTATTTTATTTATTTTCAAAAATATTGAGTGTGTATTATTTTATTGGGTTGAAAATATAATACATTTCATATAAAAGAAAATCTATCTGTACTTGATTATTTCAAAATATAATTTCAAAATCCCTACAATATGTAATCTATGTACAAGTCTGCAAGAACAACTTGTTTAAAATATCTCAGTTGGGTGTGTACTATTTTCCACATGAGATACCACTGTGCTTTTAAAGTTGCATCATACAATAAATTTAAAAGAGCAAATAAGACCAAAATAACATTGTAACAAAGCATGCATTATTTTTTCCTACATTATAGCACTATAAGTACTAAAGCATATTATTTTATGTCTCTGTCAATATTTATTTTTAGCCAGGACTTATTATCAAAGATTTTACAGAAATTTGGCCAGGATTGGTGACAACATGACTATTTTTCATCCTGTGGCCATGGCAGACATCACTGACTACTGAGCTCACATACAGCTTAAATATGCTTTTAACCACTAGTCTCTGGTGTTCACTATGAATCATTCACTATCAAGATGCAATTTGAAATATATTTTCCATTCTTAATTAAAATAATGTTTGGATTATCTTCCTAATTATTTACAATTTGTTAGCAAATTTTCAAACAAAACTCTCAAGGTATGAACCATACCTATATTTTGTCTGAGCTAGCATACCATCTTTCGTCTATTTCAGTTACAAGATTAAGACATGTATTGTATACCTTTCTTATCAAACATTTTTTTACTTAAAAGATTATTGTTTTAAGAACAATTCAATGACTAAAATACAGCTTTGACTTTCAGGGTTCCTGTATGTTTACATAATTAATACTAACTCTAAGCAATGGTATTCATTCTCCATTCACAGATGTCAAAAAATGTGAAAACGCATGAACTCTTAATGTATATGTCTGCAGAATTCTTATCCAAAAGGTTCATGCAACATAAAACATAGGCAATGGGGCCAGGCATGGTGGTTCACACCTGTAATCCCAGCACTTTGGGAGGCCGAGGCGGGTGGATCACCTGAGGTCAGGAGTTGGAGACCAGCCTGACCAACATGGAGAAACCCCGTCTCTATTAAAAATACAAACTTAGCCAGGCATGGTGGCACGTGCTTATAATCCCAGCTACCCAGGAGGCTGAGTCAGGAGAATCACTTGAACCCGGGAGGCGGAGGTTGCCGTGAGTCGAGATCGTGCCATTGCCCTCCAGTATGGGAAACAAGAGCGAAACTCCACTTCAAAACAAAAACAAAAACAAAAACAAAAAAAAACAAAAAAAACATAGGCAAGGGGCAGAACCAAGCAGAAGCGGCTTCAGAGCAGTCAATGTAATGATCACAAAGTCCATTTTCCACAGCAGAAACATGTATTCATAGAATACTCCTTCAGATCTTACTCATAGTCTATTGCTTTTATCAGATGATTTTGGTTGCTTTCCAATCCATAGCAAACAAGAAGCAGAAAAACTATGGAAGTAGAAGGGAAGCTCTGTGGACTATCATTACCTAGGCCCACTGTTGATGATGACGGCCTTCAGCATCGTCATGGACCCAGAGAGAAAATAGTCATTATAAAAATGCTTCCAATTTAGGAAGACAGAATAATGATTTCTACTCTATTCTCCTTGCAGCCCAATGAAATTAACTAAAAGTTTGACAAATAGGAAAAAAAGTATTTCATGAGGAGGAAAACCAGCATATATTCCAAAATACAAACAACCAACTATAAAGAATATTGGCTCATTATGTTGAAAATTGGAAAACCTCAGGAATGATTAGTAAAATTACTATGCAATACACAGAATTCTCTAAAAGTACATAGCACCACGCTGAATTGCTGAACCAATTTATTCTTGTGCAGAACTATTTCAAATATTTGAGGTGATTCTTCTGTATTTTAATTCTACATCCCTAAATAAGATGATTCAGTTGCTATTTCTTAACTTTTCAGTTTTTAACATAACCGGTTAGTACTCCAAATTAAAAGATGAGGAATTAAACATAATTTACCTCCTTCCCCACTGTCATCATGCACAAGTACCCCTTCTGTCTCCCGATCCTACCGATGTAATAACAACATTGTGGTTTTACATCAATCTTTAGTCTTTACATTACTGGGACAGTATAAATGCTCTTCACCGCTGAGCCATGTGGTATTCTCTGTCTGCTTTTTATTGGTTGCACACCTATTTAAAAATTGGCCCTGATAATAATAATTATCTCGCTTCTTTGTTTGCTTAATTTTCTGTTTATTTATGACAAATTCAAAGTCACACCTTCTCCCAACATCCAAATCTGTATCATATCAGATACTATATTAAGTTTTTATTTTTAAAAGAAATCATCAAAATACTTTCTGTTTTCAAGGAATTTTTAAAACTTTGTTCTAAAACTCTTCTAGTGTTTTAACTTTCCTGTTTCTGGAGAGATGACTAAAATTAAACTAATTATTTAAATGCAAACTTTTTTCCCTTTAGTAATTTATATATTCTTTTAATGTTCAGTGTTTACACATTTCTCAACGATATAATTTGGCTAAGCCTATTCTCATTTATTTTACTGTATATATGATGATGTTGGGGTCTTAAATGTAGAAAATCTTTCCATTCTAGAAAATTGTCTTTTATTATTTCTTTGATTCTTTTATTGGTTATTTTTTCTACTTTCTTGATTCTAAAACTTTCTCATTTAGATACTAACACACTGACTTTGTTCTCTAATTCTTGTATTCTTTCTCTGGCTTTTATTTATTTGTCCTTCTCATTCTGGGACAGTTTGTTAACTTTATCTTTTAATTATTCTATTGAGTTGTTATATTTATTTTATTATGATTTTTATTTCCAAGAACATGTTTATGTACAGATGGGCTAAGTCGATTATCACACATTCATCTCTCCCAGCTTCCAGAATTCTATAATTGTTGTCTCCTTTCTTGGACTTTTTGCCTTTGTGAATCTATGCCATTAAAATATGCTTACTGGCATTTTAATGGGGTTTTGAAAGCAGTGGGGCTAATTATGTAATTTTTGATCATTTTTATTTACTTAAAATTCTCTCAAGTAAAATTTAACTTTTTAAAAAATTCTGTTATAGAACATCTGTCTTTTAACATAAGTTGCCTCAAATATTTTTTGAATGTACCACACATTAATATGTATCTATAATATGAATGTATATATATAGAATATGATAACATTGTCTTTAACAATAAGAACTAGCATATTTAACAAATATCAGAACTTTTGATGAAAAAATAGTTTCAATATCAATTTTAAAATTATCTAAATGGATTGTCCTTTGAACAGCTTTGCTTCGAAAGGACTTGAAAATGTCTCTTACAAATACAACAGAACAAAACATCTGAAAGATCTGATACCTAATTAAGCAAACGTTTGTCCATTTCATTATATACTATAGATCTGCACTGATGGAAACTTCGGGCATGAAATTAACCATTAGGCTTTGTATATTACTGGTAGAAGAGGCTGCTAGTTATCTACTTCAGTAGCAGATCTCTAAACATACAGGGCACAAATATTTTAACACACATCTGAAAATTAGTTTTCAGGTTTGCCTTTTTAAGAAACTAGTTGATTTTTAAAAATAGACTATTTGACCAAATAATCTACCCTGTATGAATGGAAGTCAAATTATGATAGAATTCCATGTAGTGATATTATATTTTAAAGTGTTCTTAATTTTTGTTTGTATTCCAATTCATACTCACACTAGTGATGAATTATGTGAAACCATTGCCCTAAAGTATTCTGCATGATCGTAGATTTCCTGCAGGGTGAGATCAATTTGCACTAGTTTTTTTTCCTCCTTCAGAACCAGTGTCTTTTAAATGGCATCCATATTTGCCTTCTCTCAGGTCCCACCTGAAGGCAGAAAATGAACTAACTGCAAGAACAAGGTACTAGCAGGACTTTTCTACCTAATACCTAGAAGCTTTGTTATTGATTGAAACCGTATATACCTCTTAACATCAGTTTGCTTTCAGCAGAAGCTTGTTTTCATTTTTGTAATGAAAGTATGTTATCTAATTATATACATTAATGTTCAGAACAAAGTGTAATTATTAACCTTTGGTATACTATTAGAACCCATTTGGCCTCATTTTAGAGTTATTTCTTTTATGAATATCGCCTCCCCTTTATAACAATTAACATTTAATAACTTATTTTTTCTCAGTTTACAAAGAAAATTCACTTTTTTTTCCATTGGAGTGAAATATTTTCTGTCTTAAAATTACTATTTGGGTCCTTTAGGTCACTTTATAAATCTAAGATAAGCTGTAAAATCTTAGTGCTCTTATTTTTTCCATATCAAATATTTTGCTCTTCTTTATTCTTAGAAATTACATCACATTATTCATCAATGGGGGCACATATACATGTGTAGAGTTGCTCTTCCGTATCCATGGGGGATTGGTTCCAGGATTCCTTCAGATACCAGCATGTACAGATGCTCAAGTCCCTCAGGTAAAATGGTGCAGTATTTGCATGTAACCTAGGCACCTCCTTCCGTATACTTTAAAACATTTCTAGGTTACTTATAATGCCTAATACAGAGCAAGTGCTATGTAAATAGTTGTATACTGTATTTTTTATTTGTATGATTTTCTATTGCTATTTTTTTTCTCTCAAATATCTGCATTTGGTTGACTCTTATGTGGAACCATGGATATGAAGGGTTGACTATGTTTTTCTGTGTGTGTGTGTGTGTGTGTGTGTGTGTGTGTATTTAAAACCACAATAAACATACGTGTGCATATGTCTTCATAGTAGAATGATTTATATCCCTTTGGGTATACACCCAGTGATGGGATTGATGGGTCAAATGGTATTTCTGGTTCTACGTCCTTGAAGAAATGCCATCCTGTCTTCCACACTGGTTGAACTAATTTACATTCCCATCAACAATGTAAAGGCGTTCCTACTTCTCCACAGCCTTGCCAGCATCGATTGTTTCTCGACTTTTTAATAATCGCCATTCTGGCTGGTGTGAGATCGTATCTCATTGTGGTTTTGATTTGCATTTCTCTAATTATCAGTGATGTTACGCTTTTTTTTCATATGCTTGCTGGTTGCATAAATGTCTTCTTTTGAGAAGTGTCTGTTCATATCATTTGCTCACTATTTGATGGGCTTATTTTTTTTTCTTGTAAATTTCTTTAAGTTCCTTGTAAGTTCTGGATATTAGACCTTTGTCAGATGGATAGATTGCAAAAATTTTCTCCCATTCTGTAGGCTGCCTGTTCACTCTGATGATAGATTATTTTGCTGAGCAGAAGCTCTTTAGTTTAATTAAATCCCAGTTGTCAATTTTGGCTTTTAAGCAATTGCTTTTGGCATTTTTGTCATGAAGTCTTTGCCCATGCCTATGTCTGAATGGTATTGCCTAGGTTTTCTTCTAGGGTTATTACGGTTTTGGTTCATACATATAAGTCTTTAATCTATCTTGAGTTAATTTTTGTATAATGCATAAGTAATGAAGGGTTCCAGTTTCAATTTTCTGCATATGGGTAACCAGTTTTCCCAGCACCATTTATTGAATAGAAGATCCTTTCCCCATTACTTGTTTTTGTCAGATTTGTCGAAGATTAGATAGCGAAGTCATGGAACCAACCCAAATGCCTATCAACGACAGACTGGATAAAGAAAATGTGGTACAAATACATCACAGAATACTATGAGGCCATAAAAAAGGAATGGGATCACATCCTTTGCAGGTACATAAATAATGCTGGAAGCCATTGTCCTCAGCAAACTAACACAGGAACAGAAAACCAAACACTGCATGCTCTCATTCATAAGTGGGAGCTGAACAATGAGAACACATGGATACAGGGAGGGGAACACCACACACCAGGGCCTGTTGGGGGGTGAGGGAGGGCAGGGGGAGGGAATTTAGAGGATGGGTCAATAGGTGCAGCAAACCACCATGGCACACATATTCCTGTGTAACAAACCTGTACGTTCTGCACATATATCCCAGAACTTAAAGTAAAATAAAAAAATAAAATAAAATAAAAAATAAAACTTTTGAGTTTGCTCTCTTTAAATTCTTATTAAAATGTTTTAAAAAGTTGATTTTCATGATTTCTTTATTTTTACTTTATAAATTGTAAAACAACTTCCAGCATCAAGAGCTCATTGATGCATTCAGGCAGGAACTGAGCAAGTCAAATAATGCAGAGAGAAATACATTAAGGAGAGATAGGACTTTAATCTGCAGGAAAAAAATCCTACAGACAACAACTGTTCACAGCAGCAAACCCCTACATTTTATGATCTAGAAGAAGAAAATGGAGACAACCAGAAGGAGGGAAATACCAACCTACTCTGAAAGCCTTCAGACATGGCTCTGGTGGTAAGCTCTTTCCCTCTCTGTTTGCTGCTTTTTTCTGGCCTTTACAACAGAATGGAAGAGAATCATGTAAGAGTTCCTGTAACAATTATGCAGAAAATACTAAAACCCATCAGGCAAGATCACCACGCACTGAAATATTTTCATGTCAAGATAAAATTGCAAATTTTCCACAATTCATTGCTAAAATAACGAGGAGAAAGGCTTAGGAAGTTTTTTTGCATAGAGTGCTGATAAAGAATTGAGCAAGTTTGGCCGGGCGCTGTGACTCACGCCTGTAATCCGAGCACTTTGGGAGGCTGAGGCGGGCGGATCACAAGGTCAGGAGATCGAGACCATCCTGGCCAGCACGGTGAAACCCCGTCTCTACTAAAAATACAAAAAAAATTAGCCGGGTGTGGTGGCTGGCGCGCCTGTAGTCCCAGCTACTCAGGAGGCTGAGGCTGGAGAATAGCATGAACCCGGGAGGCGGAGCTGGCAGTGAGCCGAGATCGCGTCACTGCAGTCCAGCCTGGGCGACAGAGCGAGACTCCGTCTCCAAAAAAAAAAAAAAAAAAAAAAAAAATTTGAGCAAGTTTGCTGTTGTATTGTAATGTTTCTCTCAGGTTTGTTCTTCCTATCATGTTTGATATTCCATGAATAATTGAGATCAGCCCTATGTAAGCTAAGATCATAATATGTGGAACAAATGGCATTGTAAGTGCTTTCAAAGGGTAATATTTATAAGAAAGTGACCTAAAAATGATTTCTTCAGCCTGAGGAATTATAGAATGATAGGAAGTCTCTCAAGTTAGCCTTCACGCAATTTCATAGATTAAAACATAACATTTGTCCAGAATTTAAAGACTTACATACCTTCCTAAATTGTTACAGTGCTTTACCGAATCTACGACTTCTACATCACACAAATCAGCGGTCAAATGTAAACAATATCTTGTAAATGTACTGTAGGTTTGCGACCTTTTTTAGATTTATGCGTGTGGATATGTTAATAATGTAGTTACAATCACCACAAAGTCAGCTTTTTAAATTGCAGACAGTAGTGCATGTCACACTAACATGTAGTGGTCTTTTCGAGGCCTCATCCCAGGGAAAATATTTTGTAGAGTATAGGGGAGTGGGAGGAAGGGGAGGAATAATCTTTTATTTAAAGTTGATTTCTGCACTATCTTTTACTCAATTGCCCGCATGAATAATAATGAGGAATATTTTGTGACTTTAACTGGTAAACATGTTACAAAAGCAACTACTTAATCTTTTACATCATGTCTTCAGCTATTTGTATTTTAACGAGTAATTTCAATGGTCTGAGACATGATTCTGAGCTTCACATGATATCTTACTGTGGAACCCAAAAGTTTGATCACTGAATTTGGCAGTTATTATTACCTAGGTACCCCTGTTTAGATACATGTTCCTGAATGAAGCTGCTTTTGAATTTTGTTATGTCGAAATACAAGAAATAACAATGACGGCAGCAATTAAGGTAACAAATCATGACGTAAAGGAAAACCAATGAGGAGTTCTGCATTTTTCTTTTTTTTGTTTGTTTGTTTGTTGAGATGGAGTCTCACTCTGTCACCCAGGCTGAAGTGCAGTGGCAAGATCTTGGCTCACTGTAACCTCCACCTCCTGGGTTGAAGCGATTCTCCTGCCTCAGCCTCCCAAGTAGCTGGAACTACAGGCACGTGCCCCAACGCCCAGCTAATTTTTGTATTTTTAGTAGATACGGGGTTTCACCATGTTAGTCAGGATGGTCTTGATTTCTTGACCTTGTGATCTGCCTGCCTCGGCCTCCCAAAATGCTGGGATTATAGGCGTGAACCACCGCACCCCGCCTGCAGTTTTCTTTTAATAAGTAAAGTGAGACGTGGGTCATGGGAAGAACCAATTAGTCTCCCTGCCACCCTGTGAGTGTGTGCACTCACGCATGTGTTGTCTATATGTAAGCCACTCGCTTTTTTTTCCTTTGAAACTGGTAAAGTTAAAATAGGGGAGAAATCCTATATGTTGCAATGATAGCATTTTGGAAAATTTAAGAAATCAAACTCTCCATGTTCTCCATCTTGATTTATGCTTGAGTTGTTATGTGCCATATTTGCTTTGAATTCTGATTACCAGAAGTTTTACTAAATTTTTGAAGAAATAATTCACTTTCATCTGCTTTCTAGATTTTGTACATCTCAGTTCATAAAGCAAAGCTTGTTGATAGTGTAATTTTCTAAACACTGCAAATTTGCAGCCGTAACCACTACAAAGAAGTTTGGATGAGGGATTTTTTTTTCTTTGTTAAAATAGTTCCTGTTTCTGTAGAAATTTCATTTTTAGATTAAACTGTGATGGATTAACTAGCATAATTCAAGTATACTTTTCTTTTTTTTCTATTGGACACTCATTGTCATGCTGTAGTAGTAAAAACATTAAAGATGCAACAAGCTTATGAAGTACTATTTTCTAAACAAACAAACAGGAGGCATTTTCATCTTTGTTATTGTACTTTTGGTTATGCAAACACTTTGATAATATAAACAGTTATGTCCTCTATAAATCTGGCCAGAAACCTCTTTTGATTTTGTTATGTAAGTTAAATAGTCTATAGTAGGTAGAGTACTGGGTACAAGTGGTCCAAACTAAGATAAGAGACTAAAATAAAATGCTAAATCTTAAAAGAAACTGGGTAGATGCACTAAAAGTTTGGTGTCTTGGTCTAATATTAACATGATGTCTGTGTAAAATGACAAAAAGAACCAGTGTTGAACCACACTGTATTTTCCATCATCTCAGATTGCTAAATGTGTTGTTTCCAAGAAGTCTGAATGAATGAATGAATGATTATATACATTTGCTGTCATGTATACGTGACAGTTGTGTCATTGTTAGAGATTTCAGTAATTAAAATGGGAAACAGAGGCTTAAGTTATTTTCCTTATCAAAAAAAAACCCTGAAAATAAAAAGGGTCTCATTGGATCCAGAGACTATTGTAACTAGTACACAGCAGTAAGCATTTATTAGGTTAGGGGTGGAGACACAAAGAATAAGCTGCATTTGCAAATACATTTATGTGTATCAGGGTTTGCAGATCAGCAATGTGAAACACCAATAGTATTGGTGGTGAGGAGGCCACCATCACACCCATTCATTTGAAATATATGGTGCAGAATTCTTGCCCTCGGAGTCGGTAACTTTTGTCCTGACCTATGTTACTAATTTGTTTTATGAAAAAGAAATCAATTAATTGCCCTAGGCCCATTTATTCAGCTATAAAATGAGAATTTATATTAGAATCTGTGATAATCTATGGACAGCAAACAGGTAGGCTAAAAATTTTTCCTAATCTGGAAGGTGTTTTATTTGTGTAGCAGGTAAATAATAAGAAAAAAGTTCTTATTTGTCAAAGTCCACTCTTTATTATTTATACCTGATTAACTTTATTTATTTACATCACTTACCTGGCCAATTAAGGCATTTAATTTTTGTGTGTGAATCTTCTCTGCTAGTAAAATCTTATGACTCAGCATACAATTTCTTTCATACCTTTAAATAATTTATAACTTGGTTTGGAACTATAACCCACTGGCCCTTGGAAAAAATAATCATAAACGCAAAGGAATAATTGGAAAAAAATAGATGAAGAAAAAGATTGCAGGGTAGAATTATCATTTATTAATATTTTTCTCATCAATGTAATTCCATTCAAACCACTTATACAAAAAAAAAAAACAAAACAAAATAAAAAAAAAAAAAACAATACCCTCCCTAGTGTTAAGGGCTCACCCAGAGAGAAAAAGTACACATAAGCTATTCTTTCAGTTTGCCTGTCTTCACCTTGCCCTTCATTCAGACCACTCACATGATGCTATCTTGTCAGGAAGTTGCATTATTATTGCTTGAAACTCTGCTGCTTATTGTATAAGCTCCGAAGGGGCAGGGACCCCACCCTTCCCCATCTCTACATTCACAGCACATAGCCAGTAAACTGCTATATTTTCAAAAACATTAATAAATGACTAGAATGTTTCATTCCCAAATGTTGTCTAAATGGAAAATATAAACCACCAGCATGTGGCTTAGATAGGTGGGATGACTGAATGACAATGATTTATCAGGGGAAGGTCAGTTGTTTGATGCGGACGCTCTAAGCTGAGGTGCAGGATGCGCTATCCATTGCTGCGGTAGGCCCTGTTAGGCTTCTCCAACATCTGCTTCCTCTACCCTTTGAACCCAGCTATGGTCGAGTGACTAATACAGGCATCTTAAAATGTGGATAAATGACCTTCTCAAGTCAGTAGAAGTCTTCAGGGCTAAGGCCTCTCAGCTTTGATCCCCCATTTCTAATATTCTGTTCTGTGAGGCTGGGACAGGAATTCTGAAAACACTATTTCAGTTTTTGCAGTTTGCTTCCTGCTGGGCTGTGTCACTGTGGAGCCTCAGACATGGCTCCTGGAGAGCAGGTGGTGGGAGGGGAGATTGGCCTCTTCTTGTGGATTTCTTCCCGTCAACAGCGCTCATGCTAAAGTTCCTCACTGCTAAAGCTGCAATTTGTTCCAATAGCAATGGGCTCCAGGTTCCAGAATTCCTACACACTTGCAGAAATTACGGGAGAGTGCCCGTCCCTCAAGTGCCTGACTCTCTGCTCTACAGGGTGCTCTGCAATCTCCTAGGTTCTGATAACCTCCGACATCTCCTTTTGTGCCCCAGTCCTAAATGCCAAGTGGCTTCCTGCAGTTTCTCTCTCATTGTTATTCTCTCCCTGGTCCTTTTCCCTTTATAGTTCTCTATTTTTTATGTTAAATGGTCTCTCCAAATAACTGATGTGTTTTCCTCAACGAACCCTTGACTGAAGCAGAGCCAGAACACCTTGTACTAGGCTTCTCTTTCTCTGATTACCCAACTACCTTTTTAACAGGGACACATCCGTCCTTCAGGATCTCGGGTGAACATGACAACATGGCATGGGGATGGTGTTGGAGGCTGGGTCGCTGTGCAGGAAGATGGTGGAGAGGAGACAGGCAAGGCCACACAGCAATGGCTGCGTCCTGAAGAAGAAGGCTCCACTTTCCTTCATTTCCCTGGGGTTTCAGATTTCAGGAAAACCTAATGCCATTAGTTTGTATCCTTTGCAAATTTCTATCATCTTTACAGTTTACCGGTTTATCCATTTACTTAATAATTGCTTATTTTTCATTATCATTAACCCATTTCCCAGCATGAAATAGAGTTTTCTTGTCTTAATCTTCCCCAAGCATATCCCATTTATTATGAAAAAAAATCAAAAGCTATATTCTTGAAATAGTAACATTTTCAATGATATTCTATGTCACTTAATAAAATGTTATTTATATTGAACAGGTATGTTTTCAAGATAAGGCATATATTTTGAGGGTGGAGAAGAGGGCATTTTACCTTAATGCCAAGCTCTCCTGTTTCTGTTTGATGCAAATGGACATTTGATTTTTCTTTATCTACACATGACGCCCATCCCATTCAAGCAATGAGTCACTCAGCAACCCTGTCCACGTTCTGCACACGGAACAACCACATGCCATCTCTTGAAGTTGGTCCCAACACCGCAGGAGAGGAGGGCAGCTGAGCATGGGCAATATGGGTCCTCTGGTCTCATTTGCTTTTGCAGACTAGTGAACACTTTATTTTTGAAAGATCATACTCGGGTCTTTTCTGCATTAGCACAGTGATACTACATTGTGGTTTGGCCATCGCTTCTTAACAAACCCACAATGGTGTTCAGCCAAGATCAGAGCTGGCATAACTAAAACAATCACGGAGCGAGTGCGTGCATGTGTGTGTGTGTGTGTGCGCGTGCGTGCGTACATGTGTGTGCGCGCACATGTGTGTGTGCGTGTGCGGGCGCGTGTGCATGCGTGCGTGCGTGTGTGTGTGCGCGTGTGTGTGTGCGTGTGTGCATGTGTGCGTGTGCGCATGTGTGTGCGTGTGTGTGGTGTGTGTGCGTGTGTGTGTGTTTGAAGAAGGCTACTGAGAAAGGTAAGGTTTCTAAAGGGCTGCTGGCCAACCCTGGCCTAAGAAGGCTTCCACCCTGCTCACAATGTATCCCTCCAGACTCTCTGAAGGATGATGCCCTCCAGCAAGCCGAGCCACTAGGAGACAGTCGGGCTCTGATGAGCAGTAGCAGGGCTGGCAGCAGGGACCAGGACTGATTCCACCTTGAAATATTAAAACTATAAAGGCAGGAAAGAATGTTATTTTCAAAGGTTCGTTGAAAGGTATATGCAAGTCTAGTGGGTGGCAGGAAAAAAAAATAAAGTCCCTAAAACAATGGTTTTATTTTTTGAATTAAAATCCAAGCCTGTTCGATTTTATTTGTCTTTCAGATTTACTAGGAGGATCTGTTTTAGGAATAAGCAATGTTCATAAAGCCAGAGCTTCTCGCCACCGTCCACCATGGAGGGAAACAGTGCATCGGCAGCATACTAATGTGTATGTACAAGCTTGGAGCCCACAGCTGTGCCTCCCATCACAGAAAGATTGACTCAGATGTCCAGATTTGATAATGAGTGCAATGCATGTATTTTTTGTCTTTTTTTTTTTTACTTTTACCCAGTATTGAATTAAGAACAAAAAACAAAACTGTACAGTGAGTAGCCATATGCCCACCATCCATAGTCCACCATCAACATTTTGCTATCTCTGCTTTATTATATACCTAACTTCTGTCCATATCCTCAACACCTATAATAATAATCCTTTAATTTGTGAATTCATTCATTCATTTATTTGTTTTGTTGCCTTTTAAAGCAAGTTTGAAAGGGAAACTTCGCTAGTTCCGGAGGACAATCATTTTGTTTTTATTTAATGTGCTGAAAAGTAAATGAACGAAGAACAATGGCATTTGTAATGAAAGCTTCTTTGAGAAACTCATGTGTTTCCAAATTTTTATTTGTCATTTTGACAAAGATTATGTTTGCCTGTGAAAAATTGAGAGTTAAAAATAACGAAAGCACTTATCTAAATCATACTAATTCTTCAAACTCTACACATTTTAGATCATGAGGTAGATCTAACCATTTCCATGGCATATGAATAGGTGGGTGGTATACCGTGTTTGTCCCTTGGTCTGCCACTAATTTTCACATGTTCTAGATACTGCATAGCTCAATCTAGTAATATACATATGTGGCTCATTCTAATAACTAGTGTTGATAACTACTGACATGTATTGACTAGTAACACTAGCTAATATTTTTTATTGAGTGTGTATTCCTATTTGGTATTAGGCCAAATATTTCTTGCAGATTATCTCACTTAATTTACAAACAATTACTTTATTATTATACCATTGGGATTTAAAGAGGTTAAGTAAACTGCCCAAGTAGGTATGCAGCAGAGCGTAGATACCCACGGTGCCCAAGGCTATAAGCAATCTTTTAACGACCAGAATACACAGACTGCTATATCATGAATGTTGACATCTTCTTTTCTTGTGTAGCATTCTAATGAAAACATATGTAAGGTTCTTTCTTTTTTTTGAGACAGAGTCTCGCTCTGTCACCCAGGCTGGAGTGCAGTGGTATGATCTCAGCTCACTGCAAGCTCCGCCTCCCAGGTTCACATCATTCTCCTGCCTCAGCCTCCTGAGTAGCTGGGACTACAGGCACCTGCCACCACGCCCGGCTAATTTTTTTTTTTTTTTTTTTTTTGTATTTTTAGTAGAGACGGGGGTTTCACCATGTTAGCCAGGATGGTCTCGATCTCCTGACCTCGTGATCCGT
This sequence comes from Homo sapiens, assembly GCF_000001405.40. Lineage (NCBI taxonomy): Eukaryota > Metazoa > Chordata > Mammalia > Primates > Hominidae > Homo > Homo sapiens. The sequence goes on from NC_000002.12 coordinate 6,285,320, forward strand.
CCACCTCAGCCTCCCAAAGTGCTGGGATTACAGGCGTGAGCCACCATGCCTGGCCATATGCAAGGTTCTTAAAAACACTTTATTATACAGATAATACAAAGTATATATAAATAGAAGATACAGATAAGCATAAAAATGATCATTTTTTTCTATCTTGGGCTATATCCTTAGATTTTTCTTTACTTGAAACTCTATTAAAAATAAAATACACTCTGACAGTATCATTCCTTGAGCTTCATGATAATAGCTAAAATAATAATAATTTGGATATATGATGTAGCAGAATGTAATCTAAGTGATTTAACTTAAAGAAGCATTGACAAATTCAATCCTCATGAGAACTTTCTGAAGTAGGTAATATGATTTCCCCATTGTACAAATGGAAGCACCAAGAAAAAGACATGCTTAGTGACTGATTGAGGACAGCCTACCTAGCAAATTACAGAGCCAGATCTTGAATTCTCAAAAGCTCCAGAGCTCACTCTGTTAACCACAAGATACAGTACTACAGTAAAATAATCTAGAATCCATAAATTGTATAGTTCAAAAATTTAACTGATCTTTATTTTTGGACAACTAGGTCATTTCCAATTTTTAGAATTACAAATATTTTTGTGCACATATCTGTTTTCTTCAGAAAATTTATAAAGAAATGGAATTGGTTGCGTAAATAAGTATTTTTTAAGGTTTTTCATATATATTCCCATCCTCACCCATAGAAAAGCAAGGGAGATTTACCTTCCTACCAAGAAGACTGAGGAGTGGGGGTTTTCTGCTGAGCTTCCCTAGCATTGGTTATAATGATTGACTTCTGTGAACTCTGTGACAAATGGTTCTCAATTTGAATTCTAATTTACATTTGCTTGAGAACTAATAAAATTAAACCTGTTTCATAATTGGATATCCTTTTTAGTTTCTTTGTTTAGTTTTGTTGTTGTTGTTATTTAGTGCTTTTTAATGATCGCACATTTGTCCTCCTGGTGTTTGTGTGGGTTGTACTGATTTGTGGAAGCTCGCTATATTAAAGTGAAGTTGTCTGTGTCGTGGGAGAGAGGCAAAAGTGTATCCTTTGCCCTTTAACCTTTGAAGATAAATTCTTTGCCGTTTACTATCTATAGATACAATGCAAGCATCTAAGAATCCTAAGCTACGGATCAGGTTCCGGCCTTGACTCTGGCTGTATAACCTTGGACAAACCACAGCATGTCACTGGCCCTCAGTGTTCTCATCAGTAGAAAGAAGTCGTTATCTCTCTCACTATTACAGGGTCTTTCACCTGGGTGGTTCCCACCTACAGAGGTTCTGGGCCTTGTGCAGAGGGCGGCATGTATTCAAAGCTGGACATTTTGCACACTAAATCCTCACCAGTCACCTCCCTGAAGAATCCACTTCCCTTGCTGGATACAGGCTTCATACTGGCAAGAGTCCTTCTGCCTTAAACATTAAGATCACCCTCCCATTCCCTGCTTTAAACTTTTAACACAGATATTTAAATAGGAGGCCTTGCCGAATCCCTGAATAATGCTCAGGTAGATTCTTCACAAAAAAAAAAAAAAAAAAAACAAGAAACAAAAACAAACAAAAATTGCTCAAAAGGAAGCAACTGAACCCATTGCTTTAACAAATGGACTGGTTTTCTCCCTGCCATTATAGACTGATTTTCTCCCTGCCATTTTCTTTTTTTATTATTAAATTTTGATTTCTGCAATCTGCATCTTTTTTTCTACTTGGTATTTTAATTAGATAGTAGAATTTAAAAATAGGGTCTCCAGTATATTAAGGAAGTTGCAATGGCATTTAATTTATGTGGGACAGCTGGTAGATTTCTGATTTGAGAGGATATTTTTTAAAAATTCTGTCATCTGAACTTTGCTTTGGTAAGGCTGCAAATTAGCAGCTATTCATTCTTTAATGAACAAGGGTTCATGTAAATTTCAGCTATGAATAGGCAATCAGGATTTCTTTGGGCATAATGGGTTATTTACCAGGCTTCCATTTCAATTTTGAACTCTTTGCTTCTTTAAGCACCATCCTATATAATTTCGCAGCCATCTAATTACATATGTGTATATTTACCATATAGATATTGCCTTTGTGCCTATGTCTACTCCAAATTGCTCATTAAAATAGTGGCAAAAGCTCACTCTACCTGAAGTGGAGATATAATATTGAGTTAGCCATGATGAGTCCTACAAACTTGGAGCGGGGAGACTGGGAGCAGCCCCACGAGCTGGCTTTGGAGGCATGTGGCACACGGCTGTGGCAGCAGATGGTGGAGCTAAGGCACTTGCAATTTTGGACATTTCATTATTTTTTTTCCATTGGCTTAAAAGCTTTACTTCAGGAACAATCTTCAGCTGTGAGAAAGATGGTCTATCTGTGTTTTTTTTCCCTCCTATTTTTGGATAAGTTATGGACCTGACAGATTGCGAGGTTTAAGGAAGACCTAAGGCCATTGGCTTGAATTGGATTTCAGAGACTGGATGGTGGACGAGTGCCTAGAAGGACTTAGGATCAAGAAAATGAGCAATGGTTTTCTTGCTTCTACCCCTCCCAGGCTTCAGCCACCTTACTTCCTTTTGATTAAAGTCCCATTGAGGAGGAAACAAGAATGACAAGCGCCTGTGTTCTCAGTGGTCATACCCATGGTTACAGTGGGAGTGAATTGCAGGCCCACTGGCCCTCTTGCCACTGTCTCCTAGTAGGATCCTAGCAAGTCACATTGCATCTCTGGATGTTGTCTGTCTGTCTCCTTTTTGGAATACATGATGGTTTCGAAAAAGTTGTCTATTAGGGGCATAAATGATCTAACATTCATTGATCTCTCCAGTCTAACCTGAAGCCATCTATTTATAAACACAATTACATCATTTATGTATTTCAGTGTGTTTATAGGTAATATATATATAGTTTGATAGACTGGATTTGGAAAGCATTCTTTGCTCTCAAAACTTAAATTTGTATCCTGTGCAATAATTTTCCAGAGCATATTCATCTGCAAGAGTACCAAGTCAGTGCAGAGCCCTGAGAAGTCCTATAGTCCTTCCTATAAAGTTCTCTGAGCTGCCCAAGGGACAATCAGCCTAACACATAAAAAGTGCGTTGAGGGATATCATGCAAAAGGCAAAGGCAAAGACTTGCAAATCTCTCAAGGTGAAGGTCATGTACTTTGAGCCCTCTGGCCCCACACTTAGTTTTCTGTGTGACCCAAAGCATCTAAAAGACTTCTATTTTAAATAGAATCAAAAGAATGACAATAATTTAGGCTCACTTATGTGTATCCATATATTTGCTATAAAATATTAAAAACTGACAGGCTGGTTTAACCATTGCCAGGCCAATGTTATTCCACTTTCCACTTCTTCCACTACATGTTCCCACTGGATTTGCAAGGTTATCAACAATTTCAGCAGCCCTTTGAGAAGCAAGGGGCTCCCCTTTCCTCCCTGACAGAAGCCTCCATCACAACCTTGCTGCCCCTCACAAAGGTGATTGCCAATGCCAAGCACATGCAAGCTTAACATGGGCTGGCTTAGTATGTCCCCAGCAAGTGGAGGGGGCTTCATGTTTTTTCTTGAATTGCCAGTTTTTGTTCTCCTTTTGGCATGTAGAGGTACTGTGAACCCAGCTAATGAGCAATGGCCATGCCTGTCATCTGGCACCCTGGGTATCTTTGTGCAGTGCAGAATGGCAGAGAAGCCAAGCTACCTTCCTGCATCTCCTTTCTCTGCAATGCTTCTAGAAAGGCCCCAGTGTTTTGGTTTGGTGGATAAAGTGCCAGCCATGGTACTGCTGCCAACTGGAGAGGTAACTTTTGCCATAGTGGGTTCAGAAGAGTGAGTGTCACTTCCACACTTCCAACTCAAAAGTGTGACACTTCCTTATGACACACTGAAAAAAATACTAGACTCTGTGACATTTTGTTTTGTTTTGTTTTGTTTTTGTTTTGTTTTTTTTGAGATGGAGTCTCACTCTGTCACCCAGGCTAGAGGACAGTGGCACAATCTCGGCTCACTACAGCCTCCGCCTCCCGGGTTCAAATGATTATCCTGTCTCAGCCTCCTTAGTAGCTGGGATTACAGGCGCATACCACCACGCCCAGCTAATTTTTATATTTTAGTAGAGACAGGGTTTCACCGTGTTGCCCAGGCTGGTCTCAAAGTCCTGAGCTCAGACAATCCGCCCACCTTGGCTTCCCAAAGTGCTAGGATTACAGGCATGAGCTGCCACGCCTGGCCAACTCTGTGACATGTTACTCAAAGCCTTATAAAAGGCCCCAATCTTGGCCTGGCACAGTGGCTCACACCTGTAATCCCAGCACTTTGGGAGGCCAAGGTGGGAGGATCACTTGAGGTCAGGAGTTCAAGACCAGCCTGAGCAACATAACAAAACCCTGTCTCTACAAAACTGTTTTGAAATGTTAGCCAGGTATGGCGGCTCATGCCTGTAGTCCCAGTTACTCAGGAGGCTGACGAAGGAGGATCACTTGAGACCAGGAGTTTGAGGCTGCAGTGAGCTATGGTTGCACCACTGCGCTCCAGCCTGGGCTTCAAAGAGAGACTCTGTTTCAAAAAAAGAAAAGGAAAGGCTCAAACCTGTTTTTCTCCACCCTCCACTGCTCCTTCTCACTTTGTACTGTGACATGGCCACACCTCCCCACTCCCCCGAGCCAATTAGAGGGCTCTTCACTGCTTTTTCTTTGGCTGAGAATGCTCACTTTCTTCTTTCTGGAATTATCTAAATCCTTCTCCTACAAATGCTGTATCAGCCTTCTTGGCCTCTCCAGGTAGACATGACTCCCTCCTGGGTGCTCTGCTGGCTCCTGGTTGTCATGCCATGGCTTTTGCACAGGGATTAGCTGGGCCCTTCCCAGATACCCTTCCCCCACTGAGCTGGGCACTGTCTGTGCTGGGTTCTGCAAGTTCTCATGCATTTCTTAATGATCATTGATATACATTAGTACTACTTTTCCATGACCCATGTAGGGGGTGTAGCTAAAAGCTTTTCAGGGATCTCTGTCAGCTCTAGACCTGACATCTGCACAGCATCTACCAGCCTCTGCCTGCCATGCCAGAGGCTGCTTCGGCAGCCCAGGCCTGATGCGGGATCTGGTCTTGGTTACATAGTCGTTCTGATGTAATGTCTCCCCAGTTGGGGCGCCTGGCCCAGCAGCCCAGCCTGTGGGGTGGAGAGAGGAAGGGAGGAGGCTATGACCTGAGACCAACCCCCTTTGAGGCTGCAAGGGGGCCTCCTGCTTACTTGGATTAGTCAATTAGGTAAATATTACTCCTGGGCCTGTCTGGAAAGAAATAACAAACAACATATTCTGCAAATGGAAAAGCTGATCCAGGCCCAGTGACTGACAATCCAGGTGGTGTCCCCGCCCACCCAGCTCTAAATCAGGGTAGGTCATTAATATGCTAACAACGCTGAAGTCAATTGGCTCCCATGGCGACAGCTCTGAAGCCTTCATGAATAATCCATGCAGCACCTGGAGGCATGAAATTTTCATTGCAGACTTGGTAGAGGAGCTTTGGGTGTGGGGAATCACAAGTGCAAGACACGCCTGGCTCCTGGAGCATGGCGACCCACAGCCCCTTGAGTCTGAGCACAGCACTGGCCACACCCCAGAGCCCCAGAGAGAGCCTGACTCTTGGCCATGTGCCAGGAGACATATAGGCTGGAAGGCTTCAGTCTCTGCATTGAAAACTAGAGCAAAAAAATGGAATTCGTTTTCTAAAAACAGCTCTGATCCTGTGTTCTCTGACAGTCTAGCATGAGCAGAGCACTTCCCAGACACCCTGTCCCAATGCACCCATAACAATCTTAGTCACAATCTTTATCCTACAGAGGGGTCTGACTCAAAGATCCACTTGATTTCAGGCTGCATTTTCCCTTTGCTCTTTTGTTTCCCCTTTACCTTCCCTAAATCTCCATTTTCTTCTTTATAAAACAGGTAGCAACGACGTATCCAAGACACTGTGAGAACTGAATGGAATGCACTTCAAACATTCGTGGCACAGTCTTACATATTCAGCCTTTACCTGCCTCATTGGTGACTGGGAGTCAGCCTTGCTCTCTGATTAAGCTCACCTCTCTCTCTCCACTGAGAAGACATTCTTTTCTTTTTCATAATTTTTTCCAGTCTTCAGGATGTTTATTGAGCAATCAAGTATGGCATGGTTTTCCATGATGTAAAAGCAGGAAGGGGTTGTTTCCGAGAATTAAAACGTTAGACTTCCCTGAGCTGCAGTCTGTTTGTCACTCTAACGAGGATTGTTATTTGAGTGCTGTGGCTTTTATCTTCAGGCGTTGATTGCAGCCACCACTGCCTCCTTGATTCCATTTATATACCAGTCCTTCTCCTTTGGTTCAACGATTCCTTTCCTTTCTTCCTTGTTCAGTTTGACTTGATGTACTTTGATGTTACAGTGGCCTGGATCCTTTGTTTACCTGTTTCAAATTTTATGAACACAAATCACACAGTAAACATGAAGAGAATTTTCATTTCCAAACAGCAAGCTGTTCTGAAATGGGGAATCTTCCCCCATTTTTTTTTCTTTCTTTAAAAAAAAATTTTTTAATGACTAGTGATATGGCTTGGCTGTGTCCCCACCCAAATCTCATCTTGAATAGAAATTCCCATAGTTCCACATGTCATGGGAGGAACCCAGTGGGAGGTGTTTGAATTATGGGGGCAGGTCTTTCCTGTGCTTTTCTTGTGATAGTGAATGAGTCTCACGAGACCTGATGGTTTTATAAAGAAGAGTTTTCCTGCACAAACTCTCTTCTCTTGTCTGCCACCATGTGAGATGTGCCTTTCACCTTCTGCCATTATTGTGAGGCCTTCCCAGCCACGTGGAACTGTAGATTCATTAAATCTCTTTCTTTTGTAAATTGACCAGTCTTGGGTATGTCTTTATCAGCAGTGTGAAAACAAACTAATACAATAAATTGGTACCAGGAGAGTGGGGTGCTGCTGAAAAGGTACCTGAAAATGTGGAAGCAACTTTGGAACTGGGTACCAGGCATAGGTTGGAACAGTTTGGGGGGCTCAGAAGAAGACAGGAAAATGTGGGTAAGTTTGTAGGGACTTGTTGAATGGCTTTTACCAAAATGCTGATAATGATATGGACAATGAAATACAGGCTGAGGTGATCTCAGATGAAGATGAAGAACTTGTTGGGAACTGGAGCAAAGGTGACTCTTGTTATGTTTTAGCAAAGAGACTGGCAACATTTTGCCCCTGACCTAGAGATTTGTGGAGCTTTGAACTTGAGAGAGATGATTTAGAGTATCTGGCAGAAGAAATTTCTAAGCAGCAAAACATTCGAGAGGTGACTTGAGGGCTCTTAAAACCATTCAGTTTTAAAAGGAAAACACAGCATAAAAGTTTGGAAAATTTGCAGCCTGACAATGTGACAGAAAAGAAAGTCTCATTTTCTGAGGAGAAATACAAGCTGGCTGCAGAAATTTGCATAAGTAACAAGGAGCCAAATGTTAATCCCCAAGACAATGGGAAAAATGTTTCCAGGGCATGTCAGAAGTCTTCACAGCAGCCGCCATCACAGGCCTGGAGGCCTAGGAGAAAATGGTTTCCTGGGCTGAGCCCAGGGTCCCTGTGCTGTGTGCAGTCTAGGGACTTGGTACCCTGCATCCCAGTCACTCCAGCCATGAGTAAAAGGGGCCAGAGTAGAGCCTGGGCCATGGCTTCAGTAGGTGCAAGCTGCAAGCCTTGCAGCTTCCACATGATGTTGAGCCTGCGAGTGCACGGAAGTCAAGAATTGAGGTTTGGGAACTTCTGTCTAGATTTCAGAAGATGTATGGAAATGGCTGGATGCCCAGGCAGAAGTTTGCTGTCGGGGTGGGGTCCTCATGGAGAACCTCTGCTAGGGCAATGCAGAAGAGAAATGTGTGGTGGGAGCCCACTCAGAGTTTCTACTGGGACACCACCTAGTGAAGCTTTGAGAAGAGGGCCACCATCCTCCAGACCCCAGAATGATAGATCCATGGACAGCTTGCACCATGCACCTGGAAAAGCTGCAAACACTCAACTCCAGATCACGGAAGCAGCTGGATGGGAGGCTGTACCCTGCAAAGTCACAGGGGTGGAGCTGCCCAAGACCATGGGAACCCACCTCTTGCATCAGCGTAACCTGGATCTGAGACCTGCAGTTAAAGGAGATCATTTTGGAGCTTTAAGATTTGACAGCCTTGTTGGATTTTGGACTTGCGTGGGGCCTGTAGCCTCTTTGCTTTGGCCAATTTCTCCCATTTGGAATGGCTGAATTTACCCAGTGCCTGTACCCCCATTGTAGCTAGGAAGTAATTAACTTGCTTTTGATTTTACAGGTTCATAGGCAGAAGGCACTTGCCTTATCACAGATGAGACATTGGACTATGGACTTCTAAGTTCATTCTGAAATGAATTAAGACTTTGGGGGACTGTTAGGAAGGCATGATTGGTTTTAACATGTGAGGACATGAGATTTGGGAGGGGCCAGGGACAGAATCATATGGTTTGGCTGTGTCCCCACCCAAATCTCATCTTGAGTTGTAACTCCCACAATTCCCAGGTGTCTTGGGAGGTACCTGGTGGGAGGTGATTGAATTAGGAGGGCAGGTCTTTCCTGTGCTTTTCTCATGATAGTGAATGAGTCTCATGAGATCTGATGGTTTTAAAAAGGGGAGTTTCCCTGCACAAACACTTTTCTCTTGTCTGCCACCATGTGAGATGTGCCTTTCACCTTCCTCCATGATTGTGAGGCCTCCCTGGCCATGTGGAACTCTGAGTTCATTAAATGTCTTTCTTTTGTAAATTGTCTTAGGTATGTCTTTATCAATAGTGTGAAAACAGATTAATACAAGTAGGATGCAGTTTTGGAAATATTAAACTGAGGTTCAAAAAATATTTAAAATGTGCTAATTTAATAAGAAATGCAACCTGTATAAATGCCAGATATAGCTGTTTTAAAAAAATCTACCTATATGAGAGCAGGGCCTGGGGGTGATTGGCTGGAGACCTGGGAGGGACAGCTTGGGCTTAGAAATGGCAACACTGTGTTCTTGGTTCATTTCTTCCCACCACACATTCCCTGTTAGTCTTCCTTGGCATCTCCCAGATTTGGAAAGAAATGTCTCCTGTGCCTTCCCTGGGTGGCTTCTCCTTCCCCTGCAGGCCCAGGACTCTTTGGCTCTACCCCCTGCTAGGCAGGGCTTCCCACACAGCCCCACCTCCATCCCCAGCCTGGCTCAGCCTCTACAGACCAATCTTCTGAGACATGTAGGCCTTTTCCTGGAGACACCACACCTGTCAGACTCCATTCCTGAACATCTTACACATTTTCTCCTGCTGGCCTTCGCATGTTCCTCCCACACTTCCAGCCCCATCTCTCTTGGGATCCATGTAATTAGTCCCACTGCTTATTCCTTACCCTCTGTATTCAACCCTTCCAAATCTATTCTCTATTTTGTTGACAGTTATGTTTCCAAAAATCAAGCTTAAGCCTATCATTCTCTTTTTAAAATTCTTGCAAAGGCTCTCTTTGATTGTGAAAAGAATCCAGGGTCCTGAGAAATCAGATTGAGAGACTTATTACAGAATTGCTTTCTGATTCACTTTCCTTAACTGTCTGCGAGTTTGTGAAAGCAGGGACAACATTTTACTGGTAATCTTTGGACTCTGGTAGGTAAATATATGGAGCTGACATTTTTGAAATACTTATTACGTGCCAGATAGTAGCTGCATCTTTGCCAAGCATTATTTCTTAGCAATAGCTTTATGAAGTAACCATATTTTTCTTCTTTTTTAAATATGTAACACATCCAAAATGAGGTGTGTAGCACTTTAAATTAGGAAATATTACAACAAAATGAGCATTCCAAAATACAGCCCACAACCTAAAAACTAGGAAAATGCTCATCCATGTATCCTTTTGTGCACACACCTCCACTTCACTTGTCCTACCTTACTCCAAGGGGAACCCATGTCCTGCTTTTGCATCTTCATTCTTAGAGTTTTAAAATATTTTTGTGCCTGCATGTGTGGACTCCAAAAGAGTATTTGTTCCATATGCACTATTCTGAGATGCCCATTCAATTACATTTGATAACTTCATTGTTTCCTATCATATACAATATTACTAGTATTTTTTCTATTTGATGTATAAACAAATCATGCAAATCTCTAAATATGATTCTAATATTTTTGTAATTCTATCAATTTTAATTTTTTTAATATTTGAGACTGTTTTGAAGTATATTGAAGTTTAGAATTATTACACCTTCCAAATTCTATAATTTAGGTTTTTTGTTTGTTTGTTTGTTTGTTTGGAGACAGGGTCTCACTCTGTCGCCCAGTCTGGAGTACGGTTGTGTGATCACAGCTCACTGCAACCTCCACCTTTTGGACTCAAGCGATCTTCCCACCTCAGCCTCCTGATTAGCTGGGACTACAAGTGTGTACCACCACACCTGGCTAACTTTTGTATTTTTAGTAGAGACAGGTTTTCCCCATGTTGGACACGCTGGTCTTCAATTCCTGACCTCAAGTGATCTGCCTGCCTTGGCCTCCCGAAGTTCTGGGATTATAGGCGTGAGCCACCATGCCTAGCCTCAAATTCTATTATTATATAGTCCCTTGTTACACACTTAATATGAGTTTTGTCCTAAGGCCAATTTAGTCTGATTTTAGTAAAGTTACTCAAGCTTTGCTTTTGTCTGATATAAACTTTGTCTGATACAACTTTTTGTCTGATGTAACCTTTTCATTCTTTTTCTTCCAAACATTCTACATTGTTTTTCTTATAAAGAGCCTATAACAGGCTTCCTTCTATAATTTGAAATACAAAAATATATTTTAACTAGCAAGTTTAGTCGATTTACATTTATTGGAAAGACTATCAATATTGGCATATTTAAATTTGTTTCTATACTCTTCACTTCTGCTTTCTATTGCTCCCAGTTTTTTCATTATTTTATCTTGCTTTCTAAAAAGACATTTTGTTGTTCCTTTTTTTTTCTGTTATCTTCATTATTCCATTTTCTCTCATAATAGTTTGATATTCCTGCACTCTATATTTCTAGTGGTTACTCTTGAAAATCTACTTTTTACGTGTCACTTAACATTATGTAAATTTACTTAATATACTAAAAACAAACTTAGAGCAGTCGGCTTTTTATTCTTTTTATTTATTTCTTCTTGGCTAACATTTATTACGGTTATGAATTTTTATCCTTTTATAAACAAAAAACACGTATTATTATTGTCATATAAATTTTGTTTTATCTTGTATTATACAACACCCTGCCCCAATTTGCGTTGCTTCCCATCTCTTTCTAGATCTCAGACATTCCTTCTGGAGCATTTTCCCTTCTTGGGAAGGGCAGAGTTGTGCCTCCTGGGCTCACAGCACCAACACTGCCTGGGAGCTTGTAAGAGACTCAAGTATTCAGTCCCCACCATAGGCCTAGAGAAACAGGGTCCTGGGGATGGGCCCAGAAATTCACATTTGTATAGACTTCCCAGGAAGACTCCATAACTTGTCAGACCCAGCACAGATGAAAATGGGGAGCTGCCCTTTGCTCAACATGATTAACAATTTTAGGATGGCCATAGCAGAGCCTTCAATCAAGTTCAGGGCCCTTCTGAGCTTGCAGACTCTGGGTGACTGCCCATGGAGCTGGCCTTGACTTTCATGTGGTATCTTCAATTATTCAGTGAGGAAGATTTGTGTGTTCTTCCTCCATTTATTCAATCATTTATTTATATCAGTATGAACCTATTACATATTTTATACATGCATTTATAATCCAATACCTTGGTTTTCTTGCCAAAATTGTTCCAGCTTGTGCCATTGGAAGCTCTTCCCAGTTGTCCTTCCTTACTGTGTAATGGTGAACCTAGTGAATTAAGTTGGAGCCCTTTGTAGAGGCTTCCATAATCCTTTTGCATTGCTCCCCTAACACAATTCAAGGTCACCGATCCAAATGACAGAGAAGGCTGAGAATCAGAAGTGTTCTGTGGCCTTTGTGGGCAAAATGAGGGCTGGCAGGACCCAAATGAGAAGGAAGTTTACTAACAAAAAGAAAGTGTATCAGGCAAGGCTGACTGCACCTGCCCTCCGGCTGCCCCCACTGAGGTCTGCTGCACAGGCTGCCAGGCACAGGTTTGGTTCTGAGTGGAACAATCCTGTGTTCCTTAGAGTCTTAACTCTAAGTCTTCTGTGGGCGACAGGATCCTGGCAACCTCAGCAATTGCCTGGAGGCCGTGGAGGGTCTGCTGGTGTCCTGAGGGTGTATGTTGCAGCTTTCCAGGGGCTGCTGGGCTGGGTCAGGGCAGTGCTGCCAGGGGACTCTCATCAAGGCCCATGTCATACAGATTGTTCTGGGGATGGTGGTGTTTATCATTATGGTCATATTTTTAATTATTAATAAACTATTCAAGTAGAGGCAAGCTAGCCACTATTTTCCCTCCCCCTGGAAGAAAGACAACACATTTTTGAGAACTGCAATGTAGATTAAAAACATATTTGGTGCCCAAAGTGATCTGAGAATGTATGTTCATGCAAAAAACCTGCATACGGATGTTTATAGCAGCTTTAGTCATAATTGCCAATACTTGGAAGCAATCAAGATGTCCTTCAGCAGGTGAGTGGATAAATGAACTGTGCTGCATCCAATCAATGGAATATGATTCCTCATGAAGAAGAAACGAGCTTCCAAGTTGCAGAAAGACATGGAGGAACTTTAAGTGCATTTTGTTAAGTGGGCAAAGATAAACTGAGAAAGGCTACATACTGGGTGATTTCAACTATATGACATCCTGGAAAAGGCAAAACTATGGAGGCAGTAAAATAATCAGTGGTTACAAGGGGTTTTGGGGAAGGGAGGAATAAAAAGAGGATCACAAAAGATGTGTAGGGCAATGACACAACTCCATGATACCATCATGGAAGACACATGAGTGCATTTGACAAAACCTATGGAATTCACACCAAGATGCAAACCCAATGAACTATGAACTTTAGTAATAATGTACGAATATTGGCTATAACTAACGTATTGCACCAATGCAAAGTGTTAATAATAGGGGAAAACTGTGAATGAGGGGAGAAGGAGTATATGAGAACTCTCTGTACTTTCTGTTCAATTTTGCTTCAAAACTCCTCCACGAAATAAAGTGCACTAATTTAAAAAATTCATACTTAGAGGTCTTAGTCCACTTCAGTGCAAACCAGATCAGAAAACAAATGATTAAAAACACATGAAACACCAATAAAGAACTAGAAATCTCCAACTTTTCACTTGATGTTTACGTAGACACCTTTGAAAAGAAGTAAAAGAAGGTAGATAAAACACAATATTGAGAGCAAGTTGACCGATGGTTGACATTGCAAGGAAGTTTCAGTCTGTACAAGATGCATCAGGATACATCCAATTTGAAGAAACTGCAATAAAAACATCCTTCAAAACCCATCTGATGAATGAAGAACAACTTCAGACAGCACTGAAAGATGCTTCGAAGGGAAAATCTAATATTCCAAGAAGCCTAAAGTGGAAGTAGAAGGATAGAAACGGAGAGTGAGTAAAGTTATTACAATAAAAATGTTCTAAAACTATAAAGAGAGGTAGGTTAAGCCTCTGGATGGACAGTTGCAACAAATAAGAATTTTCGCTAGTGTTATTGGAAAAAACAATGTGGATAGCAGGAACTTGAAAATACATATTGTGAATGCCACGAAAATGAAGACCTCCTAGAAGATGACTCAAAGGAATTTCAAAGAAAATGATTGATGTGGCTGAATTAAATATTTACTTTAAAACTTTTGAAGAGGAAACCAAACGTATGCTAAGTTAACTCAGGAAGATGAAATAGCCGATGCACTTAAAGATCACATAAAAATCCTCTAAACTGAGAAAGCATCATTGCAGTTGGAGGAAAATCAGTTAGAAAAGGAAAAGCAACCACTCCCGAAGGAACTTCAAATCTTCTTAGAAATGCACCAGAAGAAATGAGCATTCAACAAATATCTGATTTGGGGAGACTGTATTCTGTAAGATAGGAGAGTAGTTTTCCAAAGCAGATGAAAACATGCTACAGTACCTGATAGTCACAATAAATGACTATGTTACTGGCTTATGTGCTTGTTATCCTATACATTTTTATTGTGATTTTAGAGTGTACTCTTTCTACATATATATGTATATATATATATACACACACACACATATATAGTGTGTATATATACGAAGAGTGTATATATACGAAGAATATATATATATATGCACTCTTCATATATATATATACTCTTTATGTGTGTGCATATATATATATATATATATATATATATATATATATATATATATATAGTTTTTAAAGTAACAATAAAACAGTCTCAGGCAGATCCTTCAGGAGGTAGTCTAGAAGAAGGCATTGCTATCAGCGGAGATGACAGATCCATGCACGTTATTGCCCCTGAAGACCTTCTGGTGGGACAAGATGTGGAGGTGGAAGAGAATGATATTGATAACTCTGACCCTGAGTAGACCTAAGTTAATGTGTGTGTTTGTCCCTTCATTTTTAATACAAAAAGTTTAAAAATAAATAAATAATTTTAAAAATAGAAAAAAGCTTACGGAGTAAGAATATAAAGAGAAAAATATTTTTGTGCAGCTGTACACTGTGTTTGTGTTTTAAGCTTTAATGCTGCCTGGGACTCGCTAGGTCACCGCTGCTCCTAGTGATCTCTCCCTCCTCCAGACAGAGCATTACTAACATGGGTCACAGTCACAGCTCCTACACGCAGGGCTTGTATGGTTCACTTTACCTCACCCTCAAGGTACTGGAGACTGATAATCTATTCAGTGTAGCACCCCATCACTTACAAATATCTTTCACTTTGTCTCATTCAATATTCTCAATTCTGAGAAGTAGGTAAGTGCAACAAATTCTCATAAAACTTAGTGGCTTAAATAATGGCTTTATTTATTTATTTCTGAGACAGGGTCTCACTCTTGTCAATCAGGCTGGTGTGCAGTGGCAGTCCTGACCAACTGGGCTTAAGCAATCCTCCCATCTCAGCCTTCAGAGTGCCTGGGACCACAGGCAAGTGCCACCATGCCCAGCTAACTTTTTTGTATTTTTTTATAGAGATGGTGATGTGGTTTGGCTGTGTCCCCACCCAGATCTCATCTTGAGTTGTATCTCCCATAATTCCCATTGTTGTGGGAGGGACCTGGTGGGAGATAGTTGAATCATGGTGGCAGTTTCCCCCATACTGTTCTCATGATAGTGAATAGGTCTCACGAGGTCTGATGGTTTTATGAGGAGAAACCCCTTTTGCTTGGCTCTTACTCTGTCTTTGCCTGCCACCATCCATGTAAGATGTGACTTGCTCCTCCTTGCTGTTCACCATGATTATGAGGCTTCCCCAGCCACGTGGAACTGTAAATCCAATTAAACCTCTTTCTTTTGTAAATTGTCCATTCTCAGGTATGTCTTTATCAGCAGTGTGAAACAGACTAATATAGATGGGGGCTCATGATGTTGTCCAGACTGGCCTTAAACCCCTGGGCTCAAGCAATCTTCCCATTGTAGCCTCCCAAAGCACTGGGATTACATGTGTGAGCCACTGCACCTGATATTTTGCTCACACATTTATGATGTGCTTTGGGCTGAGAAATGGCAAGTCAGCCCTGTTCCATTTGGTGTCAGCTGGGCCAGCTTAAAGGCTGGGCATAGAACCACTGGGAGGCTCACTCACTCCCACATCTTTAGGTATCTGCTCCAGGGAGCAATGTAAGCTCCACAGCAGAAGAAGCACATGTGGGAAGGGAAGTGCAGCCCTCTTGGACTGTGCAATGGCCACAGAAGTTATGAACATACCCATTTTACCCGTAAGGAAACCAAGACACACTGCAGCTAAAAGGTGGCCCAAACTCCCTCAGAGAAGAGCAAGAACTCAAACTCAGACCAGTTTGCCCTTCTTTTTCTTTTCTTTGTTTGTTTTTTTGTTGTTGGACTTTGTGCTTTGTTGATTTGTTGGATTCATTGTTGTTTCTTTTTATCTTGAACCTGGTAAGCAGCCCAGCCAGGATACAAACTATGGTTATTCTTACACTGAATCCAAATGGATTCTCAAGATCTAAGCCTTCTCCTTTATTTTGAAATCAAGGGAGGTAGAGTAATTCATTAAAAGCCAAATAAGGCCACTTTTCCCCATATCAATCCTGTGGTTGGGGCCTCTCCCTGCAGGGGTGCAGAAGCTGTGTCCTCTGTGGAGGAGCACTCAGTGGGGCTCTTGAGTCAGGCTGCCTGGCTCCATTCCAGTCCTAGAGACTTAGCTAAGGAGCCTCAGGAAAGTTACTTAACCTCCATTCTTAGTTCTTCCAGAGATAGAATGGAGGTAACCACAATACCTACCCAAGGGTTGTCATCAGGATCAAATGAGGTAACTGGCAGTTAACAGAGCAGCTAGAACACAGCACCCGCTGCACGGTGCCTGGAACAAAGCAGATACATGCAGGCATTAACAGATGATCCAAATTGATACAGGCACGCTTACTAATTCACCTAATACATTTCATTGAGCAACTTGCATCTTGAGAACTACTGAAGTTTTCTGAACTTAGCTCTGGAAACTTTGATATCTCACATTCCTTTTTCAAGCCTCAGTTTCTTTATCTGTGCAATCACCATACATTTATTAGCTCCAAAATTTTTCCAGCTTTCCTATTTATGACCTCTAATCTATACAGTATAGTAACTTTATTTATAGTTAACAGTCTGCAGGATTATTATCACAGCATCCTGATTTGAAGCCTGGAGGTTCTCTTATTTTAAAGGGGAATTGTATAAAGCAGGAAAAAAAACATTGGTTTTACTCTTTGGGGAAAAAAAAAAGAAGACCTGTTACTAACATTTTGTCATAAGCTTGTCTCGTATCATTAGTCTTATACTGAAGAAATAAATAATGTTTCTCAAAACACAGTACTTGAAGCAATTTAATTTATTGTGACATTTCTTTGTGATGTTTCTACCTGTATTTTTCCTAGTATATTCCAGGAATAAGAAAAGATCCTTGGACTTCATGGTCTCAAGTGGACTTTGTGTTTTTGCCACCAGTCTGCAGGAGGAAGAGTGGGAGTTTGCTGTCTTCACATTTCGGGAAAGCCTGGGCCAGCTGAAGTGGCTACAATTGGGTCCTGGGGCAGAAAAGCAGAGGAAGTGTCAGAGAGGAAAATAGCAGAAACAGGCCCTGAAAGGCCATATCCTAAGACAGGGGAGAGGTCAGCGGCCCAAGGAAGAGGCCCCAACCTCACTACCCGACAGCTCTGTGGGGAGATGAAGGACCTCTGTGGGGTCTCCAGGTGGTGCTCTTGGAGAGGTTGTATGCCAGCTTATTCCAAAAGAGGGGCTCCCAGACTGAGCAAATGTCTGGCCTGGATCTGCCAGATCAGGTGAACCACCTGCTTTCAAGGACCAATGAAGCTGAGATGATGAGGATGTGAGCAGTGACCTCAATGAGTGAGAGAGGAGGCTTCCTGACATTTTGGGGGCCATGTAAGCTGTCTGTGATCTGATGAGGCCTTATGGGAGACAGGGAGCCCCCAAATAATGCAGCTTGACTATTCCAGCTGCCAAGTAGGGTATGGGCTCATAGTCAGGTTTAATTTGATATAAAGGAAATATAGCAAGGTAACCTTCCTTTCATAACCCACTGTATGACTCTTATGCATTAAGAGTCATACAGCAGAGTCATCCCGAGTACTCCACTAAAATAAGGGCATTTTGGGTCCCTTGGAAGGTAACTTGGAAGTTACCTGAAGGTAACTGACATAGCATCATAATCTTCACTTTTGCACATGCTGTTTCTTTATTTTAGACCATTTCTTCTCATCACTATTGATATCCACATTCATTTTAGCCTTGAAGGCACGTGTCAGCTGATCTTTCAGTATCCATGGAAGCTCTGTGTGGCAGGAAGTGCAAGATGCATGACGTATATTGTCTCATTTAGCCTTCATCACTGCAGAGAATAAGTTACTATTATTCTCACACTATGGAAACCAGATAAGAAATCAAGGCTAACCCCAGCTAGATGACTCTCTGACATACTACACTAAGAGAGAAATGAACTAGACCTCAGATCAGCTCCCATCCAACTTTAAATTCTTTCGAAAAAAAAAATCTCTGTTACCTGTCCTCTTTATTTGAGAGGTTTCCCCACATTGACTCAGACAACCTTGGGTCACAGAAGACTCAAGAGCCCCAGCAGTGCTAGGGACGCCACAGGACAGGGTGGCCGTCTTTATCACGAGTTCATCCAAGGCCCTAAATGCTTGATTCTGACCACACACTTAACCAGGAGAGGGACTCTGTGCTGCAGTAACACCGGGCATCAAGTATGCTGAGGGGTAAAAGTGACCTTGGAGTTTAGACAAACAAAGCCATGGCTCCAGCTAGAATCACCCATCACCCTGCGGAGGGTGGAGGACAGACTGCAGTGGTTGGGGGACTGGAGAGAGAATGTGTGTCTCCAAGGCAAGAGGGAGCTACTGCAGGGACACAGGCAAGGAGCCATGGTGGGGGCCATGAAGAGACAGAGGCAGACACAGAAAGACAGAAAGGCAGACAGTGTATAAGTACTGGTTGGCTAGGGTGCCACAACAAAACACCAGAGACGGGGGCTTACACAGCAAATGTTTATTCTCTCACAGCTCTGGAAGCTGGAAGGTTAAGATCAAGGTGTCAGCCGGGCTGATTTCCCCCAAGCTCTCTTTCCCGGGTTGCTGATCACCAGCCTCTCATGATACCCCCATGGTCTTCCCTCTGTGTGTGTCTGTGTCCAAATTTCTTCTAGTCCCATTGGATTAGAACCCACCCTGATGGCCTGATTTTAACTTTATCACCTATTTAAAAGCCCCATCTCCAAAGGCTGCCAATATTCTGAAGTCCCTGGGGGTTAGGGTTTCAATATATGAATTTTGAGGGCACCGACTTTAGCCCATAATGAGGGAGTGGTAGGGAGACTACAGCCCCAATACAGAGCTCCTGTGTACTTTGAGGGGTGAGGGTGGATGACTGCTGGGCTCTCAGGGAAGGCACACAGCTATGGATTCCAAATACCAGCTACAGATTCATCACCTAGGGGCTTGGACTCCATGACCTTTGAGCTCCTTTGCATTTAATTCTAATATTGTGACATTGATTAGTCTCCTTGAGGGCTTCCTCTGAGCCTCCCATGGGTTTTGCTGTCATCAAGTTGGCTCCTCCTGAACAGCCTTTTCGAGACCTGGTGAGCACTTTAGGGCAATGGTGCTAGGAACACCCCATTGTAATAAGCCATAATGTGCTGGAGGGCACAGTAGCATCTGCTTCACTTCCTGTCTGGCTCAGTATTCTCTCAGCCCCCTGAAACACGGCTCCACCCTTGTGCCTCATTCCCACCTCCCTTCCATTAAGGAGTCCCATGAATTCTGCAGAGCCAACTGCTGTTAGGACTTCAGCCTCTGTGAACCCTGGTTTCTGACTTCACTGGTAGTTTTTGCTCAGCCTAGAAAAAAGGAGGAAAGCAAACCTTATGGCCTCCTTCCTGTGGGCCACGAACTGTGCTTTGATATTTCTTCTTGAGTCTTTATAACTTTACTTCAATGGAAGCATCATTATAATCTTATTTTAGAGATGAGAAAACAGAGACTCCAAGGGGTGACCTAAGTCCCCGAGCATAACACAGAGTAAGGGGCAGAGATGAGGTTCAGAGCCACCTGTGCTTGGCTGGTAAAGGAGAGAGCTACACGATGGGCTCCCGCAGGGATTCCTGCCCAGGACACTGATTTCGGAGGTTGGTGAGGCACTCACTCTCTACTTATTACAGACCTTTAAATCTTTTCCCCTCAATGAGATAATGAGTTTAAGCAGGTACCCATGTGATTGTATATTTTTCCTGAATTCTGTCCCTGCCCTCATTGCTAGCCATACTATGGTACTCAATAAATAATTATTAATAATGTGGACACTCAGGATTTTAAAGGGCTCTCTTTTGGATGTGAAGAGGACTTTATCCTTAAGTCATTAGATTTTAAAAGTCAAGTGTTTGTGCTGCATAAAATAAGAAGAGCTATTATCTCTGTTTCCACATACACAAGACTCAAACCCCGAGAAGTCGGGTAACCTGCTAGCTTCACCCTACAGGCAGCCAAGGCTGCTTCCTTCTCTGGCTCATCATCAAAATCCAGGCACACCAGTTCTGAGGCCAGTTACAACCTGGAGTACTTACAGGATTTATTTACAAAGTGTTCATCTTTGGCTTTTTGAAGTATTTAGGGGGAGTCCATCTGCCATTGATCCATTTCTTTGCCACGTGCAATACTATTTATCCAGAACTATTCCTTCTACTTACTTGCTTAGCAGGCATGTACTTAATGTTTCTCTGTCTCAGTGTTCTCATCTGTAAAATGAGTCTTATTATACCCACCTCACAGGGTAATTGTTTCAATATCATATAGTTGTGAGGATCAAATGAATAACCATATGGAAAGAACTTAGCACAGTTCCCAGAATGGTGTGAACATGTAATAAGTATTTGCCCTAAGCATTCATTCTATGATTGGCTTAAAATACTCAATGAGTGTTAGATTAGCAATAATTATTTTTTTCAACTTTTAAGTTCAGGGGAACATGTGCAGGTTTGCTACATAGGTAAGCTTGTGTCACAGGAGTTTGTTGTACAAATTATTTTGTCACCTAAGTATTAAGCCTAGTACCCATTAGTTATTTTTCTGATCCTCTCTCCCCTCTCACCCTCAGGTTGGCCCCAGTGTCTGTTGTTTCTCTCTGTGTCTATGTGTTCTCATCATTTAGCCCCTGATTATAAGTAAGAATATACAATATTTGGTTTTCTGTTCCTGTATTAGTTTGCTAAAGATAATGGCCTCCAGTTCAATCCATATTCCTGCAAAGAACATGATCTTGTTCTTTTTTTATGGCTGCATAATATTCCATGATGCATATGTAGCACGTTTTCTTATCCAGTCTAAAATTGATAAGCATTTAGGTAAGGAGTTTAAACAAAATTACCAAAAAACTCAACCCCATTACAAAGTGGGCAAAGGACATAAACAGACACTTTTCAAGAGAAGACATACATGGGGCCAGCAAGCAATGGAAAAAAGCTCTACATCCCTGATTATTGGAGAAATGCAAATCCAAGCCACAATGAGATACCGTCTCACACCAGTCAGAATGGCTACTATTAAAAAGTCAAAAAAATAACAGATGCTGAAGAGGTTGTGGAAAAAAAGAAACACTTATAGACCATTGGTGGGAGTATAAATGAGTTCACCCATGGTGGATAGCAGTGTGGCGATCCCTCAAAGAGCTAATAACAGAATTACCGTTCGACCTGGCAAACCCATTACTGGGTATATATCCAAAGGAATATAAATCGTTCGAACACAAAGACACCTGCATGCATATGTTTATTGCAACACTGTTCACAATAGCAAAGACATGGGATCAACTTAAATAGTTCATTTTTGAGGTGGAGTTGCGAGTTACTACTTTTTAAAATCTCTTCTTTCCCTTTTCCCTCATTTTCTTTTTCTCCCCAGTAGCATAGTTGATGCATAGTTTTTTGGTGTTTTTTTGTTTTTTGTTGTTTTGTTTTTTTTTTATTTGAGATAGAGTCTTGCTCTGTCGTCCAGGCTAGAGTGCAGTGGCCAATTTTGGCTCACTTCAACCTCCGCCTCCAAGGTTCAAACAATTCTTCTGCCTCAGCCTCCCGAGTAGCTGGGATTACAGGCACCCACCACAGCGCCTGGCTAATTTTTGTATTTTTATTATTTATTTATTTATTTATTTATTTATTTATTTATTTTGAGATGGAATCTTTCTCTGTCGCCTAGGCTGAAGTGCAGTGGCCGGATCTCGGCTCACTGCAACCTCCGCCTCCCAGGTTCAAGCCATTCTCCTGCCTCAGCCTCCTGAGTAGCTGGGATTACAGGCACTTGCCACAATGCCCGGCTAATGTTTTTGTATTTTTAGTAGAGATGGGGTGTCACCATATTGGCCGGGCTGGTCTTGAACTTCTGACCTCAAGTGATCTGCCCACCTTGGTCTCCCAAAGTGCTGGGATTACAGGCGTGAGCCACCTTGCCCGGACATTTTTGTATTTTTAGTAGAGATGGGGTTTCACCATGTTGGCCAGGCTGGTCTTGAATTCCTGACCTCATAATCCACCCGCCTCGGCCTCCCAAAGTGCTGGATTACAGGCATGAGCCACCATGGCCGGCCATATAGTTATTTTTTTTAATAGCCACTTAACACAAAGAAACCACCTCTTATACCATATTAAAAGAAGACAATGAGTAGAAAACAACAAAAGCCTTGTTGAGAAACACGTGCTGTACAGTCAGGTAGATTTGCTCCTTTTACTAGCAAAGGGAGTAAATTTCAAAATAGAATGTGCAAGGTCTTCAAGCGAGAAGAAAAGAATATCTATGCATGTTTATTTTCATTTAGCAAATTAGAAAACAAATTGAGCTTTACTGGCATTTCATGTACAGATTGACAAAAGAGTATGTAGAAAAAGAATGAATAAATGTACAGTTTGGAATGTACATTTTTTCTTTTTCTCTAACTACTTGAGTTGAATAATCAAGAATGGCTGGAGGCCCTTCGTGATGCTGCCTGCCTGTGATCCCATGCTTTGGGAGGACAAGGAAGGAGGATTGTTTAAGACCAGGAGTTCAAGACCAGCTTGGGCAACAGAGCAAAAGGGCACAGTTGGAGCTGAGTGCTTACGCCACTCACAAACGTTGTAAATCCTGAGAATTGCTTTTGAGAGAAAAATAATTGTGTTTTATTCCTCATCATTCCCAAATGCATAACACAATGGCTGGTGCATTTCACCTGTTCAATCAATAAATGTGACTTATTGTTATTTTACCATGATTAGCGATGAACTATGCTATGTGCCTATTTTTTTACTTAAACCTCAGAATATTTCTGCCAAGTTATGCAATAGTATCCTGTTTTAAAGACAGAAACCAAGGGGCAGGGAGAACATACGATTTCTTCAAAGTCATGTGGCCTCTCAGCTCTAAAATTGAAGCTGAAATCTGTCCATTCAGCATGAGGTCTCCTGGTTTCTGTTCTTATCTAAATGGAACCGGAGAAGGGAAGGTCCTACCTTAGGGGAACTGAGGAATGAGGTGAGAGGGGCACAGATGTGGGCTACCTGGGGACCTTCCAAACCTCCCTGACCTTCATAAGATTGTTCTCAGGATTAAATAATAATGATTAATTTAAACAAGCATGTATTATCGCTTTTGGCCACTTACCACATGAACTGACCTATCGCTATCGGTCTTAACTTGGAACAGAGACAGCATAGAATTCAGAGACACAGACCTGGGTGAGGGCTAACTCTCTGCCCTTAACTAGCGTGGAAATACAGGTCTCCCTTTTTTCATACGTCACTAGGGGATGCTCACATTTATTTTATTGAACATTTAAGATACTTCAAAATGGTGCAAGTTCCTCATACACAGTAAATTCCTGATAAATGAAGTAGCTATTATACCACACTATTTCACTTTTTTCATGTTTCTAAGTTAAAAAATGTTCTCACCTCAGCTATAATTTTTAAAGTTTGAATCATGGAAACAGGTGAGTTATCTTATGAAAGCCAGAAACCATGTCCTAGGCAAGAATGGCCATGGCTCTTATTCAGTGTCCCTTTTTAAATGCCTTCTAACCGGATCATAGACCCAAAGGGGACCTTGGGGACCCCTGCTCCTTCTCACATCTCAGTTACAGGAAATAAGGCCAAAGGGTTTGTATTACCAGCCCAGAGTCACTCAGTGAGCTCTTGTCAGTGTCAGGACTTAACCCAGATCACTGGGCTCTTTCTTCAGATGTCTCTCCTCTGCCACCTTGACCCATCTCACCTGCCTGGTTCCTGACCCTGGATTTCATCACCTGGGTCTTTGTTCCCTGGCCACTCCTCCTCAGACTCTAGACTTTCACGGAGTCTAAGCAAAAAGACATTCATACAGTGTTGTCACCCGGGCCTTGGTTGCA
This sequence comes from Homo sapiens, assembly GCF_000001405.40. NCBI lineage: Eukaryota > Metazoa > Chordata > Mammalia > Primates > Hominidae > Homo > Homo sapiens. The sequence continues at coordinate 6,309,405 of NC_000002.12, forward strand.
TCCTCTGTTTGTGGCTCCTTGTGGTGCCTCCTGACCAGTTTCCTTGTGCCTTTGCTTTATCTCTTCTGTGTTTACTTGGATTGCCAGAATGTGCAAGTCAGGAGTTCTAAGAAACAAAGTGTGTCCCCAAACCAGTCCATATAGGGTGTATTGTGGGCTACCTAAGAAACTTTTAGCATTTGGGTGGTTTCAGACATGCATATGCAAAATGCTCACAAAGACATGCAACTCACACAGCCACATGCATACAGGTGTGCCTGTACACAAAGCAAATTCTCATATGTGCATGCACACACATGGGCACACACATGTGCACGCGCTAGCACACACACACAGCTTCCAAACCGTGTCATCCATTTCGCATTGTGGCTCTGAGTGATTGGTTTGATAAAACAAAAAATACGTGGGGCCTATGTCTCGTCTGTAGACTACCTATGAGATGCAATTTCTCTGAGATTTTCAAACCGTCTGGCATCTGCAGACTTCAAAACCACTTATAGATATTATAAAACCAGCTCTGATTGTATCTTGATGATTGCTGACATTTAGTGTCTGTCAGCCTGGGGGAGGAAAAAAAAGAAAGAAAAGAAAAAAAGCTTTGCCCCACTAGGATTTCTCCAGCTGGGGCAGCTGAGGCTGTGGCTGTCAGGGGAGGCCCGTGGGACTGTCTGCTGCAATGCTCCAGTGAGTCCTTTCTGCAGCCCAGCATCTTTGGGGCCACAGAGCTCTCATTTCCCCCTCGACCACATTGGTTCTGTGTCCTTTCACACCTGACCCCTTTGACTGACAAACTGGAACAGTACCTGGGAACAAAAGGCAGTTATATAAAATCTAAAGCAGCATATTAATATTTCATTAGCAATTCTTTTCTCTCTGAGGCTGACTGACAGCTCCATCAAGATAGTGGCAAAGCTGATTTTAATTATTTTTTTTTCAACCTGCATCGCTACTCTCACTGCCTCTTCCTGCTGTAAATCAGTCAGAATGTTTTCCTTCATTATTACCACAAGCGCTCAGCAGTCTCTAATTACTCTAAAGAATTTCTTATCTTTTATTTCTAAAGCTGAGATTTTGAAGAGAAGGAGAACGAGGGAGAGAGCCATAATTAACTTTGCAGCTGTTGGTAGTCTGCCCAAGTCTAGAACCGCGGCTATCCCCCCTCCTGTCTGCTCGGCTGTTAGGGGAGACTGGGTGCAGTAATGATAGCATGCTCTTCAAAGCAGGGAGAGCCGTGTATCCAGCACACTCCCTTTGGAAATGCTCTTCAGAATGCATTTTTAATACCGAGATGATTAAAGAGCACACTCAGGAAGGCTTGGCCCACACGTGCCTAAGTGCACAGGGCTTGCATCCCTGGGAGGAGCAGTCCCGGCTGCAGGAGCCTCTGTGTACACCCAGCAGGGCGCTCCCCATCCCCAGCTAGCAGCCTGGAGACATGGCTAGGTGAGCCTCTTGCCAGAAGAAATCAGGAAGCATATTATGTAGCTTTCTGCTGGGCAGATTGTGAGACTAGGTCTCCTCCCTGGGAAACGGGTCCCATCTCCTCATGAGTGCCAAGCACAGAAAGGAGAGGGACCGTTTCAGATGACTGATGAAATATATATAATCTAACCACCCTGGAGGCATATAGCCTTGTCATTAGATATGAAAAGCTTCCTTCAGGGGATTGCATTGGCTTCCTGGTATTATGACTTACAAGGAGAGCAAGATGCAAATTGAGAGTTTTCATGATAATCGGTCTTTTCTATATTTCTCCTGCATTGAATCTCTCTCTGGCCGTCTCTTTGAGTTTTATTGTGTTGACGAATCTCAAACTGATTATTCCTTGGAAATAAGGAAATAAACAGAAACGAAGATAGGGCACACAGCATATATCTTATAAAAATATGACTTAGAGCCAGAACGCAGAGAACGTTGAGTTTTGTATTGTCTTGCGGGTGACACACTCCCAGCTGGGCAGCAGGGGTCTGTGTAAATGGAAGAGATGAGGAAAACTCTGAAATTAAGCCACGAGTTCATTCCTGAGCAGCTGTGCTATGAAATGGTTCAACACTAGCGGCCCTCTCACAGGCTAATGGGCACCTCCCTTCTGATGGGGGAGACCACCTGCACTAATGAGCCCGCGATTATGCAGCTCCTTGGATGGCTCCTATGGGCATTCCTTGTGGACAGGAGCCCCAGCTCTGATGAACGACCTGCTGAGGATTTATGATGTGGAAGGCCTCCCATCAGGGACTAGCCAAAGCCCCTCCAACTCATTCAAATCTTGATTATCAAGGGTTCAAAATGCAGTTTGTAAAGATGAGAGGCCACCTCCATCTCTCTGGTTTTCTGCTGAGCGCTTTGAGTGGGGAATCTCATGGACATGGGCTCACAGTGACACTGGGCAGGCAAGAGCAACACCTCACAGCGTGCATGTCAAGGGACACAGACATCACACATACTCAGGGGCCTTTCTGGGGGCCTCAGCTGAGAGCTGATCAAGGCTCAAGGAGCAGAGACTGTGGGAAACTGAAGTATTAAGGAGTGGGAGCTCAGAGTGCCTCGCTGCGGCACTAACCAGGCTAATGTCCTTGCAGAAAGCCCCTGGCCGCCCTCCTCCCCACTCATTCAACAAATGAGCATGATGCTCACTGCCCCGCCAATCTCACGTGATACTCCGGGAGAGAATTGAGGCAAATGCACCGGGATCTGAGAAAGGAGCAGTAACGATAAGCATCTTGTGTTTTATTTAAAGTGGAGAGTTATGTCCACTTGCATAAGTGCAACGTTTGGTCTGAATTTGCACCTGGGCTAAGGCGAGCTTGCTGCCAATAAGGCTCACTCACCCTCTGAACCAATCACCTTCTCTATTTAGAGGAAAATATATAGTTGCCATTATTCATTCCGTAGTCCACTGAATTCTTATTTAAAGAGGATCTTGTGTCTTTACTGTGGTATGATTCCTCCAAAAATCAGTTTTGATTTGGTATATAATATAGAAATACAAATTTCTCCCTCCCTACTGAATGAAGCGTCATGCCTGTAGAATCTCCATGAACCCATGAGGCCATGGCGGTTGTAAAAAACGAGATAAATGAAAGGTCTGATCTGTTGGGGAGATGCTCTCTCTCGCTCTCCCCTGTGATGTGATTTAAAGCAGTAGGCAGTGAACCAAGCATTAACAAGGCTGATGAGTCAGCACGGCCAAGGGCAAGGGCGCTGCTCTGGTTTCTCCACCTGTAAAGTGAGATTGATAATCTCTTGCCACCATTACTCCTAGGAGGATGTGTGAGGATGAAGGGACCAGTATCTGCTGAGAGCTTTGTCCTATTCCAAGAGCATAAGCAACAATGTCTACTGGTCCAGTAGCTATAAATTAATATCAAGTACACAATAATAGTGACAATAATAATAGGAGTAGCTTTGCCCTGCACAGCACTGTGTGGTTTCAAGAGCAACTATGCACATATTACATATCTGCATTTTAACATAAAACAGCCCCATTTACAGACAAAGGAATTAAGGTGGACAGGATTAAGTCATTTCTAAGGTAACAGAGCTAGTAAATGACAGCCATACCTGGGGTCTAGGAATATATGGTTCACACTCTGCCCCACACCATCTCCTTGCTCATGCTTGACTCTGCCAACTTGAAATATCTCTGGCCCACCAGGGAGATGGAAGACTGATCACGAACTGGGAGACCTGGATTCTACTCCATGGCTTCTTTGGGAAAGCCTTTTCATATCCATAAGCTCTTCATCTATAAAAGTCAATGCCATTTAAAATTCACTGAGGTTCTTTCAGTTCCAAAATTGGACACAATCCATGATATCAGATATAATGTTGACTTGTCAAAGAAAAGGTGAATGGGATGTTTTTCATTAGATTCATTGTGTATTAATTTTTACAATTTTTGTTCAATTAACAATGTCATGTGTAATATTTACTATATTTTAAAATATTGTATGTTGAAGTGAGATTTATTTCTGAAGAAACATGCCTAAAAGCACATAACAGAACAATATAAAAACATAATCTGATTTATAAGAGTTTGATATAGTCTCTTTTAATGCTATGTTATTTTTATTGAAGGATTTAATACTATACTATGATGAATAAAGAAGGCCTCCAGGATAAAAATCCATGGGCTTTTTGTTAAACATAAACTTAATTTCTTAAAAAGCGACTGACTAAATTTTACTTTTAAAAGCAAGTGTTAATGCAATCGAAGTAACAAGAGTGGGCAGACTGCATGTAAGATGGATATCAAGCTATCTGAAAATATCTTTCTTACATTCCTGAAATTTGTCTGTTTAGTTTTTCACCATTTGCTAAACATCTCTGTCTTCAAAAAAGCTTCTACCAAAATGTAAACCTATGATGTGAGAAAGTGATACTCTTCTCATTAGATCTTCCTATCAATTTATCATATTCCTTGACCATTTGCTGAGTGAGTTCCGAGAAAACTGGCCACAGGACAAGCGATTATTAAAGAAGAAGTTAGAAAGGGAAGGAAACATTCCTGAGGGTAGGAGATGGTGGAATGTGAATCTTCATAATGTGGGAATCCCAGGTGGCAGAGTAGTGGGAAAGCTTGTGAACCTTTCCATGCTGAGAGAAACTAGTCAAAGTCCTTTTGCATTTCTTCCTGGAGCTGAACTTAAGCTCCAAGGTGACAAAACACAATTTTGACGTTGAGAATCATGAACAAGAATTTTCTGATGAGCAAACTCAGATGCTTATGACTGTTTCCTGATCTCTAAAAGGAAAAGGTTAAATTGGAGTTCAGCTCAATTCAATACAAGATGTGCTGGGCACTTGTTCTTGTCCAAGGGGAGATGACAAGAGCCATGATAGAAACAAAAATATCAAGATACAGGAGCTCCCTGACCTCCTGTCTTCAGTTCAGTGGGGAAACTGAAATGTGTGCCCTGTCTCACTGGGCACAGTAGGATAAGCTCTTTGCTGTTTATGTGCTTGTTTACAGTCACACACTCCTGGGAAGCAAAGATCATGTGTTTATTTATGAAGCCCCTGTTTGCCGACTCTGATATCCTATATGCTGAATATCAGTTAATCAGTGTCAGTTCAGTTAATGCTAGAGACAGTAAAGCAATGGAATTCAGGGTTGAAAGCAATTAATTAGGTGAGACAGATATCATAGAAAATGTTCTGGGGCCAACAGCTACTGAGTGGGGCTTTAAATACTGTACAAGATCCATTTAGGCAAAGCCATGTGGGGGTGGAGTCTCCATATTTCTATAAAACCTCAATGGTTTCCTGACAGGAAATGTTATAAATTATTCAACGTTTCTGATCCCTTTTCTCTCTCCTAGGATGCAATTTGCAAAATTTAAGTCTGTCTAATTCAGAAGAAATCACTACTCATATACTTGAGTTAGCCAAACCACAAAGAATGCTTGCCTGGAGATCAGGAGGGCTGCAAATTCCCTTCCAATGTCATCCTTTCCCATCCTCGGTGGTGGTCGCCCAGGCAAGTGGAGGGCTCAATGTTGGGAGTAGATGTGTTAGTTCTGCTGCAGCTGGGCTTTGGTATCTAATAGAGAAGAAAGATGTCAACAATTTGTGAGGCGTAGCACCTGGAATAGGGATCCAGCTGCCCATGCTTAGAGTCTCAACAGGGATTAAATGCCTGAAACAAATATAATAACACAAATTTCAACTGGTAGAAATCTTTTCAACACTGAATCTTACACTGCGTGAATACTCTCCAGCTTTGAAAGACAGAGAAATAGAAGCATAGAGAATGATTTGAGAAATAAAATGCAAAGCAAGCCAAGTGTTCATAGAGCTGTGAAGCTTTGTAGCTGAAAATGATTCTATGGATCAGTGTTTCTCAAAATATGGATTAGAGATCTAGATCAGAATCACTACGCTTTTGTCCCCTACACCTCCACCACCCAAGATTTCCTGGCTTAATCCAGGGATTCAGCAGCTCTGGGGTGGGTCTCAGAAATCTGCATTTTTAACTAGTACTGATTGTGTTCCACTGATTTTCCTCTGAAATTTTATGCCCAATGGGGAAGTCCATTCACAGTGAGGGAAATGAGCCTTGGAAAAGCTCACTGCATGAAACTGATCATGGACTAGGGCAGCCGTATTAAACTGAGAGTTTCCCAAAGAGTCATCGACATTCACCTTGGCAGTGACTGGCTCTACTGGGAGCCACTCACTGAATTTTCATGCTTTGTCAGCACGCAGATGGGAGCAGGGAAGGTGGAGGAAAGCACAAACCAGAATTCACTTTTCATCACATAAGCAAAAGCTGTGCCACAGAAATAGGATGACTGTGGGTTTGAGCACATGTAAGGCATTGCATCCCCAGTGCAGCTGCTTCTGGACTCTAGGAGGTTAGCCTGATCTTTATATCACAGTGTGGATGCCAATATGCAAACAAACATCTAACAAACAAAATAAAGAACAAACTTCTTTTATCTTTGCCATAAAGAAGTCTGTAAAGAGCCAGATAGTTAATATTTTAGGCTTTGCAGGCCACATGATTTGTATCTCAACTGCTCAACTGTACTTTGAAAGCAGCCATAGACAATACATAGAGTAATGACGGTGGCTTTGTCCAAGAAATACTTTGTTTTACTATTTACAAAAACAGGTAGAGGGCCAAATTGACTCTGGCTGAGTTTTAGACCCTGAATTTATATAGCATTACTATCCTGAGCATTTATAGACTGCTGCTGCTATTGTGGTTGTTTGTTGATTTAGCAAATTTTGAGTTTTGTGATTTTACATATGCCCCTTCCCCTATTTTTTCTTAGAAAAAAATGACACGATGTGTTAATACATGTCATGAATAGAACTAGCACATTCCTACTGGGTATTTTCCTTTCTTTCATTAGTGCCTTAGGCTATGTAAACATCTTTATAAGTGAATTTTGTTTATATGTAATTAGCATCAGTGTTTTAACTTAAATCACCTCAATATACTAAAAACATTGTTATTCATGCTTAGTTTTACCAATTTTACCAGCATTTCTCCAAACTTTGCTGCAGGAGTACAGTCACCTTCATAGCCCCCCTCACCTAGGCTTTTCTGGGTGAGGAGGTATCTCTCATATGATCCTCTTCAGTTATATATTCATTCTACAACTAAATGGTTCCCAGAAATTCCTCTCCTCTTATGCTGTCATGCGCATTCACTGGGTTCCATGTGGTTGGCCACTGTTAAATTTTTTTTTTTTTTTTTATTTCTTTGCTTCAGAAAGACATGTCACATTCTTCTGGTCACCAAGTCCACTTCTATTGGGAATTGCCACTCCTGCCGTATAACTATACCTCTCTGAATATGAGGGTTCCTTTCACATCCATTGCCATTAAAGGGGGCCAGAGGCAGAAGAACTAAAAGATGGTTTTAGGTAAAGTGGGAAGGATGTCTTTCTCTGTTTCTGTGCTATAATTTGTCATAAAGGTGTTAACAGAGCTCTGAATTATGTCTAAATATTTTCAGCAGTCTTAATAAAAACACCATTTGAGTTTTTACTTTTGGGGCTCACTCTTTTGCTGTAAAACTCAAAACTGGACAAACACATTTGGAACCAAGACAAAAATTATTTAGAGACCTTTTTATAACATCTCATTTTCTGACTAATCTTGCACAAGTGGAGATCAAGCCTTCATGCTCTACCCTCATTTCTGTAAGAAGGGAGTCTCCTCAGCTCCTCTATGAGTGAACATGTGGTGCCCACCACAGATGATGAAAAATTCCAAGATTCAGCTTAACCAACCATTCATCCTTCAACAAACACACCCCTTGTGTAAGGTGTAGCTCTTTGGTCTCAGCCTTTTTATTTCAATCAGTTAATTGTTCTTTGTTTGACCTTTAAATATTGGTGTTTACAAGGCTAAGCATAGGTCCTTTCTGTATTTCAGTCTCTACTCTTTCATGATGATTTTCTTCTCCAGGATTTCTATGAGAATATATAGTCAGAGGGCTGCTAAATTAAAATTTTCAACATGATTTTTATCTCTGTAATCCAAATGAAGAGACCCCAAATCTATTTAGTATCTCCAGTTCCAATATCTGAAGAGAGTGCTTTATCATGGACTTGGCAGCAACTCTTCCCTTCAGGATTTCAGGGAGCATGGGATGAAAAAGTTCACTTCTTGACTTTCTCCAACAGCTCTGCCCCCACTAAAGGTGAATGCCTGCTGGGGCAGGGCCCTGTTAGTGCTTCTCCTTTGCCTCCACCCCCACCCCACCTGCCGGTTCTCATTCTTCAATGCCGTCTGCTATACTGCAGCCTGAATTACAGCAACACATGACATTACATCAGTGCAACAGGCAACATCTGAGAAACGCACTGGACAAATGTAACTGCGACAAAAAACTCATACAAAGCCTCAGAACCCTGAAAGCACCCAGAAATGAGGTCAATTGATCATAACACAATAAATATCACAGTCATATCCCTAAGGAAAAAAATAATTAAAAACTCAAGAATCTGCATTCAAATGATAACAAATTCAGAAAAACAATAAAAAAAGTTCCAGCTGTCTCAGATGATAAGGAACCAGCATGAGGACTCTGATACAAAATGCCAGAGTGTTGTCATCTTCAAATGATTCCACTAGCTCACAAGCAAAGGATTCTAACCAGAGTGAAATGTCTGAAATGGCAGATAAAGTTTTCAGAATATGGATGGCAAGGAAACTCAACAAGATCCAAGATAAAGTTGAAATCCACACAAAGAAGCCAGGAAAATGCTCCAAGATTTGAAAGACGACATCACTATGTTAAGAACCAAACGAAACTTCTGGAATTAAAAAATTCATTTTAGGAATTTCAAAATACAGTTGTAAGCCTTAACAACAGACTAGACTAAGAAGAAGAAAGAATTTTAGAGCTCAAACACTGGTCCCATAAGTCAATCCAGTCAGAAAAAAAATAAAGAAAAAAGCACTTAAAAAAAGGAATGGACTGGGTGTGGTGGCTCACATCTATAATCCCAGCACTTTGGGAGGCTGAGGCAGGTTGATCACCTGAGGTTGGGAGTTCAAGACCAGCCTGACCAACATGGAGAAACCCCATCTCTACTAAAAATACAAAATTACTCAGGCGTGGTGACACATGCCTATAATCCCAGCTACTAGGGAGGCTGAGGTAGGAGAATCGCTTGAACCTGGGAGGCGGAGGTTGCGGTGAGCCAAGGTCATGCCATTGCACTCCAGCCTGGGGAAGAAGAGTGAAACTCTGTCTCAAAAAAAAAAAAAAAAAAAAAAAAAAAAAAAAAAAAAAAAAAAGGATTGGAGCCTTCAAGAAATACAATATTACGTAAAAGCAACCAAATATATGACTTATTGGAATTCATGATAGAGAAGAGAAAATAAGCAACTTGGAAAATATATTTGAGGATGAAATTCAGGAAAATTTTCCCAATCTTGCTAGAGAGGTCAACATGCAGATACAAGAGATCCAGAACTCCTCTGACATATAATACGACATGGTCATCCCCAAGGCACATAGTCACCAGACTATTCAGGGTCAATGTGAAAGAAAAAAGTCTTAAAGGCAGCTAAAGGAAAGGGTCATGTTACCTATAAAGGGAAACCCATCAGACTAACTGCAGACTTCTCAGCAGAAACCTGAAAAGCTAGAAGAGATTGGGAGCCCATTCTTAGCATTCTTAAACAAAAAAAAAAAGTCAACCAAGAATTCCATATCCCATCAAATTAAGCTTCACAAATGAAGGAAAAATAAAATATTTCCAGATAAAAAATTGCTAAGGGAATTTGTCACCACCAAACCGGTCCTAGAAGAGATGCTTAAGGGAGTTCTAAACACAGAAATGAAAGAATGATACTTGCTACCACAAAAACAAAAACAAGCACATAGCTCCTGAACCCCATAAAGCAATTACCCAAATGGAGACTATGAAGCAACTAGCTAACAACATTATGACAGAAACAGAACTTCACATATCAATATTAACCTTGAATGTAAACAACTTAAATGCTCCACTTAAAAGATATAGAGTGGCAAACTAGACGGAAGAAAGAGCCATCTTTCCGCTGTCTTCAAGAGATTCCACTTAAATGTAATGATACCCATAGGCTCAAAGTAGAGAAAGGAGAAAGATATATCACGCAAATGGAGAACAAAGAGCACAGAAATCACTATTCTAGTGTTAGATAAAAGAGACTTTAAACCAACAACAGTATTTAAAAAAAAACAAAGAAGGGAATTACATAACGATAAAGGGTTTATTCAACAAGAAGACGTAAGAATCTTAAACATATATATAGTGTATATATAAAATATATAATATATAATATATATTTATATATATTACATTTATATATTAATATATATATATTACAGGTGCAGTAGTTGTTTTATAAATCTCGGTTCTTCAGTATATTATATATATTATATATATTCACACAACACTGAAGAACCGAGATTTATAAAACAACTACTTTCAGATCTAAGAAAAGATTGACAGCCACACAATTAACAGTGGGGGACTTCACCACGATACTGACAACATTAGACAGAAAACTAACAAAAAAATGCTAGACTTAAATTCAACACTTGACCAGTTGGACCTAATAGACATCTTCAGAATACTCCACCTAACAGTCAAATGATATACTTTCTGCTCATCTGCACATAGCACATACTCTAAGATTGACCACAAGGTCAGTCATAAAGCAAGTTTTAAAAATGGAGAAAAAAAATAGAGGCCGGGTGCAGTGGCTCACACCTGTAATCCCAGCACTTTGGGAGGCCAAGGCAGGCGGATCACCTGAAGTGAGGAGTTCGAGAACAGCCTGGCCAACATGGCAAAACCCCATCTCTACTAAAAGTACAAAAAAGAAAAAAAATTAGCTGGGCTTGGTGGTGGGTGCCTGTAATCCCAGCTACTCAGGAGGCTGAGGCAGGAGAATCACTTGAACCCGGGAAGCGGAGGTTGCAGTGAACCAATTTTGTGCCACTGCACTCCAGCCTGGGTGACAAGAGCAAGACTCTGTCAAAAAAAAAAAAAAAAAAAAAGTAGAAACAAACCAATCATCCTCTTGGACCACAGTGGGATAAAAATATAAATACCAAGAGGTACTCTCAACACCACACAAATACATGGAAACTAAACAACTTCCTCCTGAATGACTTTTGGGTAAACAATGAAATTAATGCATAAATAAAAAAATTATTTGAAACAAAGAAAAATAGGGACACGATATACCAATACCTCTGGAATGCAGCAAAAGAAGTATGATGAGGAAAGTTTATAGTGCCAAATGCCTACATCAGAAAGATAGAGATCTTAAATGAGCAACCTAAGCTTGCACCTGCAGGAATTAGAAAAACAAAAACAAACTAAATTCAAAGCTACCAGAGGAAAAGAAGCAACCAAAATCAGAACAGAACTAAATGAAATTAGACACCCCCAAATCATACAAAGGATCAATAAAACAAAAAGTTGGTTATTTAAAAGGATAAAAATGGATAGACCTCTTTCTCCTTAACAAAGAAAAAGAGAGAAGGTCCAAATAAGCAGAATCAGAAATGACAAAGGTGACATCACAACCAATCTCACAGAAATACAAAAGATCCTGAGACTATTATGAATATCTCTGTGCATTCACACTAGAAAATCTAGAGGAAATGAATACATTCCTGGAAATACACAACCCCTAAAGATTAAAGAAGCAGAAATTCTTAGCACATCAATAACAAGTAATGAAATTAAATTCGTAACCAAAAACAAAAAACAAAACAAAACAAAACAAAACAAAAACCTACCAACCAAACAATGCCCTGGACCATATGCATTCACAGTCTAATTATACCAGATGTTCAAAGAAGAGCTAGAACCAATACTACTGAAACTATTTCAAAAAATCAAGGAGGAAGGATTCCACCATAATTCATTCTATGGAACCAGTCTAATCCTAATACCAAAACCTGATAAAAACACAACAAGAAGAATAAAACTACAGGCCAATATACCTGATGAACACAGATGCAAAAATCCTCCACAAAATACTAGCAATCCAAATCCAGCAGCATACCAAAAAGTTAATTTGCTACAATCAAGTGGGCTTTCTTTCTGGGATGCAGAAATGGTTCAACATACACAAATCAGTAAATTTGATTCACCACACAAACAGAATTAAGAACAAAAAACATATGATCATCTCAATAGATGTAGAAAAAGCTTTTTATAAAATTCAATATTCCTTCATAATAGAAACCCTCAACAAACTAGATATCTAAGGAATACTCCTCAAAATAATAAGATCTGTCTATGACAAACCAACAGCCAACATAACACTGAACAGAAAAAGGCTGGAAGCATTCCCTCTAAGAACTGGTGTAAGACAAGAATGTCCACTCTCATCATTCCTATTCAACAGAGTACTGCAATTTTTAGCTGGAGCAATCAGGCAAAAGAAAGAAACAAAGGCATCCAAATAATAGAAAATGACGAAGTCGAATTATTTCTCTTCATTGACAATATAATTCTCTATATAGAAAACCCTAAAGATTCTGATAAAAGTCTCCTAGACCTGATAAATGACTTCAGCAAAGTCTCAGAATACAAAATCAACATATAAGAATTAGTGGCATTTTTATACACTGATAACATTCAAGCTGAGAACCAAATCAAAAACTCAATCCCATTTACCATAGCCACAAAAAATACCTAGAAATATGTTTAACCAAGGAAATGAAACATTTCTATAAGAACTACTAAACACTGTTGAAAGAAATCATAGATGACACAAAGAAATGGAAAAGCATCCCAATTTCATGGGTTGTAAGAATCAATATTGTTAAAATGTTTATACTGCCCAAAGCAATCTACAGATTCAACACTATTCCCAACAAATTAACAATATCATTTTTCACAAATTAGGAAAACCTACTCTAAAATTTATATGGAATCAAAAATATCCCAAATAGGCAAGGCAGCCTAAGCAAAAAGAAAAAAATGAAAACATCACACTACCCAACATGAAACTATGCTACAAGACCACTGTAACCAAAACAACATGGTACTGGCACAAAAATAGACATGTAAACCAATGAGGCAGAATAGAGACCCCTGAAATAAAGCTAAACACCTACATCCAACTGATCTTCAAAAAGCAAACAAAAATAAATAATTGGGAAAGAATATCCTATTCAATAAACGGTGCTGGGAAAACTAGTTAACCATATGCAGAAGAATAAAACTGGACACATACCTCTCACCACATACACAAATTAACTCGAAATGGATTAAAAACTTAAATGTCAGACCTAAAACTATAAAAATGCTAGATGAAAACCTAGGAATTGCCCTTCTAAACATTAGCCTAGGGAAAGAATTTATAATGAATTCTCGAAAAGCAAATGCAACAAAATAAAAAATAAACAAATGAGAGTTAATTACACTAAAGAGCTTCTGCACAGAAAAAGAAAATATCAACAGAGTAAACAGACAACCTACAGAATGAGAAAAAAAATATTTACAAACTATGTATCTGGCAAAGGACTAATATCCAGAATCTATAACAACAAATAACCCCATTAAAAACAACCCAATTATAAAGTAGGCAAAAGGCTGCAATGAGCTATGATCACACCACTGCACTCGGCCTGTATGACAAGAGCAAAACCCCAACTCTAAAAATAATAATAATAATAATTTTAAAAGGTGAGCAAGAACACGAACAAAAGAACACATACAAGCCACCAACAAACATAAAAAGATGCTTGACATCACTAATCAGAAAGATATAAATCAAAACCACAATGAGATACCATCTCACGCCAGTCAGAATGACTATTTATTAAAAAGTCAAAAAACAATAGATGCTGGCAAGGCTGCAGAGAAGAGGGAAGGCTTATACACTATTGGTGGGAATGCAAATTAGTTCAGCCCTTGTGGAAAGCAGACTGGAGATTTCTCAAAGAATTAAAAATAGAATTATCATTCCACCCAGCGATCCCATTATTGGGCATATACAAAAAGGAAAATGAGTTGTTTTAGCAAAAAGACACCTGTATTTGTATCTTTACTGCAGCACTATTCACAATAGCAAAGACATGTAATCAACCCCGATGCAGGGCCATAGAAAAGAATGAAATCGTCTCCTTTGCAGCAATGTGGATGCAACGGGAGGCCATTAACCTAAGCGAATCAACAAAGAAACCCAAAGCCAAATACCACGTGTTCTCACATATAAGTGGGAGCTAAACTTTGGGTACACCCAGGCACAAAGATACTGAGGACTCCAAAACAGGGAGAGAGAGATGGAAGCATGGGTTGAAAAACTAATTATCAGGTACTATGTTAACTACTCGGGCGACGGGATCATTTGAAGTCCAAACCTCAGCATCACCAATATATCCATGTAACAAACCTGAACATGTACTCCTTGAAGCTACAATTTAAAACTGTATATCTGAAGACTCTTCAAATTCCAGTTCTGGTGGCCTTCCTTGTCCTCTTATGTTCCTTACTGTGAATGGCACCACCATGGGAACCAGAAACCAAGGAGTCACCCGTGCAACACTTCCCTTTACCATGCTCCCCATCCCCAATTGTGTGCAACATCCTATAGATTTTCTTTGTCCTAAATATCTTTCGAATCAAAATCCTTCTCTTAGGAACAAAAAAAAATTTTTAATGATTACTTTATTATAAACTTAATTATGGTCATCATTGAACAGTAGACAGTACATAAAGTAATGCATAAATTATCCCAACTTCCTCTACAGCCACTGACTCCTCAGAATGAACGCTGTTTGCTATGGTTTTTTTCATGAAAGTTAGTGGAATGCAAATATCTATTACTATATATTTTTCTGTAAATTGACTCTAGCAACAAATTCAACTATATCTGCAGCGTTAACTAGGTTTTTCTAAAAATATCTTAAATTGAATGTAGTGCTCCCAACAGACATGAAAGTAATAGCGCCAGAGTGACCCAACAAAAATGAAGTCCTATGATCCAGATTGTATTTTGAGAATCATGTCAATTTTGGCTTGGATAAATAAGCAATTTTTATCCGGTTTACTATCAGCCCTGGGATTTAAGTGCCACAACCAGAGTAGATTCTCCATGCTGAATTTTGAGATGCTAAGCTTTTTAGTGTCTTAATTATTGAAGAATGTGGCAGAGAAGCCATCTTTAGAGGATCCATATACCTCAACCATAAAATGAACACATACTTAGTCTCTGTATGTGACAGGCTCTCACTCAGCCAGGCTTCGGTCAGAATTTTAATCTTCTGAGGAGACTCAGTTAAAGGTATTCTACTCCACTGCTCCTTCTGCTCCCATTTATCCTTAGAACAATTTTCCAAATTACTGATTCTCTGCTTACAAACTTTCAGTTGCTTCCCCTCGCCCTCATGGTAAAGCCCAAGCTCTCTAGACCTTAGACAGGCATAAAAAGCACTGTCCTGTCTGCTCACCTCCTGTACAGGGTCATCCTCACCTCCAGCCCTGGACTCCATGTGTAACCAATACCTGGCAGACACCTCATATCTCTGAGCAAACTTTCTCAGCCTACACTCTCTTCCTTGACCACCTTTACACGGGAATATCTTACTCTTTCTTCAAGTTTAAATATTTGCATAGTTGAAAAAAGTGGATTATAAAACTACATAGTTCATGAATTTTTTTGTTGTTGTTAAAAAGACTTTTAGACACACAAAGTCTGAATATAGATATAATAAAATTGGGTGAGAAATGTCAAAAGACTTTTCTTTCCATTTTATTACATGTGTTTTCTGCAATGAGTGTGTGTTATTTATGTTATGTAATTTTAAGGCTCAATGTAGGTATTTGATTCCTGTGAAAAGCCATCTCTTCTTGATTTCACCCACTCCCAATTTTGATTTTGTGCATTTTCTCTAAACTCCTCACAATTCTCTGAACTCATCCTCTCTTAACAACCATTTTTATTCTCCAGTGGTCTGTCCATAGTCTATCTTGCTGGCAGGACCACACATTCATTTGAAGGTAGGTACTCACCGGTCTTCTACGCAGGAGCTCCGGCATCTAGCACAGTGCCTGGCACAGAGCTCAATAAACGGTGAATGAATAGAATCCATGTGTAAGAGGAAACCTGCAGAGAAGCAGGGCTGTCTTAGCAAGAGTACCTTTTCTGCTCAAATACATGGGTGGGCGGGCAAAGGGAAGTGTCCCTGGGCCTCGCTGAGCCTGCTTCCACCCAGACAAGAAATCATCACCATCACCATCTCCAGCACAAACAGGCTGGCATGCTCAGCATGAAAGCTGTCTAGGAAAATTTAAGTAATAGTGGAGTGTGGATAGAGCTTATGAATATTCATGAACCAAGGGTCTTAGCAGCCAAGCTAAGCACAGAATTACAGCAATTATCTGAATGATTTGCACGCACACAAAGCCAGCCTTAAGCAACATCGTTGAGGAGGCTGGAAGTCGGCTGGCCCTCTGTCTGGCACCGCCCTGCTTCTTTTCAGCGTGCCCTGCGGGAGCTCATGTGCTCTGCCTGCCCGGGGAATCTTGGTGCCAACCCCCTCCGCCGGCCCTCCTCCCACCACCCCAGTGACAGGTCTCATGTGATGTGAGCCTCTTCCTCCAAACTTAATTGTCTCCATTCCCTCAGAGTTTAACTAGGTAACTAGCTGACTGGAGAAGGCACCTAACAGACTAATGAATGTGAAGGAATGAATCAGTCTTGCTTTTCCACGTCAATGTCTATCGTAGATATTTAGTCTTACTTAAAGACCTTTTGTTGTAAGATTCCTTAACTCAATTTCAGGAACAGGAGGCTATAAATAGACTTTGTAAATAATTTAATAGATTATGAAGTGTGGTAAGAGCTTGATGATGGATTCCAGCGTCACAGAACCTGAAAGCAGGAAGGAACTTTATAGGCCATTTAGTTTGGTGTTCCCCACCTTGAGTTTTACATGAAGTTCATAGATGATTGAGTAATAATCTTAAATTAAATAATACTTATGGAAAGAGTATCTCAGAATCTCTATTATGATATTGTGAATCTCTAAAAGATGAATGTGGTGTTAATCACTTCCTAATTTTGAGTAAAGAGATTCTTTGTCACAAAATAATTATTACTACCTTTAAAATCTTTTTTTTTTTTTTGAGATGGAGTCTCGCCCTGTCGCCCAGACTGGAGTGCAGTGGCTTACTCTCGGCTCACTGCAACCTCCGCCTTCCAGGTTTAAGCGATTCTCTTGCCTCAGCCTCCCAAGTATCTGGCATTACAGGCACACACCACCACACCCAGCCAATTTCATATTTTTAGTAGAGACGGGGTTTCACCATGTTGACCAGGCTGGTCTCAAACTCTTGACCTCGTGATCCACCTGCCTTAGCCTCCCAAAGTGCTGGGATTACAGGTGTGAGCCACTGCACCCGGCCTAAACCTTTTATTCTATAGAACTTTATTTTGGAAATGCCAATCTCCTCCATGCCTTTATTATTCAGGAGATGAAACATACCAGAAAAAGAAACTATCTGTTCAAGATTGTGACACACTCACTTCAGAGAGAGCTTAGACTTGAACCAAGGTGTCCTGGCTGGACTTCCCGTCCCTCTATCCAGCCATCTTTCCTTTTAATGGATTTTATTTTTAAAGAGAGGTTTTAAAACCATAATTTAAAGTGGGTACTTGTGACAGAGACTACTAATTGTACTCACAAATCCATTCTCTCCTACTGACATGGTAGAATATTTTCATCTGGGCACATGGTCATCATTTCTGAGCCATCTCACTGTTAGTTGTGGTCCTGTGATTACGTCATGACCAATGAGATGAGAAAGGAAGTAACACTGTAATCTGGGGCCACTTTCTTAAAGGGAAAAAGTGTGTTCTCCCTTTCCCTTGTCCTTCTGGCTGCTTCACAGAATGAGGATCTAGTACAAAGGGCTGGACCCAAAATGGGGCACGTGTTTGGAGAACACAGAATAATGGAATAGGAAAAAAACTGGCATCTGAACAGTTCATATGAACTGGGTCATTCTGGCTGATTTTAGCAAAATTGTATACGAGAAAGATGAATCCATGTTAAATATAATGGATATAAATGCAGAGATTTTATTTTATTTTATTTTATTTTGTTTTATTTTATTATACTTTAAGTTCTAGGGTACATGTGCACAATGTGCAGGTTTGTTACGTATGTATACATGTGCCGTGTAGGTTTGCTGCACCCATTAACTCGTCATTCACATTAGATATTTCTCCTAAGGCTATCCCTCCAGCATTCCCTCACCCCACGACAGGCCCCAGTGTGTGATGCTCCCTGCCCTGTGTCCAAGTGTTCTCATTGTTCAATTCCCACCTATGAGTGAGAACATGCAGTGTTTGCTTTCCTGTCCTTGCGGTAGTTTGCTCAGAACGATGGTTTCCAGCTTCTTCCATGTCCCTACAAAGGACATGAACTCATCCTTTTTTATGGCTGCATAGTATTCCATGGTGTATATGTGCCACATTTTGTTAATCCAGTCTATCATTGATGGACATTTGGGTTGGTTCCAAGTCTTTGCTATTGTGAATAGTCCCACAATAAACGTGTGCATGTGTCTTTATAGTAGCATGATTTATAATCCTTTGGGTATATACCAAGTAATGGGATCGCTGGGTCAAATGGTGTTTCTAGTTCTAGATTCTTGAAGAATCACCACACTGTCTTCCACAATGGTTGAACGAGTTTACAGTCCCACCAATAGTGTAAAAGCATTCCTATTTCTCCACATCCTCTCCAGCACCTGTTATTTCCTGACTTTTTAATGATCGCCATTCTAACTGGTGTGAGACGGTATCTCATTGTGGTTTTCTTTTGCATTTCTCTGATGACCTGTGATGATGAGCATTTTTTCATGTGTCTGTTGGCTGCATAAATGTCTTCTTTTGAGAAGTGTCTGTTTATATCCTTTGCCCGCTTTTTGATGGGGTTGTTTGATTTTTTCTTGTAAATGTGTTTAAGTTCTTTGTAGATTCTGGTATTAGCCCTTTGTCAGATGGGTAGATTGCAAAAATTTTATCCCATTCTGTAGGTTGCCTGTTCACTCTGATGGTAGTTTCTTTTGCTGTGCAGAAGCTCTGAAGTTTAATTAGATCCCATTTGTCTATTTTGGCTTTTTTTGCCATTGCTTTTGGTATTTTAGTCATGAAGTCCTTGCCCATGCCTGTGTCCTGAATGGTATTGCCTAGGATTTCTTCCAGGGTTTTTATGGTTTTAGGTCTAATATTTAAATCTTTAATCCATCTTGAATTAATTTTTGTATAAGGTGTAAGAAAGGGATCCAGTTTCAGCTTTCTACATATGGCTAGCCAGTTTTCCCAGCACCATTTATTAAATAGGGAATCCTTTCCCCATTTCTTGTTTTTATGAGGTTTGTCAAAGATCAGATGGTTGCAGATGTGAGATGTTATTTCTGAGGCCTCTGTTCTGTTCCATTGATCCATATCTCTGCTTTGGTACCAGTACCATGCTATTTTGTTTACTGTAGCCTTATAGTATAGTTTGAAGTCAGGTAGTGTGATGCCTCCAGCTTTGTTCCTTTTGCTTAGGATGGTCTTGGCAATGTGGGCTCTTTTTTGGTTCCATATGAACTTTAAAGTAGTTTTTTTCCAATTCTGTGAAGAAAGTCATTGGTAGTTTGATGGGGATGGCATTGCATCTATAAATTACCTTGGGCAGTATGGCCATTTTCACGATATTGATTCTTCCTATACATGAGCATGGAATGTTCTTCCATTTGTTTGTGTCCTCTTTTATTTCGTTGAGCAGTCATTTGTAGTTCTCCTTGAAGAGGTTCTTCACATCCCTTGTAAGTTGTATTCATAGGTATTTTAATCTCTTTGTAGCAATTGTGAATAGGAGTTCTCTCATAATTTGGCTCTCTGTTTGTCTGTTATTGGTGTATAAGACTGCTTGTGATTTTTGCACATTGATTTTGTATCCTGAGACTTTGCTGAAGTTGCTTATCAGCTTAAGGAGATTTTGGGCTGAGACAATGGGGTTTTCTAAATATACAATCATGTCATCTGCAAACAGGGACAATTTGACTTCCTCTTTTCCTAATTGAATACCCTTTATTTCTTTCTCTTGCCTGATTGCCCTGGCCAGAACTTCCAACACTATGTTGAATAGGAGTGGTGAGAGAGGGCATCCCTGTCTTGTGCCAATTTTCAAAGGGAATGCTTCCAGTTTTTGCCTAATCAGTATGATACTGGCTGTGGGTTTGTCATACATAGCTCTTATTATTTTGAGATACGTTCCATCAATACCTAGTTTATTGAGAGTTTTTAGCATGAAGGGCTGTTGAATTTTGCCAAAGGCCTTCTATGCATCTATTGAGATAATCATGTGGTTTTTGTCTTTGGTTCTGTTTATGTGATGTATTACATGTATTAATTTGCATATGTTGAACCAGCCTTGCATCCCAGGGATGAAACCAACTTGATCTTGGTGAATAAGCTTTTTGATGTGCTGCTGGATTCGGTTTGCCAGTATTTTATTGACGATTTTCACATCGATGTTCATCAGGGATATTGGTCTAAAATTCTCCTTTTTTGTTGTGTCTCTGCCAGGCTTTGGTATCAGGATGACGCTGGCCTAATAAAATGAGTTAGAGAGGATTCCCTCTTTTTCTATTGATTGGAATAGTTTTGGAAGGAATGGTACCAGCTCCTCTTTGTACCTCTGGTATAATTCGGCTGTGAATCTGTCTGGTCCTGGACTTTTTTTGGTTGGTAGGCTATTAATTATTGCCTCAATTTTAGAGCCTGTTATTGGCCTACTCAGTGATTCAACTTCTTCCTGGTTTAATCTTGGGAGGGTGTATGTGTTCAGGAATTTATCCATTTCTTCTAGATTTTCTAGTTTATTTGCGTAGAGGTGTTTATAGTATTCTCTGATGGTTGTTTGTATTTCTATGGGATCAGTGGTGATATTCCCTTTATCATTTTTTATTGCATCTATTTGATTCTTCTCTCTTTTCTTCTTTATTAGTCTTGCTAGCAGTCTATCAATTTTGTTGATCTTTTCAAAAAACCAGCTTCTGGATTCATTGATTTTTTGAAGGGTTTTTTGTGTCTCTATCTCCTTCAGTTCTTCTCTGATCTCAGTTATTTCTTGCCTTCTGCTAGCTTTTGAATTTGTTTGCTCTTGCTTCTCTAGTTATTTCAATTGTGATGTTAGGGTGTCAATTTTAGATCTTTCCTGCTTTCTCTTGTGGGCATTTAGTGCTATAAATTTCCCTCTACACACTGCTTTAAATGTGTCCCAGAGATTCTGGTACGTTGTCTTTGTTCTCATTGGTTTCAAAGAACATCTTTACTTCTGCCTTCATTTCATTATTTATCCAGTAGTCATTCAGGAACAGGTTGTTCAGTTTCTATGTAGTTGTGCAGTTTTGAGTGAGTTTCTTAATCCTGAGTCCTAATTTGATTGCACTGTGGACTGAGACACAGTTGCTGTGATTTCTGTTCTTTTAGATTTGCTGAGGTGTGCTTTACTTCCAACTATGTGGTCAATTTTGGAATAAGTGCGATGTGGTGCCGAGAAGAATGTATATTCTGTTGATTTGGAGAGAAGAGTTCTGTAGATGTCTATTAGGTCTGCTTGGTGCAGAGCTGAGTTCAAGTCCTGGATATCCTTGTTAACCTTCTGTCTCGTTGATCTGCCTAATATTGACAGTGGGGTGTTAAAGTATCCAATTATTATTGTGTGGGAGCCTAAGGCTCTTTGTAGGTCTCTAAGGACTTGCTTTATGAATCTGGGTGCTCCTGTATTGGGTGCATATACTTTTAGGATAGTTAGCTCTTCTTATTGAATTGATCCCTTTACCATTATGTAATCCTCTTCTTTCTCTCTTTTGATCTTTGTTGGTTTAAAGTTTGTTTTATCAGAGACTAGGATTGCAACCCCTGCTTTTTTTTTTTTTTTTTTTTTTTTTTTTTTGCTTTCCATTTGCTTGGTAGATCTTCCTCCATCCCTTTATTTTGAGCTTAAGTGTGTCTCTGCACATGAGATGTGTCTCCTCAATACAGCACACTGATGGGACTTGACTCTTTACCCAATTTGCCAGTCTGTGTCTTTTAATTGGGGAATTTAGTCAATTTACATTTAAGGTTAATATTGTTATATGTGAATTTGATCCTATCATTATGATGTTAGCTGGTTATTTTGCCCATTAGTTGATGCAGTTTCTTTCTAGCATCGATGGTCTTTACAATTTGACATGTTTTTGCAGTGGCTGGTACCAGTTGTTCCTTTCCATGTTTAGTGCTTCCTTCAGGAGCTCTTGCAGGGCAGGCCTGGTGGTGACAAAATCTCTCAGCATTTGCTTGTCTGTAAAGGATTTTATTTCTCCTTCACTTAGTTTGGCTGGATATGAAATTCTGGGTTGAAAATTCTTTTATTTAAGAATGTTGAATATTGGCTCCCACTCTCTTCTGGCTTGTAGAGTTTCTGCCGAGAGATCTGTTGTTAGTCTGATGGGCTTCCTTTTGTGGGTAACCCGACCTTTCTCTCTGGCTGCCCTTAACATTTTTTCTTTCATTTCAACCTTGGTGAATCTGAAAATTATGTGTCTTGGAGTTGCTCTCCTCGAGGAGTATCTTTGTGGTGTTCTCTGTATTTCCTGAAGTTGAATGTTGGCCTGCCTTGCTAGGTTGGGGAAGTTCTCCTGGATAATATTCTGAAGAGTGTTTTCCAGCTTGTTTCCATTCTTCCCGTTACTTTCAGGTACACTAAACAAATGTAGTTTTGGTCTTTTCACATAGTCCCATACTTCTGGGAGGCTTTGTTCATTTCTTTTTACTCTTTTTTCTCTAAATTTCTCTTCTCACTTCATTTCATTAATTTGATCTTCAATCACTGATACCCTTTCTTCCACTTGATCTAATCGGCTACTGAAACTTGTGCATGCGTCACGTAGTTCTCGTGCCATGGTTTTCAGCTCCATCAGGTCATTTAAGGTCTTCTGTACACTGTTTATTCTAGTTAGCCATTTGTCTAATCTTTTTTCAAGGTTTTTAGCTTCTTTGTGATGGGTTCGAACATCCTCCTTTAGCTCGGAGAAGTTTGTTATTACTGACTTTCTGAAGCCTACTTCTGTCAACTCCTCAAAGTCATTCTCCATCCAGCTTTGTTCCGTTGCTGGCGAGGAGCTGCGATCCTTTGGAGGAGAAGGGGCCCTCTGGTTTTTAGAATTTTCAGCTTTTCTGCTCTGATTTCTCCCCATCTTTGTGGTTTTATCTACCTTTGGTCTTTGATGATGGTGACCTACAGTTGGGTTTTTGGTGTGGACATCCTTTTTGTTGATGTTGATGCTATTCCTTTCTGTTTGTTAGTTTTCTTTCTAACAGTCAGGTCCCTCAGCTACAGGTCTTTTGGAGTTTGCTGAAGGTCCAATCCAGATCCTGTTTCCCTGGGTATCACCAGTGGAGGCCGCAGAACAGCAAATATTGCAGAACAGCAAATATTGCTGCCTGATCCTTCCTTCCTCTGGAAGCTTCATCTCAGAGGGGCACCCACCTGTATGAGATGTCAGTCAGCCCCTACTGGGAGGTGTCTCCAAGTTAGGCTTCACAGGGGTCAGGGACCCATTTGAGGAGGCAGTCTGTCCATTCTCAGAACTCAAACACCGTGCTGGAAAAACCACTACTGTCTTCAGAGCTGTCAGACAGGGACATTTCACATGCAGAGATTTTTTAAAAATGGAGAAAACATTGAAAATTTTTTCTATGATAATCTGATGTTTCACATGGTCCCAAAGTAACCATGATCATTGAGTTATAAGAAGTGAGGTAGGCAGAATCAGAGACCATTGCAGAAGACAAAGCAGTCTCTGGGCTCAAGAACTGCAGTTATGTAGAGCAATAGGTTTTGATTACAGTTACTTACACATGGAAACTGCCAGAAGGAAACTTCCAGAAACTTACAATAAATGGTTGAATTGTGCCCTTCCCACCAATAATATATATATATTGAAGTCCTAATCCCCAGTATCTCAGAATGTGACCTTTCAAAGAAATAGGCTTATGTAGATATAATTAGTTAAGATGAGATTATACCTGTGTAAAACAGACACCTAATCCAATATGACAGGGGTCCCTATGAAAGGAGGACATTTGACATCGATGACAGACCCACACAGGGGGAGACTGCCCTGAGAAAATTGGAAGGAGGTTGCCAACAACCAAGGAACAATCAGAAACCAGGAGAGAGGCCCAGAAGACATCCTTCCCCAACACCTTTATAGAGAGCATGACCCCGGTGACAACCCGGTCTTAGACTTCTGACCTCCAGAAATATGAGGTGATCAATTTCTGTTGTTTTAAGCCAGAAGTTTGGAGGTAGTTTGGTATAGGAGCTTTAGAAAACACACATATCTGCTAAGTTTTTGAGAAAAATCATATGCCAAAGAAATTACAGCCCAATTGTGAAAAGCCTGTGAGTATTTGGCCCTAATGTCACCCCCAAGCCTTTGTGTAACACCAGTGGTCAGGGAAGACCATGCAGCCACTCAACAGAGCATCCTCTCCAAGCAGAGGAAAACAGATAGTGAGGAACTTCCCCGAAGGAGAGGCTGGGCAACAGAGGATGACAGTGTGTCAGCTCCTTCCAGAGAAGTCCTGGCAGCCGGCAGATGAGTTCCATGAAGAGCTTCTTGCACTGTGCGGTCAGGGATGTCTTACAAGGGTGGCTGGGTTAGGCTGTACTTGTGGTTGCTCTAAAGAAATACCTGAGACTGGATAATTTATTTAAAAAAAAAGTCAGGGGGAGGTTTTATTGGCTCACAGTTCTTTAGGTTGCACGGAAAGCTTGGCACCAGCATCTGCTCAGCTTCTGGGGAGGCCTCGGGAAGCTACAATCATAGCAGGAGGTGAAGGAGGGGCAGGAATGTCACATACAGGGAGCAGGGGGAGAGGTGCCACACACTTTTTAACAACCAGATCTCATAAGAAACCACTCACTATGGCAAAGACAGCACCAAGCCATGAGATATCCACTCCCAAGACCCAAACACCTCCCTCCAGGCCTCACCAGGAACACTGGAAATTACATCTCAACATGATATTTGAGTGGGACGAATATCCAAACCACATCAGTGGCTCAGCCCAATTTGATCATTGCTATGAAATATGCCTATTATGTGTGTTTTTTCAAACTTTTCTTTTCTAAATGATACTTTATAGAGCGGCTGTCCCTTTCCTCACATGTCAGATGTGCTTGGAGATCAGGGTGTGAACAGTGGATTACTTACAGCTTAGTTTGTAGCTGCTGAGCTGTGAGAAGCCACATTCACACTTGAAACCGAGGGTTGCGCATCAACCAGAGATCCTGGAATTGGTTGTCGAGGAAATAACTGAGTGACTGAGATAATGGGTATGTTCTGAGTGGAAGTGTGAGTACAGATATTTGGGTGGCCAAAGGAGTAGACCACAGTAGGCACTTCAAGTAGTTTCCCGAAATCCATCTAACTAAATAAAGGATTCCATTTAAGGGCTCAATATGGCTTTGTGACTTAGTTCTGGACAATGGGACATATGCAGAAGAAACATATGGAGCTTCCAGATCCTTCCCTCCTTTATGGATTTACCATACCATTCACTGCTTTATGAATAGGCTGGAAAATGCTGGCTCAGTCAGCTTGGAAGACAAAATAGAAATCAAGTGTGGAGGCTGGCAGATCAACACAAAATAAAACATCCTCTTCCAAAGCAGGGCATCCTCTTCCAGGGCAGAGAAGATGATGTCAAGTGGCTCAGAGAGGTTGAACAAATTGTCCAAGGGCAACCAGCAGAGTCACACCTGGAGGTTGGTCTTAGTTTTTTTTCTCTTATTGATTCTCTTTCCACTACACAAAGCAGCCACTCAGTATAAAAGTTAACAACTACTAAAAGTACATTTAAGCCTGTATGCTAACATTTAAGTATAGTGGTCTTTGAGAAAAAATATAGGTAGACATATGTATTACTCAGGGTTCTCTAGAGGGACAGAACTAATTATATATATAAAGGGGAGTTTATTAAGTATTGGATCACATGATCACAAGGTCCCACACTAGGCCATCTGCAAGCTGAGGAACAAGGAGAGCCAGTCTAAGTTCCAAAACTGAAGAACCTGGAGTCCAATGCTCGAGTGCAGGAGGCATCCAGCACGGGAGAAAGATGGAGACTGGGAGGTTGGCCAGTCTCATCTTTTCAAATTTTTCTGCCTTCTTTATATTCTAGCCATGCTGGCAGCTGATTAGATGGTGCCCACCCAGATTAAGGGTGGGTCTGCCTTTCTCAGCTCACTGACTCAAATGTGAATCTCCTTTGGCAACACCCTCACAGACATACTCAGGATCAATACTTTGCATCCTTCAATCCAATCAGTATTAACCATCACAACATATGACTGGCTAGAGGTTGTTGTTTTTTAAATACACATAAAATGTGTACACATCTATATAGAAAACACTAGGTAAATACTAGTAGAAAATAAATATACTCAAGTAGAAAATTAATAAAGAAGAAATACAAATAACCACTAAGCCTATGAAATATATAAAAATCCATAAACACAAAAATATATTGATTTTATTGCTCATTATATTGGCAAATGAATCGGAAATCATCTAAATGTCACAAAAGCAATAGTTAAATACTTTTTGATTCATAGATGAATGAAACAATATTTACCCATTAAAGTTAGGATTTTAAAGTTAAACTAATAACATGGAGAATCATTTACTATACAGTTTTAAATGAAGAAGCTGAAAAACGATATGGGTTCCGTATGATATGAAGCATCCTTTTTTTTTTTAAGAGACAGAGTTTCACTCTTGTTGCCCAGGCTTGAGTGCAGTGGCACGATCTCAGCTCACCACAACCTCTGCCTCCCGGGTTCAAGTGATTCTCCTGCCTCAGCCTGCCAAGTAGCTGGGATTACAGGCATGTGCCACCCCACCCAGCTAATTTTGTATTTTTAGTAGAGAGGGTGTTTCTCTATTTTGGTCAGGCTGGTCTGGAACTCCTGACCTCAGGTGATCTGCCCACCTAGGCCTCCCAGATATGAAGCACTTTTAAACATCATGGAATAAAAGACCTGAAGGAAAATGTTCCAAATATTTTAGGTCTCTTGATTGTGTTCTTTAAAGGAGTTTTTATTTACATTTGTCTGTACTTTCCTACATTGGCTATAATAATACATAATAAATTTGTAGCCAGAGAAACAATGTTTCAACTCACCGATACCTAGAAATTCAGAGCAAAGGGCATGTCACCCCGACACCTGGTATTTTCACAATGTCTCCCATATGCTTCTCTCAGACCTGTGGCTGCCTCTTCCAGAACTTCCACTCCCCTGATAATTGTACAGTATTTGACTTCCACTCCCCTGGAAAAGTATCTAATCCTCACACAGTCTGATCTGGCCATTTTCTCTTCAGTACCTAACTCATCTTCCCTCCTCCTCCACTGAGCAAAGCACTGAAAGGCTCAAGGTTGCCAGGAAGGAAGAGGATCCTGTTATGTATGGAAGGCACATGCTAATAGTGCCAGCAGTGTGGAGTGGGGACCAGTGGCCCTCAGCAAGCTGGCTGTAGCCAGTTCTCAAGGCAGTAAGTAAAGAAGCAGAATTGGCAGAATAATGTTCGGCTTCTTGAGTATAATGAGCATGATGATGACTACGTTGTTGATGATAATGATGGTGATGATGACAGAGCTTGTATTGTGTCAATGGTGTTCAAAATTTTAATTTGTTAATATTTTACTGGGATTGTATTTTACAAAAGCAACTTCCATACAGACTGGAAATAAAAATAATAATAAAAAAACCTAAAACATACAAACATCTGGTTCGTTACCACAGATAGTCTGAGAAGCACAGTGTGAGAGGCGTGTCCTTGTGGGCACAGAGGCAGTGAGTTCTTCTGATCAGATGCTCCCTGGCCCCAGGGTTGCTGCAAGGGGAATGCCAGCAAAGGACAGATGGAGAAACAAGCAGAAGGTGGCTTTCTCTCAGGTGATCCTGTGAGAAAGAGAAAAGGAATTCTGAATGGTGACTCCTGCGTGTTCAGAAAAATCCATCAGAATAAAAGCCCATCAGCGACCAAGGGGATCTTCTTTTTCCTGGCTTGTCCAATCATGTCTTTGTAAAATTGCTCTCTGCCCTTGCTGTGAAACAGTGAAGTGAAGACCCAGATGTGCCTGGAGATCGGGTTACTCTTCTCAGCATCCCCTCCCACCCGCTATACACATCTATCCTCCGAAAGAGTGATACCGGATGTCGTTTGGGGGAAAATGCATGAATGAGTTTACATTTGTGGCCTTAAGGCACTGGCAGAGTAGGTGTTCCCCAGGCGTTTGTTAAAGAGAATCTTGTGTTTTTGTAAAAACAAGAAAAACCACCACTCTCAATGTGCCCGCCTCAATTTCCTTGCACTGCATAAGGGTTCAGCTAAAATAGAAGCAGGATAATGTTTCCAAACTAAACTAAGGAAGCTGATAAATTTGATCTTGGTGAACAAGAGGGAAATCTTCAGTTCTTACAATAGAATCTTCCTCCGGGCCCTGAGATTGGAGTAATCTCCATGCTTTGTCACGGGATTAGATGTGAAATCACATTATTTTCTTCCTTCAAAGTTTCCAAGCATCTTAGTTCTCACTTTTATTACCTGCTCTTATCAATCAAGAAATATTACAGTGCTTTCCACGTTTTTCTTTCATGCTGTGACTTTATTTAAAACAGGGAACTTTTTATACACCTGGAAACTGTCTAGCAAAGGGTAGACACTTCAGAAGACACACACACACAATTTGGGTAGTAGCGGCTCTGATTTCTAGAAATACAAAGAAAACTGTAAGCACAAAGAGATCCTTATGGCTGGTTCCTTCCATTCATGAGAGGATAAAGTTAATGCGCCCAAGGTCAGGGGATCAATCACCATATGAACCACTTAAGTCTGGGCTGGGGCAGAACTCTGTCCCCCAGCAAAAAGCTGCACCCTGTCATCGCCATCTTGTAAATGTCAGGCGCCAGTCGCAAATGGAACTAGAACGGAAAATATAGACAGTGTCAAAGTTTCCAACCAACGACTGCAAAACAGCTAGAAAATCATAACCTTCATCATCATACTTCCTCGCAATTATAAGATGTTTTAGCATGTAAAATATGTTTGTACATATTTCTTTATTCTCTTTCAAATATTGTTGATCCCATCAGCCACCTAAGGAAGTAAGTGATGTGCTGTTTAATTTTAGAGATGAAGAAATTGAGACAAAAAAATGTTACTCAAGCAATGAGTGGCAGATCCAGGACTCCAGCCAGATGTTGACAAATACTGCCTGAAAACCCAAACTTAGCAACAAGGAAAAGGTGAAATTTTCTTTGTACATAAAAGATGAACGTTTTTCTTTTGTACAGTTATACCAAAAGGCAGGGGTATACCATTATCACAGAACTTAAGAGCAAAATAAAGTTGAAATAAGTCCTTCACACTACGTGAACATTGTGTCAGGCAGTGATTGACTGGGAGGGTTGTAGCTCTGGGCTTAGAAGGAATGTGAATTCTGCTTTTCCACAAGCAGATAAGAGCATCTGTGGCTGCTCTGCTTGGCATCACAGAACCTCAGGACCTGAAAGAGAAGGAGCTGGAGAACTTGTCCTTCTTAGCTGCTTCTCCCTGTAGAAGAAATGAGAGTTCTATTTCTAATATCCCCGTTCTCTAGAAGACAACTTTGAGTCAGGGTTTGGCATAAAGATATTTATTAGGGATCAACACCTGTGGGAAAAAGCAGGAAGGAATAGAACTGGGCCGGGGGAAAAAGGCAACTCCATTGTGCAGGCCAAAAGGAGCCATGGCTAGTCCCACAGGAGCTCCAGAAAGGAGTATTGCCCCTGGCCAAGGTCCCCATTGTTCAGAATGCCTGGGCCTTTACCCCGACCTTGTTCTCCTGGCCTCGGGTTGCCCTGGGAAAGTTGTAACCCCAGACCAGGTGGCTCTCCTCAGCTGAGGGCAGACCTTACGGGAGCAGAGAGCTGGGGTCCTTGGGCTGACCCCCCTTACTGGGTGTGGTAGCAAGCCCTCCCTGGGGGTGGGATCTAGACAGTGTATCTATAGGTCTAATTGGATCCGCCCCATTGGTGAGGGACAACAGAGGTATACAGCAAGGAAATATCCAAATTCATCTAGGAATGGCCCATAAATAACCAAACTAAGTTAATTCACAGAAAGATAAAATCTAGATGTGGAAACCCAGAGAAACAAACAAGAATAGTCACAAAGATTTAGTAGCCTCAGATGAAAGGCCAGGAAATTAGAGCTGTAGCCAAGCCTTCTTGACCATGGTAGCCAGAAAGAGGTGCCACATAGACACTCCCAGCTTATTCTCAGTACAAAGATAGAAACATATTTGTGAAAATAAGCCTAATTTCTAATCCCAGCTTTCACTGGGGCTAAAACTGTCAATATGCTTCCTGCTGTAATTGGGACTATCTAGGACCACAGGGGCTAAACCTCATAAAGGAAGGCCTAGATCAAACTTGTCCAACCTGTAGCCCAGAATGACTTGGAATGTGGCCTAACACCAATTTGTAAACTTTCTTAAAACATTATGAGATACTTTTTTTTTTCTTTTTTTAGAAGGAGTCTTGCCCTGTTGCCAGGCTGGAGTGCAGTGGTGCCATCACAGCTCACTGTAACCTCCGTCTCCCGGGTTTAAGCAATTGCCCCGCCTCAGCCTCCCAAGTAGCTGGGATTACAGGCATGCGCCACCACACCTGGCTAATGTTTTGTATTTTAGTAGAGATGAGGTTTCACCATATTGGTCAAGATGGTCTCGATGTCCTGACCTCATGATCCACCCACCTCGGCCTCCCAAAGTGCTGGGATTACAGGCATGAGCCACCAAGCCCAGCCACATTATGAGATTCTTTTGCAGTTTTTTTTTTTTTTAGCTTATGAGCTATTGTTAGTGGTGGTGTATTTTATGGGTAGCCCAAGGCAATTCTTCTTCCAGCGTGGCCCAGGGAAGCCAAAAGATTGGACACCCCTGGCCTACATGATAGGACCTGGAGAACACCAAGCTAAAGTGGAACCTGATGTTTTCTCTAAACCAGTAGAGAAGACCACTATCACACTCTCCTGCTGCGTCTAAAGCCTCCTGACTTCACCATACACATTCATGGTATGTTCTATCTTTCAATGAAATAACAAATTATGTTTTTCCTACTGTACAAAAGAGAATCACATCAGGTTCTAGATGTGTATTTATTACAAGGTTTTTTTCACAGATTGCAACAAGTAGAATGTGCAATGCTTGGTAAGTTTCTGTGAGAGACCTCTGCCCATTGTGACATCAGCTTGCTATTTAATGACATTTATAAAGAAAAAGTAGAATCCACCCACTGAACACACACAAAATAAGGTCACCATATTGAGCTTCACTACAGTCTAATTTGTCCTTATTATGGTCTCTATCATTTCTGTCCTCAGAGAAATTGCAAATGAGTTCAAAATTTCCTCCATCCCCTTCACGAAAACCACGCCATGCTGGGGAAAATCCCAGGCCCACTATTCTACCCACTGATTAAGGAAGCAGAGAATCTAGAATATTTAGGTTTTGTGAGAATTCACTTCACTAGCTCAAAGAAGACTGGAAACACACAAATGTGAAAGCTGACATGGAGGTGAGAAAAGGTCAATGCACCTCTACATTGTTTCAAGCAAAAGATAAACGGTCAAAGAAATAACCCCTTTAACAGGTCTCTTGGTTTCTTTGGATCCTGAAATTTCAACACTTCGCTAATTTGAAAAAATAAATACATAAATTTATGCCTACTTTGTACTAATGGGTCACTCTGGGTTTTGTAATCATATATGAATCCATACAGCACAGGCAAACAGAAAATGTGCTGCCATGGCATGGCCACTCATCAGATGCCCTTCAAAATGCATCAGTTCACTTGGTAGGTGTCCTTGAAAAAGGGTTTCATTTTAGTTGTTCCAATTGTCTATTAATCAAACTTTCGATTCTTGCTTACTTTTTAAGTAAAATTTTTCTACAGAAAATCCATATGCCAACAGCCTTATACACACATACTGTTCATCCAGGTTATTTATATTCAGCTAACAGATAGAGAGTACCTTCTATGAACTAAGTACCGTGACAAGTGCTTTATAGGCATCAGTATGAGGACTCACCAATGAGACCTCATTTTGCAACAAATAAAAAAAAATGAAGATGAACGTGCCTCACGAAATCTTAGTTCATTGTGATACCCCCTTATTCATACACATGAGGCTTAGATCATAACAATACATGTTGGTCTGTGTTTTTACTAGTCTCAGAAATACCTTCTTCCATTGCAGAATCCTACAGTTCTCTTCTATTTGCAGTCCTCTCCCTTTGCCATAACAACTGCCAGCACATGTGGTTGCCATGGCAAGCAGAGGAGGCATTATTAAGAAAGATAAGAGCTAAGACCTTACCTTATAATTCAACCTTGGTAGTTTATTTTTTCTCTTGAGTTCTTCATATTTTATGACCTACTTCATTTGCCCGTGAATTCCAAATGGTTTCCAGATGCATCTGGACTTTATCAGATATCTGGGCAACAAAGGTACTCTTTGGCTCTTTCCTGGTATTCAGCAGCAATAGAGAAAACAAGCACCAATACTACAGAATCTCTAGGCCAATTAAGAAAATGGGATGTAAAATTATTCTAAGACAAAAGAGCTAGACTGGCTCTCTAAAAGGTTAGAAAAGAGTTTAATAATATAAAAACAAATAAGAAAACTACATGTATTAATAAAGATTTAACTCCAGATTCAAATAAGGAATTCCAAATTGCTCCCCAAATTCCAATGAAAAGCACTCTGACCATTTGAATATGTCAGTTGTCAGCTCTCTTAATGAAATAAAATAGCAACCATACAACAAGGCTGGTACTGTAGCATCCGCCTTACTGGTAAGAAAACTCCAGTTCAGAATAATCAAATTCCTTGCCCAAGATTGTCCCAGGTAACAAACAACAGACACAGCTCTTTTGACCTTGAGTCTGGCACACTTTACAGCATTTTATGCTGCCTCAGCAGTATTTTTCTTCATAGATTAATTATTTCCATTTGGTACAAGGTGGTCTTTTCCCAGTTTGAGTGGCATGAACAATATTTTCTGTTGCAAAACCATCCCTGGGGATGCTTCCTCAATGTGGAGCTGTGATATTGCACTCCCCATCCAAGCCCCTCTGAGTGCAGCCAGAAGGCACCCTTAGCCTTGCACACTTCGCTGAAAGTGAGAAGTTGTTCTTAGGCTTGCTGCACATCATAAACACCTGTGAAGGTCTAAAAATGGCAACTTCTTAGCCCTAACCGCTGAGATTAAAATTTAATTGGTCCAGAGTGTAACTTGGGCCTCAGGCGCCCTAAAAGCTCCCCAGGTAATTTTATTATGAGGCAAAGTTATAGAACCACAGATCTAAAACTTTAAAGGCACCTTAGGTTCTGTAATAGGTACCTTTATACTGAGCAATGCATTAGAATCACTTGGACAGACAGTAAAATACGTATTTCCAGGTCCCATCCTGGAAATACAGGGGTAGGAATCATGGGTAGAAATCCCATGATTCTGACGTAGTCAACAGTTGGCATTTTGCAAACTGCTGATTTTGGACGCCTAAAACATGGACAGATTAGAGAAATGGACTATTGCAAACTTTGGGAATCACCGGAATCCTCTTTTAACTACCAGAGCCTCTAAGGAGGCTTATTTCTGAAACTTAGTACCAATTATACATCCTTCAGTCATCACGATTTAGCAACTCTTACAGAAAGAGAACAGAAAAGAAGAAGATGAGTCCAGGCTCAGACAGGTGCACAGAGTCGGTGCTGGGGAGGTGAGGGGGCACCTGATGGCTTTTGTTTTTCTAACGAAATGAGAGGCAATGCCATCTGTGGGCAGCATGTGAGGGGAGTGGTGCAGAGGGGAATTATGGGTGATGAGCTTGAATAGAAAAACAAAGGTCTAAAATAGTTAGTGCAGAGAGTGGGATAATGAGCTTAGTAGAGGAAAACCGGTAGGATTTCTTAGAATTTTTGAGTGAGAATTGAAATTCTTAATTATGAATGTATGAAGATGATATTATACTCTTTTGTCTTTTTCTAAACATTCTATACTGGTGTTCACCTTCACAGATAAAGGCATGAAGACTATATGTGAATCTAACCAAGATTAGTGTTTTGAAAAACAAATGGAAGGAAACAGCAAGCATGCAAGAGAAATGACGGTCTTTCTAAAGGGAAAGTTATTTTCAAAAGATGTAGTAGATTGAACTATTGCTTCTTCATATTCACTCTGCTTTCTTGTAAAAGAATTATATACAGTTGCACCATGCACGGGATTTGTAGTGTCTCCCATTGGAGAAGTATGTATCCTCACCCAGATGACATCAAGCTTGTTTGTGTGACTTGCTTTGGCCAATGGCATGTAAATGAATGTGGCATGTATCACATCTAAGCCAAAGCATTGAGAGTCGTGTTTTGCCAGCCATATCATTTGCTTTTCCACCCTTTGGGAAACGGTTGAGTTTCTACTCACACTGCCTCTGATCCTTTAAGCCAGAAGATCAAAGCTATCTTCATCCAACGTGGAGTAGCTGATAAGGCAAGCTACAGTTGGCCCAGCACTGTTTGGGGTAATAAACGTGAACCTTCTGATTTGCTTTGGGGCTATTGTTATTTCAACTTTGTTTCCACTTACCCAAAACTTCTTATTCCATTAGCCCATCCTAACTCAGTCTTTTACCCTTTGGACTTGATGTTAGTATTTTGTACCTTGCTGCTTGAGCTTGACTCTCGGCTCCAATGAATGCCTCAGGGACTTTTCTGGAAATTTTCCTGGCCTTCTCTTCTTCCAACCTGTCCAGCTATTCCTGCACTGTCTGGACCCACAAGCTCAGAGAAAGGGCAGATTTGAACAGTTCCTGTTCTGAGGAATGCTCAAGGGGGACTGATTGTTCCTGATTGCAAAGGCTACGTAGTAGGTTGTGCCTCCTCCTCAATTTAACTAGACACAGAAGATGATACTCAGGGCCCTTAAGGAGGTCATTCCAATCTGGAGAAGCTGGTTCTAATGAGATCCAGTAGCCAAGAAAGAAACTTGTATCAGCCAATTCAAGTGGCTTCTGCCACAAACGTAGCATAGATTTTCCTTGAAAATCTAGGTGCATTGTTTTCTAAAGGTCTTCTTTTGAGCTCAAGACATTCAGGCTGTACTATTATGCATATAGCTTAGAAATATGATTTTAAAATAAATTAAAGCCTAAATATTGTTGGAGATATGAGAAGTGTTGCAGACTGAGTTGTTATAAAAGATGTTGCAAACAAATTGTATCCTTTGAAGTCCTAACCCCTGATGCGACAGTGTTTGCAGATGGGACCTTGGGGAAATAAGTAGGTTTAGATGAGGTCCTGGGCTCTGGTCCAATGGAAGAAACACCTGAACATTTTCTCTGTGTGTGTGTGTGTGTGTGTGTGTGTGCCTGCATGCACCAAGGATGTCACAAAAAGGTGCCCATCTACAAAACAAGAAGGAGGCCCTGACAGAGAACAAATTGGCTAGCAACTCGATCTTGAATTTCCCAGCCTCTGGAAGTGTGAGAAATAAATTTCTGTTGTTTAAGCCACCCATTGTATAGTATTTTGGTATGGTGACCCAAGCCGACTAACACAAAAGGTAAAAAGAAAAAAATATGTTTTCTATGACAAATCTGACTCAATTTTCAATATTCCCACTTACTAGAATTTTGTGAAAATCTTTTGGTTTACAATATTTCCTATTTAGGAAACAGTATACCTAAGCTCAGTCATATTTTACTGCCTTCATTCATCACCTGTTCTTAATGAAAAAGAAATTTAAGTAAGTGAATGATGAGATGGATCAAATTATTCTCTAGAGCTCTAGAGGGTGTTTCATGCTCCCTAGATGGTTTATAAATTCTTGAACATTTGTATACAAATTGATCAAACATGCAAATCAGTAATCTGGGACTGAAAAGACAGAAATGATCTTGGAAATTGCATTTAGGAAAAAAAATTACAGTATCGTGTTGGTAGACACAAAAGAACTTTGATGAAAGCAGCTGTTAAATTGTTAATTTAACAAAAAGATGGAGCTGATGATTCAAAAATGATCAACTAGGTTGCAGATATTCTGCACTCTGAATAGCATAGGCTGCACAGCATTCAACCCTCTCCTCTGCTGTAATTTGAGGCTGCATTCTATCTGCATTAGCAGAACTGTTAATAAATCACATGAGCAAGAAATGAGGAACTGAAAATCTGCAGGTGTTTGATAATGCCTCAAATATCTTCACCACATGTTTCAGAGGAGTCATGTGAGTTCAGAAACATGACTTGGTGATTACTCACTGTATTGCTCTGGCTGCAGTCTAGCTAACTTCTACGGGATACATTTAAATACAGGTTAGGGTCACTATGATGTTTTCTCCCGTCTAGCCCTCAGGACTGGCTTCGATCCTTTGTGTACAGTAGATATCGGTACCCATTGGTCAACTCATGGTTCCTTTGCCATGGAACATTTTTTTCCTTGACAAATCCAGATTTGTTCTCATTCTGTCCCTCTCTCTCTATCCCACCTCTCTCTCTCTCTCTCTCTCACACACACACACACACACACAAAGATATTTTAACTGTGAATAGAACAGTAAAAGAGAAAAGTTGTGCTTACGTAGTCTCTAGGTTTGATATAAGCGTTATTATCCAAAGGACGATTCTTAGTGTTATAATTGAGAAAGTATGAGCTGAAGTCTGTAACTAAAACATGAACTCAAGGTTTGGCATCTACTAGTAACTGATTGGACACCAAAAATTAAAGGACTTACCAGAACCAGTCTTATAAGGCAGGTATTGTTCTCTATAAGAAATCTGCAGGACAGGGGATGTGACAGCCTTTGAGATGTAAGTCTCAAATTCTGGGAGCCTTTGACATGGCGTCTGATGCATCTTGATATCCTAGAAACAAAGCCTTTAAAAGGGCAGAGGTGAGCTGATCATCAAGCACATGTGATCTGACGTTCAGGACAATATTCTTTATTCTAATTCAAATCAACTCCTTGATTTTATTTTTCTTTCCTTCTTAAATGCTTTTCTTTCTCAAATCAATTTTTAAATAGAGAAAATTCAACCTTGTTCTATAAGTATGTTTCCCAGGTGTGTTTTATTTAATTCTGTGCAAAAGATCAAGGGAAGAAAGAACCCTTGATACTCTCCTGAAAATATAAATATACACTCATTAGCACTTTTGACAAGATGGTTCATACAGTGCTTTCAGCCCAATAAGGAGACATCATTGTAACAGTAGCACAGGGCTCTCCCTGCATTTGTGTAGAAAGGACAATAGCCAAGTAATTAGTTTTAAGAGAAGACTCAAGATTCCACTTGTCCACAGATATTCCCACCAAAAAGTAGGACTTGGCCCAAAACTTTACTCTTAGAAAAAAAAAATATTCTGAGTTACAATAGATTCAGTTAGGAAAAAGTTATTGGCAGAGAACCCTCTGAATTACCTGGAGGTGGAAGGAGGAACCCCCATTCTTACCCCACTAGTCCAGTTTTTCCAACAGAACACATGTATAGACCTCTGCAAGTATTCTCAAGTATATCTGATTCAACTAGCCATTTTCCTGGTGGCATGACATTTATGAAACAGCAGGTGAAAGGCAAACATACACAACTCCAAGAATACCTCATCAGGCAGAGTGATGACTGTGAAGAAGTGAGTAGAGGCCCAGGATTCAGGGGAAATTTTCTTAAGAACAAAATCCAGGCCCTATCACCTACTCTTGTACACTTATCTTCCTAAGCCTCAATTTCGTCATTTGTGTAATGAGAATAAGAATCGCCTTTACCTTACAAAGTGGTTGTGAGAATTAGATCACACATGTCAAGTGCGTATTGCAAAATAAATATCCATCCAAATATTCTCTATGTCTGTCTGTCTGTCTGTCTATCACTATCTATCTGTCTATCTATCTATCTGTCTATCTATCTATCTATCTGTCTATCTATCTATCTATCTATCTATCTATCTATCTATCTATCTATCTATAGTATTTAGGTCTCCCGTAAACAAATGCAAGAATAAGATAGTGACAATCTAGCCTTAAAAAGCAAGGGTTTTATTGAAATCAAAATCATTTTGATTTAACTGAATTATATGACTTTAAAAGTAGCCATATATACATTGGTAGTATTACTAGCATCACTAGAAGAATTACATAAAAATGATAGCAATGATAGTTCCATTTATTTTAGCTACACATATTGCCTCAGATTATTAGATCCAATTTTGAATTCTGTTTACTAAGATATATTTAACAGGTATCTTCATATCTTCATATCTATCTATCTATTACCTGTCTATCTATTTATCTATCTATCTACACACACACATATAGTTATAGATGAATGCTCAGAGAAGAGCAATCTGGATAATTACATTTAAAAGCTAAAAATGAAGAAACTTGCATTAAGGAGAATGGTATAGAAAAAAAATACTCAGAAGCACAATATAATTATCTTCAAATATTTGTTAGACTGACACGAGAAAATGCTTAGGAAAACTGTGAAGGGCTTTATGGAGTAAACAATCTGTTAGAAGCTGAGGAAAGCAGAAATAATCACAAAATTTGAGAACATTTCTAATATTTGGAAATATTCAAGATAATACAAGATGTCTTGCAAAATATGAAACCTGTTTATTCAATAAAAACTTACTAGTTGCATAGTCTACTCAAGGCACCAGTTTAGATATTATAAGGATTCAATAGATCTATACAATATTGTTTCTGTCCTTAATAAGCTAATAATCTTGAAGCCAAAATGGTTACTGGGTAATCATGTGATATAGCAAAGTAGAAAGAATGTGCTACAAGAGTGGAAAGGAAAATGTTGCTGCTCTCCTCATTAAGATGGTGTATTTCTTTCCCTATTCCCAAAAAGAAAAGTCTCTGAAGTTTAGATCAGAATGAAACATTTTAGTTTGGATAGAAAGAGATAAAAGATGAAGTCAGATTTAAGAATAAGACTCAACAATTAACAGGAATAGAAGAAAGATAAGTATTTTCTATCCTACATTGTTCAGTCTGCATTTTCAAAGAATGCCGTTAAAAGGATGTAATTAGGGGTAATGAGGTGCAAAATTTCATGTATAAAAAATGATCTTGTTAAGGGCAGTTTAGGCAGATAGTGCAGCTAAAAAATGAATTTTAACTCTCTACTA
Organism: Homo sapiens; assembly: GCF_000001405.40. Classification (NCBI taxonomy): domain Eukaryota; kingdom Metazoa; phylum Chordata; class Mammalia; order Primates; family Hominidae; genus Homo; species Homo sapiens. The sequence continues at coordinate 6,348,678 of NC_000002.12, forward strand.
ACTCTATGCCAATATTATATATCCCTGACTTTTCTCTATATCAAATTCCAGTAGAATTTTTTTAAGTCAGAAATTTAAATGAATCTGGTATACAAATCTCCTTTTGATTAAAATTATTTGAGTTTTTTTTTTCATTTAAAAGTGGGAAAATCTTATCACAGTCTTGAATAATAAAATGCCTTTTGTTCAGCTCTCATTGATTAGTCATCTTCTTACCCACATTGATCAAATTCAGGAGTCTGGACAAAGTGTCTATTACAGAGATGCTTTCCTTCCTAACAGAGGTTAGGAAGGTAGTTGGTCTGAGTACATCTCTGCAGTTGAGTCCCTCTGTTCAGCCTCACCCTCCTTAGCAAAGAGCAGAATATTCAGATGAGGTGGCTGATTCCCAGGCTTTGATAATCCTAGGACCCTTTTTTAAAAATGTATTTCTTAACTCTAATCTCATACATTTGGTCAATGAAAAACTGAATGTTTCAGCACTTAAGGTCAAAATATGTAGTATACGTATCATTTTAGATGTTATAGGAAAGCAAGCAATAGTATAAGCCTGGGTAAGTGGCAAAGGTTTCCAAAATATCTTTAAAAAAATTCTCCTATTAAGTTTGGTATCTATTGTGACAAATCCAATAAAACCCAAGATGATCCTTAGTTTGACATTCATTTGAATACACATTTAATTGAACATTTTCAAGGTGACAAGATTGACCGTGCACTAGAAAAACTCACAGATACTTTCAGACTGTGGGAGAAACTGATGAAGAAGCTCATGGTTCCTCTGCAGTGTGGTGAGTTCTCTCGCAGGTACCATAGAGTGATGTGTCAGAACCCTGATGAGCTTCTCAATCCTGCGGAATGTACAAGGCAAAGCTTTCTGATAGAGATTACTAACTTGAACTAAAAAAGAGTTAGTACAATTTTAACAGTTTTGAAAAAGCCAGAAGGGCAACTCTAGCAACTCCATGATTCCATCATAGGCTGTCACAATTGCTATTTCAGAGTGTGTGTTTGCAAGTCATTGTTTATTCAGATCCGTGTCAACACAAGTGTGTGTTCTTTTCTGCCTTGAAATTTCTTCTTGTTCCAAGTTTCACATTTTTATGGGAATATATAGGTACTTATTGCATTTTAATTTTTGTTAACAATGGAACAACAGAAGGGTAAAAAATGTGGTTCTCTCTGTTCAACTCATCTCTAAGTGTAATGCTGGAGGAGAGAGGATTATGTCATGTGGAAACTAAGGTAGAACAAAAGGTTTCAACAGCAACGTTTCAACCCCGGGAGGGTCTCAGTCTATACTTTTCTCCACCAGGTCCTCCTCTGGTGCAGCATGAGAATGGGAGGAGGAGACATCGTCAGTGTTTCCTCCTGAGTTCGCTTGCCAGGGGCGCCAGCTTTTCACGAATTCAAACAACAATGACATGGACAGGTTTACAGTAAAATATGTCTATCCTGAAAAAGAAAGGAATTGACAGCCAACCCACTGGCTGTGCTCATCGCTTGCTGAGCCGCACCAAGCAAGGCCATCTTCTGAGGATCTACAAATGTGTGGCATGGTAATGATCTCACCTTCCAAGGAGCTATGACGTATTTAATGAGGTGTGGATCCAGGGAAACAAAAGTCACGCACGCAGTATGGAGGGGATTGGAACCCATCAATATCTGAGACAAACAGTAACATAGCACGGGGACTTTTGTTACAAATGTCCTGCTCTCTTCCTCTTCCACCTTCAATCTTAGCATAGAGCATGCAGTGTGAACATCAGTGAAACCGATCTGGTTTCAAATAAAAGATTTGTTGCATTTTGACTATGAGGCATTTTGCAAGTTGCTTAACCTCTCTGAGGCGCAATCCCTTGATTTGTGAGGCAGAGATAACACCTTTTTCAAAAGGTTGATTTAAGACCATAATAAAATCATGAGCATGAGAAACTTAGCATAGAGTCTGGAACATTTCAGCTGTTCAATAAATTTTGGTTTCTGTCCATTTTCTCTACCTTTTTCCTCTCCCACTAGAACACGGGGCAGAGAAGGTCCAGTGTGTTAGCCTTCAGAATCTTTTAGTTATTGGGGTTATTTTTTTGGAGAATTTTATTTTTTGGCCTATTTGTTTGTTCTCAGAGAGATGGATGAGATCTAAAATGTACTTCTACTGTTTTCTTCCCCATTTAAAAAAATGTAAAAACCAGAACGAAACACGTCTTTCCAGTCACAGGTAACTAAGTAGGAAGTATCCAGTAACTTCTTATCTTTGGGGAAAAATGTTACCCACAATACCCCAGAGTCAGCTGGGCGACAAGGGGATCTTTTTCCTATATCCCCCGCTCAGTGCAATTCTAGTCAAAAAATTAGCCATGCGTGGTGGCGGGTGCCTGTAGTCCCAGCTACTCGGGAGGCTGAGGCAGGAGAATGGAGTGAACTCAAGAGGCAGAGCTTGCAGTGAGCTGAGATTGTGCCACTGCACTCCAGCCTGGGCGACAGAGCGAGACTGCCTCTAAAAAAAAAATAAAACTCAGCAGAACTAGTCCATGGATATAATGTGCCATCTTGAGGAAATCCACACCTTTTTTTTCCACTCTCTCTCTCTTCTTTTTTTTCAGTTGAAGTATTGTTTAGAAGGCACTTTTAATTATAATTTTGGTTAACTGATTAACGTTAACTTGTATATGACTTATATTGACCACTAAACTTTGGGCCTGGTTGCCCGGTACCATCTGTTTAATTGCCATTTCTATATGAATTCTTCAGTTTTGATATTTGTTTCTCATCTTGTGTGCATTTAACATTACAATCCCCATAAATGCTTCTTTTAAGATGGCTGAATATCTGTAAATACACTTGTCATTTGTATTTTTGGTGGAATTTTTTTGTTCACGTGCACCCTCTTTACTCCCTGGATGTCTTGAAAAAGAAACTGTGACACGTTTTTATCAATACAATGTTTTATTTATTAGTAGAAAAAATGTTAAAAATAAGTACCTATTTTAAGTGTTTTTGTGGAATAAGTAATGCAATAAAATGAAAAGCCAAACTCTGTAGAACTCAAAATGTGTTAAGTATGCAAAGACCAGAAACCTTATAAAGGTGGCAACATATTCTAGATACTTTCAAGACCTTAAGCACCCATGATTACTTGACCTCCACTTCTTTTATCATTTCTACTTGCAATCCATCAGACCTGTTTAAGTGAGAACTCGGGTAGATCTAAAGGTCTTTTCCATTTTATACTCTTTTTTTCATATAAATTTTCAGAAATGCAAAAATTGTAGTGTGAAACTGTGTGAACTTGAAATGTTTAAAGTTAGTATAGTATGTTAAAGACCTATTTGATTATGAACTAGGGCTAATAATCTTAGATTAATTCAGATTTTAATTAATTCAAACATGGGTTACCATGTTTGAATCTTGTTGTTCTAAAGTTTTCTAATTAGTTGTCTTCCCTCAAACAAGAGTGAATCCAAGTGATTGATACAGCCTTTTCCTTTTGTTTTTAGTATTCTGGGCCTAGACTCACAGTGGTTCTTAACATTAGCCACTCATTAGACTCGGAGAAGTCTAATGAGTATTCCCCAAGTCTGTGCATTCAATATAGAGTCAAGTGAGAGCACCTGGATCTGGAGAAAGGAGGCGAGGAGGTAATCTAGAAACAGCTCTGTCAGTGGTGGCCATTCATTCAGCCAGGGGAATCTTAAACACGAAGACTGAGAGATTTCTTTAAGAGAACTTTCACTTCTCTTTTGTCGTTTCCCAAAGGGTTCCATTTGTAAACCAAAGCTTAAGAATGTATTTTGGTCATAAAGGTAAATTCGCAGTTTCTCACGTTCTCAGGGACTGTTCTGAAAGCAAACTGACAGGAGGAAAGAGAAAGCCAAAGGTGAAAAAAGTGAGGCCAGTGCCCTCAGACTGACTTTCCTCATGGACTCAAGGACTTAGCCAATGTAACCTGGACACTGAGACTTTCCCAAAAATAAGACCCAGGGTGACAGTGCTGCTTCACTGAGGACAAATACAATTAAATGAAATTAATAAAATTTTTTTTTTAAATAAAAAATAAACCAGGTGTGGTGGCTCACACCTGTAATCCTAGCACTTTGGGAGGCCAAGACAGGCGGATCATGAGGTCAAGAGATTGAGACCATCCTGGCCAACATGGTGAAACCCCGTCTCTATTAAAAATACAAAAATTTGCCAGGCATGGTGGCGCGTGCCTGTGGTCTCAGCTTCTCGGGAAGCTGAGGCAGGAGAATCCTTTGAACCTGGGAGGTGGAGGTTGCCGTGAGCTGAGATCACACCACTGCACTCCAGCCTGGCGAAAGAGCGAGGTTCCTTCTCAAAAAAATAAATAAATAATAAAATAAATCATGGTCAGGCTTTGTTCCAGGCCCCAGAATTCCAGGATGGAGCAGTTCCCATGCCCGTCACCAGGTGGCAGAGGGGCTTTGCATCCAGGCCTCCCGGGCGTCCCTGGGGCAGCACCTCTGGCTTAGGAAGCAGAAGTTTAGTGAAAATTCAAGGGAGTGCAAACCTTACAGTAAAACAGAAATCTTGTCACTCTGCAAAGCTGGACTCCAGTTCAGAAAGCCAGGTCTCAGCCTTGGACCTGAGGGGTTTGGATGCTTTGGGAAAAGTAATTTCAGTGGAATCATAGGGGTATCACTCCATGGCCAGAAGCAAGCTCAGCTCCAGTGTAGTGCTGTAGTTAAAGAAACAAAGCCAAACCTGTTAAGTCTAACTTCACTTAGAAAAATAGTAAGTGAATAGATCTAAGTTTTTAAATTGTTTAAATGTTCACGGAAGAAGACACCGAATCTTGATTGTTCCCACAGTTTCCCCAAATATTACACAGTCATTGACATACAACAGAAGTTGGATTTATATTTATGATGGAAAGAAAATAGCACCCAAAATATTGACAAAGGAAAATAATGGAAAAGGCACATTTGTTTCCTTGGTTTGGCATGGGATGGAGTGGAAAGAGCATATGTTTTGACCCAAGGTAAATCTGGGTTTGAGTGTCTACTTTGCCGCTTCTCTAGACCTTTCGGCAAGAGCTACTCAGCGGCTCTAGGATTGTTTACTTGGCTTTAGAATGAGGGCTAGCGTGTGCATTAAAGCTTGTAGCTCAGAGTTGTTGCAAAGATTAAAGAAAACAAGAAGTGAAATACATGGCAGGTAGTGAGTGTTCAGAAACCTTTAGATCTCTCCCCATCAAAACTTCAGTGTGAGAAAAGTATTCTCTGGTGCTCAACCACCAACTCTGATTTTGAGACTAGAACCATGCAAAATTGTTCTGTGACCTGAAAATAATTTTCCAGATTGTGGAAATCACTGGAACATATGCTGTGGTCATCTGGCAAATTCTCTTTCTAACATTTGTGACTGAGTGCCCCTTTTAAGTACCTCTGAGAAACCCTGGAAGTTGATTTCCCATACATTTCAAATAAGTATTCTGTGAACACAGTAGTGTTAGGACATTCTGGGAAAACTCATAATGTCCTCAGCGATTTACAGAGTTAACTTGAATCTCTGTGACACCGAGGCTCCTTTAATCATAAAGTCAGAGTGAGATGATTGGACCTCTCAAAAGTACAAATGTTGCGAGTCTGCTTTGAATAAAATATACCTTCGATAGTTTCCATTTAATATAATATTACATTCAAGAATTAAGAGACTCCTGAATAATTTATCATTTTGCAAGTATAAGTGATCACTAATAATATTGCATTGTTATTTATTAACATTTATGCCCACCACAATTCTATTATGTAAATAATATAACAGATTATCCAACTATATGTTTAATACTGTGGGTATATATTACTAATAGCTGAGCATAATATGACTTGATGCACAGTGAGGAATGAAGATGAATGAGAATTCCAGCCTAGGGAATGTTTTATGGATGAAATGTACATTAGATATTTTGAGGGAGATGTCTAGGCAATATCAACACTGGATTTTGTTTTCCCGGGACAGGATTAGAAAACAAAGCCTGACTTGTATGACAGTCATAACCAGTTCTGAAAATGCACAAAAGCACTATTAAGGCCAAGTATGGACTCTAGATCATCAATGCTACCTAGTTGTCATTCATTCATTCAGTCATTCATTCGTTCACTTAGGACATGCTTATTTGTCATAGGCTGGTCATTAAGAATATAACAATCACCAAAAAAAGATACTATCAGCCAGGTGTGGTGGCTCATGCCTATAATCCCAGCACTTTGGGAGGCAAAGGAGGGCAGGTCACCTGAGGTCAGGAGTTCAAGACCAGCCTGGCCAACATGGTGAAAGCCTGTCTCTACTAAAAATACCAAAAAATTAGCCGGGCGTGGTGGGAGGCGCCTGTAATCCCAGCTACTCTGGAGGCTGAGACAGGAGAATTACTTGTACCCAGGAGGCAGAGGTTGCAATGAGCCAATATTGTGCCATTGCACTACAGCCTGGGCAATAAGAGCAAAACTCCATCTAAAAAAAACCAAAAAAACAAAAAAAAGATATTATCACCAACAAATACTCAACAAAAAAACCCTTACACAACTAAGGAGAAAATCCCCCACTGCAATGAGGAAAATGAAGAAAGTGTTCAGGGGAATTGTGGAAGTTCCATTTAAAAAAATTGCAGAAGTTCAGTGTATAAGCTGAAATGTGAAGGATGGCTAGAGATGAATTATCAAAGAATTAGGGATGACATGTTCTAGGCCTGGGGTTGGACACAGTATTCCTTATTTTTATGAGGTAGATTCAGACAGATGTGTTCAAATACTACTTATTATCTTTGTCATATTAGACACCTATTAGCTTTGTCATATTAGAAATATACTTAGCCTGTTAGCGTTTCAAGTTCCAAATATCTAAAACAAGGTTAATAATTACAATCTTAAAAAACATCACAGAGCTTTAAAGAAAAAAAGATGTGTAAATTTCCCTACTATAACGTCTGCACATAGTAGGTACCCACATAATAAATGCTGATTACATATATTACCTTTACTTCCTCATTTTTACTTAACGGGATCCTACCCCTACCTCACTCCACATTCTCCTTGACTCTATCTTCTCACATAAACTACATGTATCACATTTTTCTGAATGTAAGATAGGGAAATTTCTATTATCTCCTCTTTTTGGGGGTTTCAGATTAATCTAAAAAAAGGCTTGATAACAACAAAAATTCTTGACTTAAAGAGAAATTCATTGATGTTAATTACAACACAGGACACAATCCCACCTCCCTTGGTGCAAATAAATCCTCCCTGAGGTTTGTGATGAAGTCTGCCTGCAGTATTTCCTCTGCAGCAGTGGAGATCTATGCCAAGTGAGAGGGAATTTTCCCATGTGCTTCTCTCTCCTGGCCATTCATCACCTAAAGGATCCTCTCCAAGCTTCCAAGGGGCTGATTGAGGGCCTGGGGGAAGGTGCATCTACCCAGTGTGGGCCTCCATCCAGTGGTGTCTGATAGCCCTGGGCCAACTGCCCCCATCTGGTCCTCGGCCTGCTGACTGGAGGGAAGTGCTTCACCAGGATAGAGTCTCAATGATTTAGGATGATCAGAGTCATACTCACTCAAATCCCAGTTGTAATAAGGGGGCCACTTTCCTCCAGCCCTGCCCCAGCCTCTGAGTGTGAAAGCAGGTTCTCCTTCTCCCTAGGGCACATCCCCCTGGGGGCCCCTGCCAGACCTGCCGTGTCAGGCGGACTCCATTAACCCTGGTGGTCAAGAACTTCATCAGAGTCTGAGCCAGGGGAGAGCCAGCCTTGGAAGCTGCCTGGCAGCGAGCCCAACCCCCCAAGAGCTGCAGAGACCCCCATAGAGCCAAGACTGAGAAAATTGGACACAACGAAGAGTGAGCCTGGGTTCTTTTGCCTTTGATTTGATGGAGAAGGACATCTGCTGGCAGGAAATCAAACTCAGTATTATAGATTTCTCTTTACAGAATTTGGAACATACCAAACCAAAGCATGTCACACAGTTGGATGGCCTCTCGCTGCTTGGGAGGAAAAAATGAGGGGGCTTTGGATGACCCAGAAAAAAGGGTTGACCTCCAGGCTGCTCCATTATAGTAAAAAGTGATTTTGATGAAGGCAGACTCTGCAGGTCAGAAGGGGCACTTGTCCTGGTACTGCATCCTCAAGTGCTTCAAAATGTTATAACTTGATTCATGACTTTTTCAGCTCTTTTTGCTGTACTTTTCCAGTACTTAATATAGTATATTTAAACTTTAAATAATACGGTTGCTTCCTGCCATCACTTTTCTCCTATTCAGACACTGGTGCTATCCCATTGTTCTCCGTGTTCCTTCTTGGATCTAGAGCGGCTCCTACTTATAATGAGGCATAATTGGTGTCACGTGTCTTCAGGCACACGCAGGCTGCACATGTGCAAGAAAAATAGTTCTCACAGCAATCCTCTCCTCTGCGTTCATTCCTCATCATTTGCTTAAGGGAAATCATGCCCTAAACCAGGTCTGAGGGAAACCTAGGAGAGATGTTGCATCTATTTTGGCAAAAACTCAACTGTTTTATGGAGACAGCCAGGCAGTCATTTTCCAACACAAGCCCAGGTATGGCCCACACCATCAGCCTCTCCTGTTTCTCACCCAAGGACCGCCTTGCCTGTCGACTTTCAGTCTGTGTCCCTGAAATATCTTCCCCTCCCCCAAACCATTTCCATTTGGCCTGGCCAGGCACTTGGCATTGTCTACTCAAATGTGCTGACACTCAGCGATTCCCTCAGGTTTCAGCCACTCTGATTTCTGTATGCCTTGAAGTCATTTATGAGAACGTCTAAAATGTTATAATATTTATGAAAATATTTTATACAAATTGTAATATTCTCTCTTTTCTGATTTCCAGATAGTCACGGTTGTCTGTCCTCTTCTCTTTAGCCCCGCGCCAGGTATCCCCCTTGAGACTGCACTTCTCCTCCTGAGCCAAAATGCTTGCATATTCCCATGGGTCCTTCAAATAGTGGGGATTTCTGAGAAACCAAACAAATTGATGTAGTAGCTTGAGTATGGGAGCCAGGACAGGGTTGTCCAGGGAAAGGAGGGAATTATAAAATGCTGATGCTGTGCTCTAATGCTTGAGCCCCTCCAAAATGCACATAGAAACCAAATCGCTCTTTGGTGGTGCTAAGAGGGGAGGGCTTAAGGAGGTGATGAGGTCCTGAATTCTACTCTCATGAATAGAATTCTATTCTCATGAAGAGAATTAGCGCCCTTGTAAAAGGGGTTGCAGGGAGCCGCCTTGTCTCTTCCACCACATGAGGACATAGCAAGAAGGCACTGTCTAGGAAGCAGTTTCTTAGCTTAGATTCCCAGAGTCCGAGAAGACTTAGCACAACCTTAGGGAGCAAGATTGAGGGAAGAAAAGAGGGCAGCAGAAGAGAAGACGTCAGGATGAAGGTGCACTATGAAGCTGGAAGCCACTGAGTGCAGGCAGGTTGCCAGGTGCCTGGGGAAACTGACGCTCTGGGAATTGTTTCTCAGCACATTCCTTTTCAAAGAGAATAAAGGAAGAGTTTATCCATCAGATATATGTAGCCCCCCATTTCCGGGTTGTGCACTTGTAGCCCCTCACTTCTGGGTTGTGCTAAGCAAGGATATTTTTGGCGTGCCAAAATTGCAGCATCAAGAAGGAAGCCGAAGGCAGGAGGTGAGAGGCTAACGCATCCAAGAGGTGGGATTCTCTCAGGAACACACACATAAGCTCCGTGATGGAGCCAAAGCAGGGACTTCTGTCGATTCCTCCCTTGTGATGGAAACTGCAGCCCTGATAGCACACTGCAAGAGTTGCTCAGGTCAAAGGGCGCATCCCCCAATGTGCACCGGGGCAGCATGTGACTGCCGGACAGTGGCTATGCTACAGTAAACTCTGGCTCAGCCTGGCCCTCTCTTTCCTACCCAGTTCCTTCCTTGTCAACACTGCCAGTACCTTCCCCCTGTCAACCAGGTTAGCACAGAAACTGTGATGAGCACTTCATGCTTTGTTTCTGTCTTCAGTAAGTTTTACGTCATGTCATTCACAATATGAGGGAGTGTATAACCAATAAAGATGCCAAGACAATCCGTCCTAAGTGCAAACTGCCTGGCACAGGAGTCAGACTGAAAGCATTCCATATGGGCTAAGGAACTCATCAGGAGGAGGGAAATAAATCCGAGAGTTCCTGTTCCCTCTAACACCGATCAGTCTAGAATCCCAGAAGGCAAAGGGCAAACTGTGTCCCTCCCGTGCATTTTTGCACTCTGTGTATTTTTTTCAAAATATTCATTTCTGATAGTTTAATACCTAAAGATGATTTCATTTATTGCAGTGCCTATAAGCAATATCAGAAAAGCACAACCTGACCTTTTTAAAATAATTTTATCTCTGGGCTATGTGATGTGGAAATGAAAGGAAAGCTCATTCCAGAATATAGGAGAAATAGGTAAGACTACTGTCCTTTTGGTGTAACCATATGGCTTTGTCAGTCACACAGTCTGATGACGTCAGCGCATTTCATCTGAGTACCCAGTGATGTGTCGTGTTACCTCTGGCCACCAGACAAACATCCCTGGCCACACAGGGCTGACACAAACTTCCACTCTGGGCTCAAGGTAGACGCCCTCCATTGCCCTCCATTCTAAGGATGAAGAGGTTTGGAATTCAGGGATAAACTGGAAGCATGAAAAATAAGCAGCTGGAGGGAGCCCCGTCAATGAAGAAAGAGTTAGCCCTGGGTGGGGGTGGGAATAAGAGTTTCAGGCACCCTCATCTTATAGACAGGCACCACAACAAATTCTCCGAATTTGCATTGCAGTTCTTCAAAGGATTCCTCCAGTGATATCAGAGTTAGAAGGTTTTCAGTCTGATGAATGGGGAATATAGATAATGCTAAGTCCCCAGAGGGATTATATAAATGGCTTTTATTCAGATTTCCTAAAAATAGCACTATTCATTGCTTTTTTTGTCTCACATTATTAAAGTACTGTAAGTTCACTTTTAAAATGTTGGAAAAAAGCACAAAATTATGAAGACTATAGAAATGACCTATGATTTCACCACCAAATAAGTATCCATGTTTTTCTATTCATCTAATCATGAGTGCATAAAACCATGTTAAATATACAATTTTACATCTTATCTGTTTCATTTAAATTATATCATTAGCATTTTCTCTATTCAGCTAGGCATTGTTTGAAACCTCATTTTAATGTCATTTGCATATTGTTTTATTGAGCAATAATTTTTTGATCATCGTGTGTGTGTGTATGTGTGTTTATGTGTGTGTGTTTCTGATTTTTCTATGCGCAGGAAATTCTTGATCAATGAATATAGTCAAGATATGATTCCTGCTTTTGGAGGAAAGTCTGACGAAAACAAGAAAAGACAGAAAAGCCTCCATGGGGCTGAAATTCAGAACAGAATGTCTCCTTCTCCTGGAATAAGCCCGGACAAGCCATCAACATTTTGGGGTAGTGCCAAGGTGAAGCCTCCATTCATAACTGGCTGGAGTCTGGGCATGGTTAGAATGGCAAAGGCAAGTGTTCCACGTCACAGAGGTCTGGAAGTTCTCCTTTGGGGCACTGGATCACAGGGATGGGGACAAAAGAACCCAGCCAGCTGTGCTGAGGCAGAGCACGCATCTCCACTGCTGGGACAGGGTGAGGACTTTATTCTAAGACCCTAGGAGGGAGGGAGAGATACTAATCTTTATTCCCATGACTAAGATGGGCTCAGAAATTGCTCATCAAAGCAAAGAATGAAATTGCCCTGTATGCCAGGGACACTTCCAAGATGCTTCATAGAAATTAACTCATGCAGCCTTCATGACCACCCTTGAGGTTGGTAGGTGGTGTCATCCCCAAAACACAGCTGAAGAAACTGGGATGCAGAGATACTGAGTGCTTTGCTGAAGGTCACCAAGCAAGTAAAGGAGGGAGGTGGGATTGAAACAGCAGGTGACCCTAAGGCTCTTCTGCATCTCTCCCCATCACCAAGCACAGAGCATGAGGCCTGACTGTGTCTGCAGGAGGAGATCGGGGCCTGAGGGGAGGGAAATGTTGTGGAGAGCAAAAGCAGAAGAGCCCCAGCAGAAGCAGATGCCTGGAGGAACACCTTTGAAACAAAGTCTAAAAATATCATGTCTCTGATTATGGTTCAGAAAGATTCCCATTTGGGTGTGGGCTTATGTAAGTTTGTGTGTGAGACGTGTGTGTGTGTGTGTGTGTGTGTGTGTGTGTGTGTGTGTGTAGGGAGCTGGAAAGGGGGAGGTGATGGTCCCTCTTTCTAGGTCCCTGCAGTGGTTCTTCCCTGCACCTCCCATGACAGCAAGAATGCATGGTTCCTCTCTGACACCTCCCTAACTGAAGACTCCAGGCTCCAGTGGGCCATGGCCAACCAAGTCCCTGGGAGGCACAGCTGCCTAAGCCACAGGCGGCTGGCAGAGGGGCTCAGCGTCACCCTCCAGAGAATAATCCTCCTCCCAGTCTTCTCATCTGCAGCAGTCAAGGGTGAGAAGGAGCCAGGGAATGACAGAACAAAAGCAGAAAGCTCACCAGACCACAAACCAACCTCAACCAGCTCTTGTCTAAGACACCGCTAAAGAGCTAATCCTCCTGAAATCCACCGAAGGGTTTTAGAGATGGCGGCACTTCCTGCTTTACAGAACACAGCCACTGTATGGTGATCGCCTTGCTTGGAAATTTTTAGCATGGTCAATATAATGGCTTTACTTATAGGTGCTCTTTTGAAATTCAGCAAAATGTTGTTACCAGACTGCCTCCAGGAAACAGAGAATTCTCAGCCACAGCTATTGGAGAAGCACTTTTTAAATGTTATTTTCTGCATGAAGGTATAAAATTATGATACGTCATCCTAATCCAACCCTGTTCCTGTGTCTTTGCCAGACTGTAGGAACAGTCTTCTGCTTCTGGAGTCATAATTATTATGTATTACTAGTTACATCATCAGCACACCACCAAATCAACAGTGCCAGAAAATGTCCGGAGATGTATGATCACCTTCCATTTAGCTTTCAAGAATGGAGAGTCCTGACCACTGAAGACTGAGTTCAATGGCATCCCAAAGCCCATCCCATGAAATACTACGATAATATATCAGCAACTTTTACATTAGCAACGTTTCCATATCTAAGCCCTAATTTTAAGAGAAAATAACACTGCTGGAGAAATCAGCAAACTAATCCAGGTAGGCTTTATTTCTACTGAGTTATAGAAAAACATATAAAACACAAATCAAAAACCAATATATCTTAGAACCCTCAGGGTGATGATGATTTAGATGATAATGTTTTCATGTCCATCCATAAGAAGCTGCCTGGGGGACCGAGTGCGGTGGCTCACGCCTGTAATCCCAGCACTTTGCGAGGCCGTGGTGGGCGGATTACGATGTCAGGAGTTCAAGACCAGCCTGGCCAACATGGTGAAACCCCGTCTCTACTAAAAATACAAAAATTATCTAGGCGTGCCTGTAGTCCCAGCTACTCGGGAAGCTGAGGAAGGAGAATCGCTTGAACCCTGGAATTGGAGGTTGCAGTGATCCAAGATCACACCACTGCACTCCAGCTTGGGCAATGGAGTGAGACTTCGTCTCAAAAAAAAAAAAAAAAAAAAAAAAAGCAAAAACAAACAAACAAAAAACAAAGAAGCTTCCTGGACTCAGGAAAATGTGTCAGCATTTTGACCTTTGGGACAATGTATATTCTTCTCTTTGCCTGAAATTTATTCTCATTGTTAATAAATCTGCTCAAAAGTTATCTCCCCTATGAAATTCTCTCTCTCTGTGTGTATGTGTATGTCTGTCTGTCTATCTATCTCTGTTTCTTTCTCTCTCTCTCACACACACACACAGAGTTTGCCTGTCCCTGATCCTACATCACGTACGCTTCCTTAACTCCAATCTCACTGTTTATAATGCATTATTCGTGCATTTGTTCTCCCCGATCTATTACATTTTTATTGTTGTCTTAAGAACACTGTTTATGCCTGTACCGGCTTATATAACAATGTGCCATCAACTAGATGCTTTTAAACAACTGAAATTTATTTCTTACAGTTCTGGAAGCTGGAAGTCCAAGATCAAAGTGCCGGCAGATTCGCAGATTCTGTGTCTGGTGAGGGGCCATTTTCGGGTTCATAGACAGTGCTTTCTTACTGAGTTCTCACATGGTGGAAGGGGCAAGACAGCTGTCTCTGGATCCTCTTTTACAAGGACACTAGTCCCATTCACAAGGGCTCCACCCTCACGATCTCATCACCTCCCAAAACTTCCACTTTATGTGGGGAGTTTGGTTTCACCGTGATGAATTTCAGGGGGACACTATGATTCAGACCATAGCATACATTTCACATGAGTTCTACTCTCTGAATCCATTTTTAAGTGCAGAATAAAGTATTATTAGCTATAGGAACAATATTGTTCAGCAGATCTCTAAAACGTATTCAGCTTTTATAATTGAAACTTTATGCCCGTTGAACAGCAACTCTTCTTGAAGGCAAGAAGTTTCGGTTGGGCGCAGGGGCTCATGCCTGTAATCCCAACCTTTTTGTAAGCAGTGAGCTATGAACACACCACTGCACTCCCGTCTGAGCCACAGAATGAGACTGTGTCTCAAAAACAAAACCAAACAAAAACCAAATAAACCAAAAGGACTTTTTTCTCACTCTTTCTATTTCATTTAACTACCATTTCTGAACATTTACAGTACACAAATGACAGTTAAATCTGGAATATAAAATCACTATTCTGAAAGAGTTGATAATCTAACAGGGTAGAAAGAAAAAATAATTTTATTCCGGAAAAATATATTGTGTGGAATTTGTCTTCATATAGGGATAATGAACAGACCACATTTACTTGTTATATTCACGTGATGATTGCAAACTTCATATGATTTTTTTCCTTTGAAACTATCATTTTAAAAGATTTGGTCACTAGCTAGTATGTTTCTTGATGAAAGAAACAAAGTCTCTATTATCTAGCATTTCTATTACCAGTGCCCAGTAGGAACCAGGGATCAAGTGAGAATTCCATAAATAATTGTTACCTGAATGAATGAACTTACAATTGTATGCATGTCTCTACTGATAAGACATATTTGCATGTTGGCCAATCACATAGAGTTTTGCTTTTAATAAATGGTTTGGACTGAAATACTTCAAATAAAGAAAAGTGCAGCATCTTGAAAGTTCTTTAAAATGATCCTTTCTCTTTGGGTTGCCAGAGGATCAAATAATTCTCCTATACTCAAATAGAGAATCAGACTACCCTCTTTTATCTTCATTTGGATGTTTCTCCAAAATGTTCTCAATGCTTCCTTTTCAAACCTAGACTTTGATGACAACATTACTTCTCATCTCCTTGTAAGCACAAGTTTGGCCCTTTTAGATGCCATGAGTGTTTAACAATTTAAGTTCCTTTAGATGCCTGAAACAACTAATTTCTCACTGGGGGTATAAACCTTTATATTTATTGCCACTAATTTACTAAATGAATTGTGTTCATATTCTTTTTGTAACCTTCATAGAAAGAAATTAAGATTAGATGCTGCTATTTCAAAAGTGATCTGAACACCCTGCTGTTTTCATCTTTTACAATATTTAGGATACTACCTCCCAATAATCTGTTTGTAAAAACGAATCAATTATCAACAACATGACTTTCTCATGAATAATTAAAAGAAACAACAACACAAAGGAGGGTTCCACCAGAAACCAGTACATCGCTTCAAAAATCTTAAGAGTGCTTTGCAAAACTCTGCATGAAGTGCCTAATTCAAAGAAGCTTGAGACTTTTAATTCCAGGTCGACTCTGTCTAGAATACAATCAGAAGAATTTCTGCTTTCCAGTTGCCTATGGCTGAGATTCCCCTTGGGAATGAGTTTATCGTTTTGGAAGACAGGAGGGCTTTTTGGTTCCAGCAAGGCTCCATTTGGCAAATTAGTGAGCCAATGTATTTTGTGATGTCCTGATTAAAGAACAAAATGAGCCAGGTGTGGTGGCTTTTACCTGTATTCCCAGCACTTTGGGAGGAAGAGGTGGGAGATCACTTGAGGCCAGGAGTTCAAGACTAGCCTGGGCAATATAGCAAGACTCCAACTCAAAAAAAAATTAATAATGAACAAAACAAAACAACACTACTTAAATTTCTGTAAGTACTGTGTACTCATCATCAAAATGATGCAAATCACTGTAATTTTCCTGTAAACAATTTTTAATAAGAAAAATCTGTGAAAAAGTAAAAAATCTATTAATAATTTAATTTAAAATTTTAGTTCTGACTCTTATTAGCTATGAGAAGCTACATGAATTATTTAAGCTTTCTTGAATTTCTTGATCTGCAAAATTAAAATAAGAATGCCTATTTCATAAAACAGTTAAAAAGTCAAAATGAGAGAGAGTCATGAAAAAAATCTCTGAAAAATAGAACTTCTTTTCTCTTTCTATCTTTAAAAGAGCATATAGGGTGTGTGTGTGTGCATGCATGTGTGTGATTGTGTGCATGTGTGTGTGGTCAGTTTGTAATAATTCAGGTCATTTTTTCACTTCTTTTCCACTTGTTAAATGAGATATGAGGCTTGTAGTAATGACCCAGAGGACTCTAAAGTACTTTCTTCACTTCTTAAAAAGATCAGATTATAAATTACAGATTCAAGAATTAATAGTTGTTTCCTGAATCTTTTCATATATTTGGAAAGTATTTATTAATGGCCAAAAATGTGACAATTATTATGTATTCTGTATGTAAGACGCTTCATAATGTTCTTTTCATTAGAATGTGGACCTTACCACATTCTGGTCCATCAGGATCATGTTATTTTATGAGTTATTTGTTCCTTGACAAAGTCAGGAAGACATATTGTGCACAACAATGAGAATAGGCAAAGCAATGATTCATTCGTTACTGGATACTTTTCCCTCTCTCCATCCTGCATCGTTATAGAATCCCCTAGAAAGCTTTCAAGAAAATTAATTCAAGGGTCACATCTCAGACCAAGTAAGATCTTGATGGTGAGACCCAGATGTTGAAGTTTCCTAAACTCCTAACTGGATTCTTCAATGTATAGTCAGAGTTGAAAACCACTGCTCTAAATGTATTATATAAACCTGCCTTCTTCCCAACTAGGCTAAAACTTTCTTAACAACAAAGTCAAGGCATGACATTATCATTATATCCCCTTTTACCTAGTACAATTCCTAGCACAAAATTAGTAACTCATAAATGTCTGTGAAAATAAGTGTTTTAATATTGATGGTCTCTGCCACCAACAGGATTTTAAGTCCCTGGATGGTCAGGTATTTATAAAACCTCAAACATAACAAAATACTCTGTAATTGGCTAATGTTTATAAGTGTTTCTTGAAGCTACTATAGTCCAATTTCAAGCAATCAAGTACTTGGAGAAGCTTTTTATAAATGAAGAAGTTTGGGTGGTCAATCTCTGGTATGGAGACACATAAGTATTCTGGATAATACAGCATGACTCTGCAAAAGAATAATTTTGTTTTAGTCTTCCTTGAGTTTTTAGTACTTGGTATTGAAAATAATCAATACAGGTATATAAGATGAATTTATGAGTAAATAACCAAATAAGTAGAGAAAGTATATTTTCATGCAAAAGGTAACTTTTTTTTTGCAGATGTGTGAAATGCTATGACTTATATTTTAACAAGAACATTCTGGGGACTGTATTAAAAACATTGTGAAGTAGGTTAAAGACAAACTGGGTAAAAGCAGGAAGATTATTGCAGTCATCCAAGAGAGATGATGATGGCTTGGACTGTGGAGGTGACAGTGTAATGGAAACAGTGGTTGGAATCTGTCCATGTTTTGAAGGTGACACCTACAGCTTGTATAAGAATTGAATATTCAGTGTGAGAAAAAGACAGGAGTCAGGGATAATCCCCAGCTTTTGTGACTTGAGGTACTAGGATTAGATTTGCCGAGACTTAGATGGTAAAAAACACAAGATGTCAGGGTTTGTGGGGAAGATCAAGAGCTTCATTTGGGGGAAGTTATGTCTGCATACTTAATAGCATAGATTAGCTATAGAAGAAGGAGACATAAACCTGGGGGGCCTCAGAATACAGAGGGCATATGAAGCAATGAGACTGGAAAAACCAGCGATGAGTGGGAAGTGTGAATAATACAGTTATTCTCAGGTTTCCTTTTCATTTTTATACTCAATGCTCTTTCAAAGGTTTTTAACACATGTATTTACAATATATTATTCCGTTTTATGCATCATTTATTAACTTAACAATTATGCCTACCAAACACATGGCATTCACAGATTTAATATTTCCAAATCAGACTGTATAGGAATCCGGAAGGTTCACAATGTGTAGAAATGTGTCATTTTGTTAAGGCCTGGATATTAACTTTACACCGTAAGTCTAATATGTAGGAAAAAGTCACTAAGCCTAGTTAGCCCACGCCCTTCTTAACCTACCCTTGTTTTTTGATACTCATACACCTTGGTAAATCTGGTTATATCAGTGTTAGGAATTTTGCCCATTTCTGGACTTTCAGGAAGTTTCCCCGTGAATAGTAATGATCTGTTCCATAGTAGGACAGAATGAATTGAAATTATATTCTAGAGCCCCATCCAGTTAAAAATTAAGTCCTGGTAAGCAATTTCAAAGTTATTTCCAGTGCTATGTTATCCAGGAGCAAGGCTAGGTATTGCGAAAATTTCAATGATAAATATTTCACTTAATTTGACCTCAAGGAACTCACAATTTAGTATAAATATGACAGAAATGTGAATTCATATAACACAAGGTGAAACGTGAGAAGGGTCATCAGGAAAAGTCAGTAATGGATGCTATTAATAAGGTGTCAGGACCCTCCGGGTTAGGTTCGTGTGTATTGGCTGCTCCTGGGTAGGTGCTGTCTCCCCAGAGAACCGCTTTCAGCCACATGGAAGACTGACTTTATTTCCCAGGAGGTTGCATAAAGCCCACAGCCCATGGACCAACAAGGGAGCCTGACCTCCTTGCCTTGAGGATGGACCAACTCAAGACACAGTTCATCTTCCAGAACACACTATGTGAGGAGGCCAGAGGCAGAGTCCTGCTGAAAACACACGTGTCCTTGGCTCCTCCCCTGCCCAGTACTAATGTCTCTTCCCTTTCTCCTGTTCACAGTCCTTCCTTTGATGAACCACACGCACCCTAACTTCCATCTCAGGCTCTTCTCTGAAGAATCTGATTATAGATAGGTACAGATCAAACACAAAGGAAGTTTGTGCAAAATATTTCCATCAGATAGATAAATCCAGGACGGAGAGCATCGTGGAAGGCATGGTAGTTGGACTTTCTGAGATAAGAAGGATCTGGGTATGAAAAATGAATGGGAGGCCGGGCGCAGTGGCTTACACCTGTAATCCCAGCACTTTGGGAGGCCGAGGTGGGTGGATCACGAGGTCAGGAGTTTGAGACCAGCCTGGCCAACATGGTGAAACCACATCTCTACTAATAAAATAAAAACTAGCCAGGCATGGTGGTGGGCTCCTGTAATCCCAGCTACTCGGGAGGCTGAGGCAGGAGAATCACTTGAAACCAGAAGGCAGAGGTTGCAGTGAGCAGAGATCGTGCCACTGCACTTCAGCCTGTGACAGAGTAAGACAATGTCTCAAAAAAAAAAAAAAAAAGAAAAAGAAAAAGAAAAGAAAAATGAATGGGAAAGGTCTACTCCATGTATGTCAAAGCAGAAGATAGAAGTACAGTTAAGTCCTTCTGGAAAATAATGACTGTATGCATTTTTTGCTAGTGAAGTCACTATCTGCATAGCTCAGCCTCAGAGCAGTGTTGAATCCCAAAGACTATGTTCCAGGAACAAAAAGCAATTTTACAGTAGTTTACCCTTCGCTTCCTTTTCACAAACAGCATAAAGAATGTAAGCAGACCACAGCAATTATGCTTAGGTCTTCTCTCTCCTATCTTTCTTCATATACGATAGTCACATTCATGCCTTTCCTGAACCCACATGGCCTACCTCACCTTCTGCACTCCTAGGCCCATTACCTCCTGCCTTTCTTCACCTCTCTTTTTCTCATGGTTGTGTTTCATGTGGCCATGAGGACCATGTCTTGCAAGGTCCACCATTCCATGGAGAGCAAGGAAGGGAAACAGGACTAGGAGGTTAAGCTAGGATTGACTTCACTGACCAGAGTCAGGGAAAACTCCAAGAATGGTTTGATATAAGTAATCTTTATCTCACTATTATTATTAAGGATCTAGATGCATGGTGCAAAGCGAGGTCATGTTTGTATGTTGAATCTATGCTTCACCACAACCCCGCCATGCCATCCATTTTGCAGACAATTAAGTGGCGGCTCACAAATGTTATTGATAGGCTTTTGTGATGTGCATGGCCCTTTCCTCTACATCGTTCTGCTCAATGTTACCTTTCTCTCCTTAAACATTTCAAGAGAAGGCAAAACTAGTTTTACTTGGAGTGATGTTTAATTTTATGTGTCAACTTGACTAGTCTAAGGGATGCCCAGACAGCTGGTAAAACATTATTTCTGGGTATATCTGTGAGGGTGTTTCTGGAAGAAATTGGCACATGAATTGGTAGACTGTGCAAACAATATCTATCCTCACCAATGTTGAAGGCCCTCATCCAATCCCCTGAGGACCTGAATAGAACAAAAATGTAAAGGAAGGGTGAATTTTCCCTCTGTTTTGAGCTGGGACTTCCATCTTGTGCCCTCCCTCAGGCATCAGAGCTCCCGGTCAAGTCTTTGGACTGGGACCGAATTACACCACCAGCTTTGATGGTTTTCCAGCTTGCAGATGGACTATGGAACTTCTCAGCCTCCACAATTGCATGAGTCAGTACACGTATATTACATATATTATATTATAATTATATTACATATCTATTAGATATGTTGTTTTATATACATGTGGTTTTCTTACTGTTGTTGAAAAACATTTTTAACTTATTCAAATTAATCTGAATAATTTCCAAATTTTTTATCATCACCATTAAGGAGTTTTGACTAAGTACTTGTGTTGGTTGCAATTTGGCAACCAACAAAGTAATTTGTTTCCCTGTGAAATTTAGAAATAGTCTAACAATGCTCATTATGGTTAACTACATAATTCAGTTTACCCCATGCCATCCAAAAAATATGATTATTAACTATTGCATTTTATTAGATCCAACAGATATAAAGAAAATGTCTCATTGTGACATCAGGAAAACATTCAGATGTGATGTTTGATATTAGAAATGTTGCATTTGTATTTATTTGCATTCTGTGGATGTTTCATTTTACCTGTATTTATTGATGTCTACCTTTTCCCTTTATAATATATTTCTACAAAATAAATACATATTTTATATTTGTGCTTCTTATTATAGTAATAACATAATAAAAAGCACAAATAAAGCATTTGTCATCTTTATTGCAAAATTATATTTAACCAATATTTTTCTATGTATTTTGAATGCATTTGCATTTATTTCATAGTAAATATTTAATAATCCATAATTATTTTGACCAGTTCTACTGTTGCTTATACTGTCACACACATATTTTTTAAGAATATTTGAATAATTTTGATGTCATTGTCAATTAAACTTTTTAGGAGAATCTGAACAATGGCTACATTGTCATATGCACATAGAAAGGCAATATAGAAAACCAATGATTTGCTGTTTTTCTTTTCATGAAAATCTGGGCAATTGTTAGTTCTATTAGTAAAACAATTAAAGAATCAAGAAACTTGCTTGATAAGAAGTATTATTTAAGCCATGCCTTTTTATCAAAATATGTCATGTTCCAATGTAGAAATCATTTAATGATTAACTTGCATTTTGTTCAGAATGACCTACTGAAAATAAATGATAATTATTCAATCATATAAGTGAAAAAACAGATGTACAGATCTCTTATGCAGAACACTTTGGATTAATGAGATGTTTTTTAAAAATCAAATTCAAGCCAGCTATAGAATAGCCCTGGAACTGTCAAGAAGGTCTTTTCTACATTTAGTTTTAATCAATTTGGTTCCAATCAAAGGGATTTTTCAACGCTTGAAACACACTGAGAGGTCTGAGGACACAACGTATTTCTAAATTCAACGGGGAAAAATCTATTTTGTGTCATCATTATGACCTTGCTTGGTAATATCATCCCTTTTGCCCACACCTGGGTGATGTCTTCTTTCTTGGTGGAGCTTAGTATGCCAACCACACACTGCTCTGTGACGTGTTTCCTTGGCAGTGGATCCAAGTCCGTAGCATCCATCGAAGGGGTCAGTGAAAGGCAAGCAGCAGGCTGGTGTGAGCTGGACATCTGGCATGTAGTAAATGCATTGAGAAAGCTAATAAACCACTCATTGTGAATGACTCCTGAAATTGATTCCAACATGAGCAGTTGGGGGAGAAATAAGCTTTTAGGAAGGTCATTTAATGTCATATAGAGTCTTTCTCTACAACCCAGTTAAACTGCTTAGCAGTTTACAAAGCAAATCCCAGCCCAATTTTGATCTGGTAATTAATTGAGCCTTCTACTCAGGGAAAGTCTGTGCATAGAAACTAGATATGGCCATAATTCTTTAGCCTTAATAACTCAGGATTTGAATTGCCAGATGGTCTTTGACACGAGATCGCTGCTGAAGAGAAATGGAAATCACTCCACTCATGTCAGTGCTTTGTGGATTCCTCACCAGTGACATAGAAGCTTGGTGTATGTAGCTGCACCCCTGCAAGTGCAGTCTTACTGAAGTTCTCATATTAATCTTACAAACACATTATCAGAAGTGGGAAATGACTAAGGATATGATCAAAGAGGACTCAAATGTTTCTCCAGGTCTCACCTGTGGGAAAGAATACTATTTCTTACAAAAAGGAAGTGGAAAGGGCTCTATGTCTGTACATGGAACGAGGAAGGTTGAGGTCCTGGAGAGGATGAAGGCCTGGGAAGCTCCACTCTCAGCACCTGGAAGGACTGCAGGCCTCAGGGACACCAACTAAACAAGCGAGAGTCCAGAACAATGAAATTACAATCAAACCAATGCTGATATGCAATGCTACTAACCATGGTTTAATATTTCCTAATTGTCTGTTCCTGCTTCATTTTTTGCATGACATTTTGCAAAATTCATTGCATCTTTTTTCACTAATTAATTAGCAAAAGGTTATAAACGAACTTCGTATGTGAAAATCATATGTATTCTTAGGGATAGAAAGAAAAGGTGAAGGTTGGGAGTCTTGGAAGGAGCTACAAAATTTGGTAAAACAAACAAATTTTGAAATAAGATATATTTACATTTAAACACTGGTCCTGCCGCTTGTTAGTAGTGTGACATTAAGCATGGTACTTTTATTCGTGAAGTCTTGGACTACTCATTGGAAAAATAAGAATTTTATTATCCACCTAATTGGATGCTATAAAATAGTAAAAAGGGAAAAATAGCCAGCATGTCCCATGTCCTTGTGACAATTTTATAACCTCTTTAAAAGACAAATGGAAATATTTTCAACTCCTGGTTCTGAAGCAAAAAAGAAATGGCAAGTATTGAATTAAAGTTAATATAAGGAATGTGTAAACTTGCACTTGAAATACTATTTTACTAGAACTCAGTATACGTACCATAGATAATAAGGCAAATGACATATAGGTAGTAGTGAATGAAGGTGTAGATGAAGCATTGGAAACGTAAATGCTAGGTATAGGAAATGAGCAGGCACTGAGGGCCCAGGAAGGTCAATACTAAATTTCCAAGGCTGACATATGCTTGGGGTTTTGTTATTCACCTTTGAGCTGAGACAATAAAGCAATAAACAGTTTTATAACTTAATAAGGCAAGAGTATAAAGACATAGTCAAACAGAAGCTGTAACAGACAGCAAAGCTGGACTTGGAATGACCACTGTCTGGATACAGGCTCAGGAAAAACCACAGACTGGGGAAAAATCACAAAAATGCAGCAGCCCTGTTCATAGCAAAGCTCAGTGCAATCTTCCCTAGTCAATCCTTTATGGCTCCAGGGGAATGGCCTTGCTTAAAACCTTGTTCCACCATAAAAAGGGGTCATTCTAAGGTCAGATCATAGAAGTCTCATGTCCCACTGACACTGAGTCACCAATCTTGAACGAGAAATGGCGGGACTCTTCTCCATGATTCATCCATTTAGTTAAAAGCTCCTAGCTTCCTGAAACTGCTGATCAAAATTTTAAATCCTTGGCAATATCATTGTATGTAATAATGTTTAGTGTAATGTATGCATTAGGACAGCAATTATCCATCTTGCTGCCGTGTGTGTTGTAATCACTTGTGAACTGATCTAAAAATTATTGTTATAAAAAGAGTTAAGAACAGTTTATTAATGGTTAAAATAAATTAGAAAATATTTAACTTTATTCCTAAAATGCAATGCATTATTGATACTGTCATGTGGTTTCTTGAAGGGAACTGCAGGGGATGGAATTTTAGATAGTACTATGGGAAATGCACTCATTCCAGAACAGTTCTAAATAGGGCAAGTTGTGCATATAAAAGTACTCCTCACATATATGATTTGGTGTGTGGGAGGGTGATGAGAGACAAAATTGGGAACTGCTGCGTTTCTTCTTAATATAGTTTGGATATTTGTCCCCACTCAAATCTCGTGTTGAAGTGTAACTCCTAATGTTGGAGACTGGCAGAGGGATTTGGATAATGGGGGCAGATCCCTCATGAATGGTTTGGGCCAACCCCTTGGTGATTAAGTGAGCTCTTGCCCTGAATTCATATGAGATGTGGTCATTTAAAAGTGTTTGGCACCGCCCCCCACTCTGTCTCTTGCGTATTCCTGCTTTTACTACACGACATACCTACTCTGTCTTCACCTTCTGCCATGAATGGAAGCTTCCTGAGGCCTCCCTAGATGCCAAGCAGATCTGAGCACCACCATGCTTCCTGTAAAGCCTACAGAACTGTGAGCCAATTAAACCTCT